>NC_000001.11:66220501-66523531 GCF_000001405.40 Homo sapiens
CCTTGTATGCTGCTTGCAAGCTGAGATGGATGATGACAGTGGAGCCTTTTGCATTATAAATTAGAATGGCTCCTCCCTTTTTAAGTCATTGCTCTTTTAGGTTGCTAATTTATCTTTTTATCTGTGATTTATCCTTCCTTGCTCACATTCTTAAACGTTTTTCCCTCTGCTGCTATGTTTTAATAGCATAGACTTGGATTTACTGTGACTGATTTGGCAAATTTCAAGCTTTAGAAAGGTGCCTTAAAACTGTTGCTGAGAGCTTTCTGGAGATGGGTAATAACATTGATTGGAATTGATAGTCTCTTGAACAAGAGAAGTTGAAAATGTTGCCAGGGCTCCAAGGAATGACATAAAGTTGATATCTTCATTTATTTGTCCAATCAAGACTTGGCTATTTCTGTCTAAAGTAGTAAACAGACATATTATTTTTACTGCTATTAAAAGTAGCAGTAGCAATAACAATATTTATATAACATATATTAATATTTCAGTTAGGATTTTTTATTTCATACCACATAAATTATCTTTGATAAACTTAAACAAAGGAGAATTTATTGAAAAGATTTTGGGAGCACCTACAATCATTGCAAACCTGGAGAGCCAGCCCTAGAAATAGGCAAGAACCAAGGCAGCCCTAGAGAGAAAAAGCAGGACCCTTCAGAGAGGCTTCCTAACCAAAACCATTGGAAAGTGGCCACCCTCCTAGGATAAAGAGAAATTCCAGCCATTTCTAGCCTCTTTGCCCTTTAGTTGGGATTTAAATTCCACAGATAGGGCATCTTGTTTGACCTACCTCGGATCACATGCAAGCCCCTTGTTTAGGTTGTGTAGACCCCCTGATTATTTATTATGTCAGCAGACTTTATGTAATAGGAAAGACAATTGCTCAAGGGCATAGAGAGATATTGTTAAAAATGGGAATTGAATGCCCAGCAACCAAAAAAATAAATCCATGGTACTTTACTTTTTATAAAAAATGTAAAACATATTCAACTTAACCTTTGCAGCAACACTCTGAAATATACAGGCAGTATTAAAACTGTGTTATAGATTAGGTAATTTAGGATTAAACATATCAGGTAAATTCTCCCAAATCACATAGTAATTCAGTGACAGAATAATATTCAAAACCAAGTGTCCTCATTATATATTTTATGTTTTTCTTTGCTTTCTTTCCTATTCTTTGGGGCTTTGATACACAAACAGATAAGATCATTGAGGAACTTCAGTTCCAAAATATTTTCTCCTTTTATCCCTCTGGCCCTCCCACCCTCTGTCATCACTCCTTGTATCTTTCTTTGTTCCCTTTGGCTAATATTATTGAAAGCTTATTGAATCCTCTTCCCTTAATTAATTTGAAAAGATGAACTTCAGGTACTGAGTGTATTGACTTTTTTTTTTTATCTCCATGTCTGTATTAATTAGGATGAGTTTTGGCTGAATATGCTGGAAATCCTAAAATAACAGTTGTTTAAACAGAAAAAGGTCTATTATCCCACATAAAAGCCAAGGAAAGCCAGGTCTGGTGTGGCTGGGTCATCAGTAACCCAGCCTCCTCTGTCTTTTTGTTCTACCATATTAGCTCTGGCTTCCAATTTCCAAGTCTTTTTAGAAGTTATCATGACGGCTGGAGGGCCAGCCATCTGGCCAGATGTTACAGATTGGAGTAAGGAGTAAAAGCAGAAAGGCAAATGAGGGTTTTCTCTCGCTGTACGTGGTCTTCCTAAAACATCTTAGAGTTTCTTCCCAACAACTTCTGCTTATATTTCATTGGCCAGGACTTAATCACATGGCTACACTAGTTCAAGGGTAAATGTAATATCTCTTTCTGAACTAAGGTTGCTTGCCTTTAATGACAATATTTAATTCTTGGTATTGTTGTGAGGATTAAATGAGGTAATGTGTGTGCATTTTCTAACAAAAGGGTTTGGTAAATAATAAGCACCTAGTAAAAGTTGATTCCTTTCTACTATCTTCCTGAGGCCTAGCGTTCAGAGCACCCATGCAGCCTCCAGTTGTTCATTTCCCATTGCTTTTTGTAGAATCTTATGGTCTAAAGGAGAAGATAAAAGTTTTAAACTCAGTTAGGACTTCATCCAAATGTTAACAATTATGCTGACTAGCTGTATCATCTTGAGCAAATTATTCAACCTCTCTGATCATTCGTTTCCTCATTGTTCAATGTGAATAATATTATAAAACCTATCTTGTGAATTGTTGTAAGAATGATATGATATATGTAAAAATATGCTCCCAGTTTAGTTCCTGACATAAGAATAGACGCTCAAGAAATGTGAGTTGTTCCTCTAGCCCTCTCTCCATCACAAAGATTTGCAGTCACTTATTAGTAAAAGCCTTTCTCCTTGGGAAAAGAAAAATTGGCATCTTAATGGCTTTTCATTATTTTTTATAAAGAAGAATAAAGTAAATGAATAATAAAAGATAATTTAAATAGTTTTGTTTTTCTGCTTGTGAACTCAGAATACTTCAAATATGATAGTTCCTCATTATTATTTTTTAACGAAACGTTAACTCTAGTGTATATCCATTGAGTGTTCACACAATGTGTGCCAGGTGTGTTCCAGATCATAGAAATTCAGCAATAAGCAAAAACCGACAAGGTTTCTTTCTTTCCTGAAACACATTTTAGAGGCACAAATAAATGAATACATAAATAATATAGTTTCAGGTAGTGATGCATGTGGTGAAGAAAAATGCACAGGAAAACGAGATAGAGAAGGATGGCTAGTGTCATGTCAGATAAGATTCTCAGACAGAACACCCTCAAGGAGGTGATGTCTGAACTCCCTGCCCACCACAACAAACAGCCTACAGGACCTTAAGGAAAAGGCTGTATTTAGGTTGATTACTCAGTTTCCCTGAGAGGCCATCAGAACTAGCTCCAACTTGCTTCATATTCAATTTTCCCTCAGTTATCCTCAGTAGTCCAAGCCTCCCATAATCATTTTAGTATTTTGCTCCATAAGGCTTGACACATTTCCTAAGATAAATGAATCTTCCCTAACCTTTCCACAGTGCTGCTGAAATTCTGAATCTGGAAATCATGGAGATTTCCTCCATCCCTAGACTCCTAGCTGATTGTTCCCTTTCCTTGCTCCAACTGACACCTGGCTCTCCCTTGGCCTCTGAGCTACACTTGCAGTGTTCTTTTTTCATTCCCCCCCAGCCCCACATTCAATGCACTGCAGTGCATAGAGAAAGAGGAGGGCCCTCCACTTAGAGATCATTTTATTCCCTACCTTTCTCAAAAACCTTGCTTTTTTGAAGTGCATGCCATCAGACTATACACCTGCTACCCTTCTTTGATGTAGTCAGCCACAGATTTCTGGATCACACCCTCGAATTCACTGAATATTGCAGCATCTGACTCACTCTTTGTCTCCGTGACAAATGGTGGCATCATTTGTGATAACTTCTACGTGCATGTAGATGATGCATTCAATACCCTGGTCTTATAGTTATTTGCTATCATTTTGAATAACCTTTTCTTCCACATCAACTAAGCCATCTCCTCTCCCATGTTTACCTTACACCTTTTAGCTTACCAGTAACTCAACTGTCTCCAAAATCTTGATGTCAAGCATTTCCACTTGATGCCTGACTCTTACTTCCCATCTTTCCAGCGCATCTCTTTCCACTGCTTAGATTTCTACTCCATTACGACTTCCAGCTCATAGACTCTGCCACTTCTCGCTGCTCCCCATTCCCCTCAACCCCTCTCACACACATTCTCCACTTCTTTCTTTGCCAAGCTTAAATGTAAGTATTTGTCATTAAAATTACTCCTTCCTAAACACACTTAGGTGCCCACCAAAATTCTGGGCAAAATTTCGGAGCTGGTCAGATCAATTCTTGCCTACCCAGAATTGGCTCAAGTGCAGCAAAAAATGGCTGGAGAAAAATAGTCAAGCAGCCGGGCACAGTGGCTCACACGTGTAATCCCAGAACTTTGGGAGGCCGAGGCAGGTGGATCATCTGAGGTCAGGAGTTCAAGACCAGCCTGGGCAACATAGTGAAACCCCGTCTCTACTAAAACTAAAAAACTTACGTGGGCACTGTGGCGTGTGCCTGTAATCCCAGCTACTCAGGAGGCTGAGGCAGGAGAATTACTTGAGCTTGGGAGGCAGAGGTTGCAGTGAGCCGAGATTGTGCCATTGCACTCCATCCTGGCAGCAGATCAAGACTCTGCCTCAAAAATAATAATAATAATAATAGTCAAGCAAACAACTCGAGCTCATTCTAAACTAATGACCACAAATCTCAGATGAGCTGTCAATGTTACTCTGCAATTTTATTGCAAATTCTGGTCAAGTCACTCTCTTAGTCTCCAGAACAACTATTTTATGTCATCTCATCTCTACTTAAACCTCCAAAACTATGCCCGTCTGTCGCATTCTTACTGAGAAAATAGAAGAAATCACAAGAGAGCTAATTTATCTGTCACCGAATCTACCAATGTGTTCTGCCTTTTCTTTGGACACAATTCATGAACCATATCCAGCATTTCCACTGTACTCTGGACACCACTTCACCTTGGCTCCTCGAGGACTTTGCACCTGCATCTGTCTCCTCCCTCACCTTGATCATCAATTTCTCTCTCTCTCTCAAACATAAAAACATGACATTAAAGAAGCCTACATGGGCTCTGCAACCTCCTCCAGTTACTGTGTCATGTCTGGCCTCTGCTTCACAGTCAAGCTCTTTTAAAAGTTGTTTTTATTTTCTCACCCCCCGTTCTCACCTCAACTCACTTCAGCCAGGCTTGGGTCTGCTACGCCCAAATGGAAACTACATTCTCAATATTCTCACTTTTGCCAAAACTCATGGCACAATATCAATCCTCATTTTACTCTTCTCAGTCGATAATATTTCTAAGAATTCCTGCGTTTTTGAAGTGAACTCAGATATTTTTCCACATATTTTATAATGGGAGTCTTTGAGAGATATGAGCTCCTTGACCTTCATTAAGTAGATTTGAATGGAATTCAATGAAGGTCTGTTTCTCCCTAGGCACAGGTATACCAGCTCCCATGGCATTTCTCCTGATGGGCTCTAGAGCAAGACGTCTTATGCACAGTTCCAGCCAGAATTCAACTAGATTTGGGCTCTAGAAATTCTAAACTGAATACCTGGGCCCAGTAACCAGGGCAGGGATATTTGATGTTTAATCCAGCTGTGAAATCTTTTTAAAATCACCCTGTGTTTAACTTTGTAAATTATACTGTTCTTTGAGTCTCCTGTTTTATTTTGTTTTCCTGGTTATTGGCATTTCCAATTTCTTATTTTTGTTTATTTGCTTAATGGATTAGTAACTCATCAATAAATTCCCCCTTGGGAGAAGTAACACATTCATTGTATGTGTCATGTTTGTCTTAAAGAAAGCCTAGCTCATTGGATTATTTCTTCTGTTGGTGCAAACACTACAGACCTAGGGCAAACACTTGCTTATGTGCATACTGAAATTCATTGTCATTCTGCTTCTGTATCTTCAGGTCCTAAGCCTTGTGGAATTGGTGTGAGGGTCAGGAAGTGAAGTTGTGCAGTGCAGGAATTAGAAATTCCAACAGACCTTTTGATTTGTCTAGCAAAATGCTTTTAATTTTTTTAACTTAATTTTTTAAAGCTGAGCATGCATTCAGTTCACCAAGACCCCAACAATCACTTTTTATTATCTTTCTATCTCTTGTCTGACCAGTTTTATTTAAAATATCTTTGTTGAGGGTCTTCTACAGGTCAGGCACTGTACTAGGCTCTAGAGATATTGCAGGAACAAGATAGCAAGGTCCCAAATCTCATGAAGCCTGCATTTAATGGAGAGATACTGATTAAAAATGAAGCAACAAATAAACAAACAAGAACATTCCAAATAATGAGAAATGCAATTAAGTTAATAGAATAAGATGATGTGGTGTGAAAAGTGTGCAGAAGGAGGTGTAACTATAGATTGACTAGACCAGAAAACCCTCCTGAGGAGCTGGCATTTGCTCTGAGGAATCAATAATATGAAGGAGCCACTTTGTGAAGAATCAGGGAGAGGATGCTAAGCAGAGCCAACAGCAAGGTCAAAGAGCCTGTGGCAAGGAAAGTTTGGTTTGTTGCAAGAAAAGAACAGTCAGTGCAAAATAGAAGCAAGAAGGAAAATTGTATAAAATGAGATCGGAAAGCAGAGAGCAGATTGTGGAAATTCTTATAGGCTATCGTAAGGATTTTGGATTTTATTTTAAATGTGATGGACAGCTATGGAAGATTTTAAAGCATGATCTAGTTTATAGTTTTTAAAGTTTACTCTGATTACTGTGGGTAAAATAGTTTATAGAATCAAAGAATGGAAACAAGAAGATCAATGACTGTTGAAAAAAATCCTCATAACAGATAATGATAGCTTGAGTGAGGTTTGGAACTATTAAAGTGAACAGAATTACAAGGATAGGACAGACATTGGAAATAGAGCCAACAGGACTTGCTGATGTATTAAATGCATCTCGTGAAGGAAAGAGAGGAATCAAGGACAATTCCAGATTTTGGGCTTGAGCAACAGGCTAGACAAGAGTGTCATTGATTGAGAAGGGAAGGACTGAATGAGCAACAGACTTAGTTGGGAAAAGAAATAATTCTGTTTCGGCCATGTGGCGTCTAAGATGCATACGAGACATCCATGTGTAAAGTTGTGTAGGCACTGGATATATGAGTCACTGCATCCATTTACATTACCCCTAAGGGCTTCTAAGTTTGTGTCTTTGGTACAGACCATAGGTTAAGAACACTGGTTCAGGAGTAAAAAGATCTTTGCTTGAATCCAGTTTTTGATGCTTAACAGCTCTGTGACCTTGAGCAAAATTCTTAAGTTATCTAGACCTCAGGATCCCTATCTATATAATCAGGTTAAAATATTATGTACCTCATAAATTGATTGTGAAGATTAAATAATGATATATGCAAAGTGCTAAACAAAGTGTCCAGAAAAATATAAATATACAATATATATTAGGGATTATTTATTGAACATCTACTCTGAGATATGCCTTTTGTATATATTACTTCACCTAGCCCTCCCACATTCCTAACATCAGCTCTCCCAGCTAAATATCACTCTACAGGAGACTGAGAACAGATTGATACAAACACAGATTTATTTTTTCACTTTTCAAAGAAAATGTACATACCTGCATGGACTACCCCTGACTTACCAACATAGGTAGCATTTCTAAGAAGCTGAAATGGTTAGCTCTACACTGAAATCCACATTTTTATGGATATGCCTATTTCATATCTCTTCTTTGATGTCTGTCATTTCAAACTTGACATGATCTGATCTCTACCCCAAACCCAAATCTTCTGCTGACTTCCTCATCTTAGTTGAGGACATCTCGGGCCTTTTGATTGCCCAGGTATAACACCCTGTAATCATCATCAGTCCTTGTCTTTCTCACACATGCTTTATGAAAGCTTTGTATGAAATGGCTTCATGGTACCCCACTCTCATTTCCTGCTACTCACCCCCTCACTCACTTTGCTCCAGCCACACTGGCCTACTTGCTGTTATTCAAATACACTAGGCATGCTCTTGCTTTTGCACTTGCTGTTTCCTTAGCCTGACACCCAAATATCCTAGACATTCCCCCAGACATCTGTCTTGTTAACCTGACCACCTGTTCAAAATTAAATCTCTCCTGGCACTATTTCCCTTCCCTTCCTTTACCCCGGCTCATTCGGAGAGACACTATACTCTCTGAAGCCAGTTTCTCTGGAGTCAATTCTTCTATCAGTAAAGATCCATTGGTCCTCTGCCTGCTGACTCAGCCCCATGACATGCATTAGGGTTGTCTCTAGCTGCAATATAAGAAATCATGCAACTTTGGGAGGCCAAGGCGGGCGGATCACGAGGTCAGGAGATCAAGACCATCCTGGCTAACACAGTGAAACCCCATCTCTACTAAAAATACAAAAAATTAGCCAGACATGGTGGTGGGCGCCTGTAGTCCCAGCTATTCAGGAGGCTGAGGCAGGAGAATGGCATGAACCCGGGAGGCGGAGCTTGCAGTGAGCTGAGCTGAGATCGCGCCACTGCACTCCAGCCTGGGCGACAGAGCAAGACTCCGTTAAAAAAAAAAAAAAAAACATGCTATAGTGACTAAACAGGGCTTTATTTGTCTCATGCAACAAGAAGTTCAAGGGTAGATAGTCTAAGGCCTGACACGACTCAGTGTGTCACCAAAGATTCGGAATCCTCTTATCTTCTTTTTCTACCATCCTTGTGCTTATCCTCAAAGCCATACTATTGCTACTGATTTTTTATGAGTTCCCTATTTCAGGCAGAAAAAACGAGGAAAGGGTAAAAAGCAAAAGATAAAGAGTTCTCCTATGTTGTAAAGTCTGTCTTCTATAGTCTGCACTGCCTGAAATTGCTTATTTTTCAGCTATTTTTAACCTATAAAATGGCAATTTCATAAGGTCTGACCTAATATTGGGGAAGGAACATCTTCCCCAGAGGCTTTTTTTTGAGATGGAGTCTTGCTCTGTCGCCCAGGCTGGAGTGCAGTGGCTCGATATTGGCTCACTGCTAGCTCTGCCTCCTGGGTTCACGCCATTCTCCTGCCTCAGGCTCCTGAGTAGCTAGGATTACAGGCGCCCACCACCATGCCCGGCTAATTTTTTTTGTATTTTTAGCAGAGATGGGGTTTCACCGTGTTAGCCAGGATGGTCTTGATCTCCTGACCTCGTGATCCGCCCGCCTCGGCCTCCCAAAGTGCTGGGATTACAGGCGTGAGCCACCATGCCCGGCCCCCCAGAGGCTTCTACCTGCATCTCATTGGCCAGAACTATGCCACTTGGACACTCTCAGCCTCAGGCAGAGCAGGACATAAAGATTGTGTGAGCCTTTAAGGCAGCCACTTCAGTGTTTGCCATCCACAATTTTGTTCGTTTTGAGTTACCAATCTTCCATGAACTTATTCAGCTTCCTGGCTTTGAGCCATCCCCCTCAGAGCCTCTGTTACAAGGCAGCCACCACTGTTTCATAGACATGGGGGTTCATAACTCTTCACTAAATCCCTACTCCACACCTCAGCACATGAGAACTTTTGGGTCTCTTATGTGATATCTACAGATTTTGAGGAATTACATTTCAGAGACTGGGGCAGTAATGATAGAATCTCGGGCCTTCTGTCTAAATAAACCATACTGTCATTTCCATTCTACCACATTATCCTGTGCTCGTGTGGCTAAAAAAAAAACCCTGCAGAGCTGAACTTCTAAATCTTTATACATATTATTTAATCTAATCCTCACAGCAAGCTTTTAGCTCTCTCTTCTATTGCTATTTTATACACGAGGAAACTAAATCTCAGAGAGGTTAAATCCAAGGCCCTTTAGCTAGCAAATGACAGAGCTTCTATTCAAACTCAGGTCTGCCTCAAGCCAAAGCCTCGTCCTGATCCATTTCATTAAATTACTACCAAGTATTACAGATCTTTCCTAGGGCAATCATTTTCTTCTATATAGGACTCCTGGAGTCACTCTGAGTATTTCTAATGAGGCTGACAACAAAGGGAAGCTTGGAAGTTTCTAAGCAGTCACTTCCACAGAGTTGCTTAATTTGCCCTAATTCCTGGTTTTTGCAGCCCCTGTCCTAGGCTCTTGCTCACATATGGACTTGAATTTGTGGAAAGGTCAAAAATGATATTCTAGATGGAGAGATAGTCTTGGAGTACAAAGAACATAAGCAGAAATGAGTAAATAAAGCTCTAGGAGAGCGTGTGATCCAGCTCAATTAAAGGTTAGATAAGCCATGGTGGCACATAAGCTTTGAAGGTAGAGTTCAAATCATACCATTAGGATTTTGACTGCCAGGCAGAAGAGTTTGATCTTTCTTCTGTTGGCAATGATGATGTATTGGAGGTTTTGACACAGGAGAGTTAAATTATACTTTGTGTTTACAACTTTAAAAAATCAAAAAATTTAAAAATTGCCTTGAATGCAAAGCAAACATAATAATCCTACCATAGGGATTCCAAGGCAAATTTGAAAGTTTTGTGACATTTTCTGTTATCATTTCTGTTTTCCAAGATAGCAATGAGATTTAATTTGCGCATCACAAAGACCGTTAGCCTTTAAACAGACAAAACAGAAAATTCTTACGTCTAAATTCAATTTTTGTTGTAAGAACAAAAGTTGCTCCTACTAACGTTAAATAACAAATGACCGGAAGCATCTTGCAATTCAATGTTAAAATAGTTCCTGACCAGGTGCAGTGTGGCTCACGCCTGTAATCCCAGCACTTTGGGAAACCAAGGAGGGCAGATCACGAGGTCAGGAGTTTGAGACCAGCCTGGCCAACATGGTGAAACCCTGCTTCCACTCAAAATACAAAAATTAGCGGGGCACAGTGGCATGTGCTACTCAGGAGGCTGAGGGCCAGAGAATTGCTTGAACCCAGGAGGCGGAGGTTGCAGTGAGCCGAGATTGCACCACTGCACTCCAGCCTGGGTGACAGAGCGAGAATCTGTCTAAAAAAAAAAAAAAAAAAAATTCCTAAATTGTAAAACCAGCATGGCAAACGAAATGAATATTATGGCTTCCTTGTCTAGAGTAGAATGGTCATGATTCAGAATATAATTTTTTAAAACATATTGAAGAATATTGAATAATTTAAGTGACTCATTAATAACATTGAGAAGCTACATGCAATAAACTCAGCTAGACCATTTAAGGTACTGGTTTTTATTTGTCCAAGTAATGTCACATTATTGAGGTGGCACAGAAAACAGTAATCCATCTGTGAGTCAGAAATATGTGAGTCAGCAACACTGTGTGAAGAGCCCTCTGTCCTTTTGATTACTCAAACTGATGTTTTGATTCAACTGAGTAATTTACCAGTAAGTTAAGATAATTGAGTATTAAAAAGGAAATCCATGTTGAGAGAATTGGTTGTGAAAAGATGAAGTGAGGAAATGGAGTTATTGACAGAGCTGAGAAGTATTCAGGGATGTCTGTATCAAATAAATCAACCCTTCAAATGACTTGTTTTACTGTTGGTGATTGAGTGAGTCCAAGGACAGGCTTCTAAGAGAAGCAGTTAAAAGAAATGCTTTGCAAATGTGTTTCCTCAAATACTTAAATTTGAAGGCAGTAACTATTCAAAGGATGGATTTGCAAAATAGCAATGCCTTCTTTAAAAACAGGTGTTTAAATTGGTATTGATATCTGAAGAGGAAAATGAACTCACATTGGTTAAAAAGTAAAGACTTCTCTATTCACTTCAAAACACTGGTCTTATTTCCCTCTTTTGAAAGGCTTCCTATGGAAAGAAAAATCAAAGCCTATCACGGTGATTCAGGAGTTTTATACTCCATGTGTGGGTCAAGTGTGAGTGAGGTAAAGGATTGTGACAGTTCCTCAAGGATACTGTCATAGTGAGGCCATCTCCCAAACCTGACTGGTTCCACCTTAATTTGGCTTTGGGGAATGAAATTGGGGACTGTCCAGCCCGATGAAGGGCAAGCTAAGACCTGCTCATAGGCATTTGGTTTAAATTACAAGAAGATTAAATTTCTAAAAATAATGGCAAAGAACAGCAAAGCCTGGAGACTGAGCTTTAATAGAATCATCATACCATTTATTTTTGGAATGTTGACGTTTCTGAAACTCCTCAGATGCAAGATCAATGCTAAGTAGTTTTATAGAAATTGGATGCATTTTCCATAAGATTACCAGCAGAGCAGAGGGCAGTGATATGCAAAAGCAGTGCAGAGACAGTGCCTCAAATACACTGCAAAGCTCTGTCCGGGCGCCTCTCCTGAAGCACCTGGCATCAGCACTACATTTTCAGACCTTTATCTGTTAAAATGTTTTTTTGCCCTTTTGGGGATATACAGTGTGCTAGCCTTGTTGTCTAGCTGCATTGGTCATTCATCATAGTTTTTCTGTAGTTCTCATTGTTTTAAACACATTAGGGAAGGATTGGTAAATAGATAGTATTCTATATCATGATAAAAGCTTGATAAAATCACCTAGGAAATCGGTGTAGAAAAAGAAAAGAGCGTAAAGCTGAGCCCAGGGGCCCTCCAACATTTAGAATTGGAAAAAAAGTTAGAGTTTGGAAAAAGACCTAGGAAGCCAAGAATATAGGAGAAAAACCAGGACAAGACATACCTTGAAAGTCAAATGAAGGATAACTTGGGTCAAATATTCCTGATATTTGAGAAAGATAGTGACTAAGAATTGACCATTGGTTTGGACAAGACGTAGGCCACTGATGATCTTGACCAGAGGGATTTATTATGAAGTGTTGCGGGCCAAATCCTGATTCTAGTGTGTTGAGAAGAAAATAAGTGTTAAGGAAATGGAGACAGCAATAAAGACAACTTGTTAGAAAGTTTTGTTTAAAAAGAATTGCCGGAAAATGAGGCAATGGATGCAGGGGTGCATGGAATAACCACAAGTCTTTTTAAAACACGTATTTATAAGGTACAAATGACATGCCAAAAATGCACTTCTTAAAGTGTACAATTCAGACACATATACATTTATGAAGCTATCATTACATTGAAGATAATAAATATAGCCATCAAACCCAAAAGTTTCCCTTTGCAACCCCTCCCACCTCTCCCTGACACCACCCCTTTCCCCCCAGGAAACTACCTATCTTCTTTCTGTCACCATAGATTGATTTTATTTTCTAGAATTCTATATAAATGGAATTATACATTATGTACTCTATTTATCAGACTTATTTCACTCAGCATAATTAGTTTAGGATTCATCCATGTTACGGCAGTTGTCAGTAGTGCATTCTTATTTATTGCTAAGTGGTATTCCACTGTATGGGTATATCACAATTTGTTTATCCATTCACCTGTTACATTTGGATTGTTTCCAGTTTTTTTTTTACTATGCCAATGCTACAATGAATATTCTGCATAGACTATTATATCATCTATTAATAAAAATCATTTTATGTCTTCCTTTTCAGTGTATTTGCTTTGATATCATTGTCTTTCCTTATTGCACTGGGTAAAACCTCCAGTAAAATGTTGAGTAGAAGCGGAAAGAACAGGCATTCGTACCTGGTTCCTAATTTTATAGAGAAATAATTCAGTCTTTTATCTTAAAGGATAATGTCAGCTGAAAGTTTTCACAGATGCCGTTTACCTGGTTGATATGTAAATATATGTGTGTGTGTGTGTGTGTATAAAGGATGGATGTTGAACTTTATCAAATGCTTTTTTCTTCACCTAATTATGTGATTACATGTATGTTGGTTTGTTTTTCAGTCTGTTAGCATGGAGAACTACATTGATTTTTTTTTGTCTGTTATAACAACCTTGTATTCCTTGGATACACCCTACTTAATCATAAGGTGTCATCCTCTTCATATGTTATTAGATTTGATTTGATATAATTTTGTTAAGAATTGTTCCATGTGTGTTTATGGTGATATTATTCTTTTGGGTGATTGTCTTTGATTTTTATATGGGAGAAACCCTGACCTTATACAGTGAGTTGAGAAATATTCCCTCCTCTTCAATTTTCTAAAATGATGTGTAGAGTCAGTATAATTTTTTAAATATTTCGGGCAGAAGTCACCAGTGAAGTTATCTGGGCATGCAGTTTTCTTTATGGAAATGTTTTAAACTTTAAAATTCAATTTCTGTAATAGATACAGACCTATTCACATTATTTCTTTCTTCTTGAGTGAATTTTGATAGATGGTGTTTTACAAGGAATTCGTCCACTTCATTGAAGTTGTCAAATGTACTGGCATAATTATTATTATTATTTTTGAGACGGAGTCTTGCTCTGTCGCCAAGACTGGAGTGCAATGGCAGGATGTTGGCTCACTGCAACCTCTGCCTCCCGGGTTCAAGTGATTCTCCCGCTTCAGCCTCCCATGTAGCTGGGACTACAGGTGCATGCCACTATATCTAGCTAATTTTTGTGTTTTTAGTAGAGACAGGGTTTCACTATGTTAGCCAGGCTGGTCTCAAACGCCTGACCTCAGGTGATCCGCCTGGCTCAGCCTTCCAAAGTGCTGGGATTACAGGCATGAGCCACCGTGCCCAGCCTGGTATAATTTTTTTTATGATTCTTTATTATTTTTATAGTATCTTTAGAGTCTATCCTGTTATCTCCTCTCTCATTCTTTCAGTAACTTGTATCTCTTCTTTTTTTTTCCTGGTAAGTCTGACTAGAGGTTTGTCAATTTTATTGATTACTCAAAACCTGTTTTGGCTTCACTGATCTCTCTCTCCCTCTCTCTTTTATTTCCGCTCTATCTTTATTTTTTCCCTTCTGCTTCCTTTGTGATTTATTTGCTTTTTCTTGAGCTAGAAACGGAAGTCATTTTTTCTATTTTTTTAATAAAGGTATTTTAGAGCTGTAGATTTCCCTGAACATGCTGCTTTAGCTGCATCCTACAAATTTTAACATATAATGTTTTCGTTGTCATTCAGTTCAAAATACTTTTCTCTTTTCATTGTATCTTTAGCTCATGAGTTGTTTAGACTGTATTTAGTTTACAAATGCCTGGGGCTTTACCAAAAATCTTTCTGGTTTTGATTTCTAGTTTAATTCCGCTCTGATCAGAAGACAAACTTTGTATGACTTCAAATTTTTTTGATGTTTTGAGACTTGTTTTATAGACTAGAACGTCAGCTATTTTGGTGACGTTTCACGTGCACTTGAAAAAATGTCTATCTTTGTCAATTAGTTAAATTGATGATGTTGTTCAAGTCTTCTATATCCTTACTGGGTTTCTGTCTATTTGTTCCATCAATTATTGAGGCTATAATTGTGTAGTTTTCTATTTCTTTTTTCAGTTTTATCAATTTTTGCCTTATGTAGTTTGAAACTCTATTAATAGGTACAGAAATATTTAGAATTGTTATATTCTCAAGAACTGACTCTTTTATCATTATGAAATCATCCTTTTTATTCCTGGTAATATTCTTAACTCTGGAATCTACTTATTCTTTTATTAATATAGACATTCTAGATTTCTGATGATTAGTGTTATCATAGTTTATCTTTTTTCATTCTTTTCCTTTTAACCTATTTGTGTCTTTATATTTAAAGTGATCTATTATAAGCCACATGTAGTCAGGTCATGCTTTTTTAATCCATCTTGAAAATGTCTTCCTTTTAAATGTGATGTTTAGACCATTTACATTTGAAGGTAATATTGCCATGGTCAGGCTTAAATCTACCATGTTGCTATTTGTTTTCTATTTGTCTTATCCATTCTGTTGAAAAAAAATGTTTAGACAAGTTAAATTTAACAGAGTTTAACTGAGCAAAGGATTTTTTCAGAATCGGGCAGCCCTCAGATCAGAACAGGTTCAGAGAGCAGCATTCCACAGTATGGGCAGCAGCATTTATTAATAGAAAACAGTAATGTACAGAAACAGCTTGATTAGCATGATTACTTGGCCATCCAAAATTGAAGCTTGGCTGCTGTGATTGGCTGAGCTCAGCTATTTGTTACATAAGTATAAGCCTAAGTTAAGCTTTCAGTTAATTTATATCGTAAAAAGTACAGAGGAAGTTTCAGGCTAAATTTAGCGGTTCATTATATGCTTTTTCCTCTTTTTCTTCTCTTTTTTGGATAGTTGTTTTATGCTTCCATTTCCTTTGTTAGCTTATTATATATATCTCTTCATTTTTAAAATTTTAATAGTTACTTTAGGATTTAGAGTATAAATTTTTAGTTTATCACAGTCTACCTTCAAGCAATATTTTACCGCTTTATCTAGCTGTAAGAATCTTCAGAATACCCTTCTATTTCCCCCTTCTTTGCCTTTGTACTCTTGTCATATAGTTTACTTCTACATATGTCATGAACTTCACAGTAGATTGTTATTATGTGTGCTTTTCAATCACTTATCTTTTAAAGAGATTTTAATAAGAAGAAAAAAAATGTTTATTCCTTTGTATAGAACCAGATTTCCATCTGGTATCATTTTCCTTCTGCTTGAAGGATTTCCTTTAACATTTCTTGTACTTTGGGTTTGCTGGAGATGATGAATTCCTTCAACTTTCATATGTTTGATGAAAATCTTTTTACTAGTTATTTTTTGTTTGTGGGTTTGTTTGTTTTTGATACAAAACTTTACAGCTTGATTGTTTGCTCATGCAAAATACAAAACGATGATGCAGGAGAGAGTAAATGTATGCAGAAGGGTAGACCATGAGTAGGTGAGGGAGGACAGGGTTCAGGACAGAGGAGTTGGCTTCTGATAAAATCACAGAAATGTATCCATAGCAGCAAGAAGAAAGACAGAACAGTTGTTTACACGTGTGAGTTGATTGATTCATTAATGGATCCAACCAAACTGGTTTTAAATCCACGATGTACCATTTAATAGCTAAGTGGTTGTCAGCAAGTTATTTAAGCCTTTTAAATTTGAATTTTCACGTCTATAAAAACAAGTTCCTTCCTTCCTCAGAAGGTGATTAGAGCAATGAAATGAGGTAATATATACCAAATGTACAGCACATGACCTGGCACATTGTGCCCACTCAATACCTGTGAGAAAAAAATATATAGCTTTTCTATGCTTTACTGCCTAAGTACAAGTGGAAAGATTCTGAAATATCATTTTTCCACTTCTACTTTCTCTGCTTCCCTTTCTCTCACCCCTCCTCCCTTCCCAAAAGAACATATTTAAAATCCAAATGCCAGGCTGTCTGCAGGTGCAGTGTTCAAGACTGATAACATTTGGAGGCCAGATGTTAACTGACATAAACACTATTAAGTGCTATGTAGACCGGAGGCTGAGGCATTGATTTCCAATTTTATGATTATTATTTGAATTTACAGCAAACCATAATGCCATTCCTTCCACGTCTCTACCTCCACCAAAAAGACAATATATGGCCTATTCATTTTCAAGAGAATATAAATTGTTTTTAAAAATATGAAGTTCTTGAAATATTAAGTTATGCTGTTTCACAAACCTGGAACTGAAAATGCACCCTTGATGTGCACCTCAACACCTCCCTAGAGCTCTGCTTGAAAGGTCAAAGACTTGTGAAATTTGATCTGAAAACCAGTCTCATTTTCTGAAATAAATGCAGAGTAATAACGACAAAAATGCTTCAAACCTGGGACAAGTTTTTACATCAACTTATGTTTTAAATCTCAGTTTCCTTAGACTTGATGTGGGAGCTGGCCCAATGACAATAAATAAATATCCTTTCTCTGAGTAAAGAAATACTTTGTAAAAACAAGTTGGGTCTGCTGTGAACCATGGAGGTTATTGTTGGTGTTTAATGCGCTCACACAGTCAATTATTCTTTCATTAATCTATTGAGCAGACATTTGTTCATAACCTGCAGTATGTCCCAGGAAAGTGCCAGGCACTAGTTAGTATACCGTTAAGTGCAACAGATGGCCCTCGTGGGGCTTAGAGTTGTGTGAGAGAGGAAGGCAATAAAAGGGGAAAAAAAAGACAAATAAATATAGCAAAAAGCTTTAATAGGTACTGTGAAGGGAACTTACTTAAATAATGGGTTAAGGAAGGAATTTTTTAGTAGATGACTTAAACTAAAGCTTAAAGAATGAGAAGAAGGCAGCCATCCAGAGAGTAGAGGAGAAAACAAACAGAAAGACCAACATTTATTCATTCATTCACTCGACAAATATTTATGTAGCACTTTCTACCAGCCAGGGACTGTTCAAAGCAAAGCAGATATACCAGGAAGGAAAACACACACGTGCAAAATTGCTGAATTGAGAAAGGATTTGGCATGTTCTGGAACAGAAAGGAAGCTTCTGAGGCTGAATCACACTGAGCAGGGCACAGTGTGGTATTGGATGAGGATGGGGGGTGTGGCAAGGGCTAGATTATGTGAAAATTTGTGATCCATGGCAAGGAGTTTGGATTTTATCCTACAGGCAGTGACATGATTTTATTATTGTGTTAAAAGATTGCTCTTGCTATGTGGAGAAGGTTTGGAGGGTGGAGTTGGGCACAGTGGAAGTGGAGAGATCCATGGGGTGGCTATTCCAGTTCAGATGAGAGATTTTAATGCCGTGGTGGAAACAGAGATACACAAAACAGTACAGTTTCTGTATAGAGTGGATAGGACCTGTTGGTCAACTGAAAAGGAGAAAGGAGGTTGGGAAGGGAAGTAAAATCATGGATGATTCTGGTTTGTACAACTGAGTAGATGGTGGTTCCATTTACTACTATGAGGGAGAATGAGTGAGTAGGTGGTTGGGAGCAGGGAATGAAAACTAAGGGGGCGGGGAAGGGTGGGATAAAGATTAAACTAAAGTTTCCTAGCCAAGTCTTGAAGAATTAAATCAATTCAAAAATTTAATTCATTATGTCAGTGGTTACTATGGCCCCATCACTGGAATATACAAACAGAAGCTAAATGACCATTTATCTGCAATATTTTAGATACAGGTTTCAAACATATATCTAGAACTGATTTTCAAATGGTAGGTGAGAACTTACAAAAGAAAGCAGCAATTTCTTGAAGCCATCACTACTTTAGTAAAAACTAGTTTTCCCAGATCAATCTCATTTCCCTAATTGATCTTGAGCTATTGGAAGCTGGCACCATATTTCTTAATAAAAATCTTATTTAATTAATAGATTGTCTTATTGGCAGAGATACTTAACTTATGAATTAAAGTATTTATATTTTACTAATAGAGCATTTAACGATCTCTTATGATAACTTTAAAAAATGGAGAATGTAGCCTGGAAAATATTGAGCGAGTAGAATATTTTGTATACTCAAAGTGCACCCTGGGGCAGAATCAATGCAAAGCCACCCCCCTCCCTGGCCCTTTATAATGTCTACATACAGAAAACATTCCCACACAAAATTAATCTCTTTTAGAGAACTTTTCCTTTCCTTAGAATTACAGTTTTATAAAAAGTGGTAATTACTATTAAATGTTGTAACATCGTTTAGGGGTTTTAGTAGATAAAAGTTTGAAATCGAGTCTGTGAAATTTCAGCCATAATTAGAAAACATAAAGAAAGACATACTTTGTAATTCCTATTATTTCTGAGAAACATTTTTTACCTGGAAAGGGATAGACAGAGCATTTTGTAAGCTTGCTAGAAATAATGCTCCTATATTTATGAAGAGGGAATGTTTACATATGGTCTTGTTCTGCTTGTGCATTAAATAGTATGACATAGGAACAACACAATGGGAAATTACCAAAGAATCACACTAAAATATACTCCTAAGCATTTGAAACAAAACTTTTAAAAAATGATACTTAACAATTTCAGTAGAGAAACTAAGTGTTGATATTCTTTTTTCATTGTTCACCCATTTCTTGATAGTGAAATGTTTACAACCCAAAAAAAGGATCTCAATCAATAAGTAAAATAATTTGCAAAATATATTTATCATCAAAAATTAAAGCTTTCTAACAAAGGAACATTGAGAAGTACTTGTGGCATTTCCATCTCTCACCACATCAATACCAAAGAATGTGAATGATTTTTGCTGTGTGTGGTCATTGGGCCTCTCCTTTGGGCTTAGAGCCCTGTGGAAGGCATTCTAGCCCCTCCCTGCAGGTGGTATTTGGTAGCACATCCCCAGTTCTTCTTTATGGAGCTAACTTTTAGGGGTTGATTAGGGTACAGGGCAAGAGATGACTGAGTATCACCGTATCACCCACAGTCAGTCTTGTTGAAGTTCGTCTGTGCTGTCTGTGGTGGGTATCAAGGGGAGTTTATAAAAATTCCTTGGTCCCAAACCATTCATTTGTTCATTTGTTTATTCATCAGACGTGATAGGCATGGCCCTTAGCACTGGGGTTAAAAATAAGAAAAAGATTCAAACCTAAGTATCATCTGACTCAATTCTTTAAAGTATAGAAATGAGGATAGGAAGGAACTAAAGGACAAGTTTTACCACTACCTGTATCTGATCTTAACTCAAATGACACCGCCTGAGAAAGGTGGATGGTGTTTCCCGGTGAAGTGCAATAGACAACCTACATGGCTGGATAGAGCGGACCTGCTGACTACCCAAACTAAAGAAACATTATTCCCTTTGTCTCTATCACACTACTATGTTTTATTTTCTTCATGGTATTTCTCACTATCTGAAACTATCTTACTTTCCTATTTGTTGTCTATCTTTCCCTCAGGGACCTTGTTCCATACACTGCTGTATTCTCAGGCGGAGAACAGTGCCTTGTTTCATAGTGGGTGCTTGCTAAATATTTGTTGAGTAAATGAATGCTCATCACCATTAACATAAAACCACACTTGATAACCAACATTTTTTCTATCTCCAAAATGTCTGCAAGTTGTCTAATCTTGTACCTCAGGGATCTACCTCACAACTTCATTTCTGTGGGAAAAGACTGAGGTGTGGGGGGCAGGATACAGGGAGCCCCTGTTTCATTTCAGTTAGTTCCCCCACAGAGCTGGAAGTAGAAGCCGGATCCCTAGAATCTCAGAGCTCTTCAGCATTCCTGTGCTACCTCTGGTTGAGCCTTTCTGTGGAGAAAGCAGTTTTGGATTACTGCCATGAATGTAATTTTCAAAGGCCCTGGAAGAAGAGAAAGCAATGGAAGCTGCTTCTAGACTTCAGATGAGCTGAACATCAGAGTTCGTCTTCCTAGTCTGTGGAAGGGAAGTCATAGACTTTGGAACTGAATTCTTATGGCATAACTGTAATATTCTGCTGTAGCTGTGGCCAGAGGAGTTCTGCCTGCCTTCGTCTAGGTCGTGGGCTCTATATTAGGCTGGCTGTGTTTTTCACAGCTTAGTCCTTCATTAGAAATTAGGACTGGCTGCAGCCTGCAGTGACTAATTATAGAAAGATGGGTCATTGTCATTGTGGGTAAAAACACATGTGCCTGTTAAACTTCTCTGTCTATAGGGATCAGATAGTACATTTGAAGTGATAGCCAATATAATCACTTAAGTAAATGGATAAATATTTATTTGTTTTTATTAAAATGATAGACAAGCATTTGAAGACATTCATTTCTTTTTCTTTTTTTTTCTTTTTGTGAGACTGAGTCTCACTCTGTTGCTCAGCTGGGAGTGCAGTGGCGCATCTTGTCTCACTGCAATCTCCGCCTTCCAGATGCAAGTGATTCTCCTGCCTCAGCCTCCCGATACAGTTAGTTTCTGAGTACAACCGAGGAGAATATTTTCCAATAGAAATTTTAAGAAACACAGCATTTTTTCATGACTATGCCTACCCCCACAACACACACACTCTATACAGAAACATACACCTTATTATAGAAACATTTTCTGTAAGCAAAAACTCCTAGGACGGAGTTCCTGGGATACTGAAGGGAGAATGCGGAAAGAAGAACCTAGTGACTCCCTTTAAGAGCTCCACTGAGGTCATCACCTGCCAGAGGTTTTAATCCAAATGAAACTGGCTTTTTGTCAGATGCGAGAAAAAACTATAAGATCTTTGCATTCATTTAACAAATATTTGTTATGTGCCTTTTGGTGTGATACTCAGCTCTAGGCCCTGGGACTACAAAACTAAATGAAGGCTTCATTCCTGCTTCAAGGAGGTCACCATCTGGTGGAGTGAGAGAGATAAGTAAACACAAGAGTATAGTCTAGCATGGCCGGTTCTGGAATCAAGGAGTCTAAGGGGACATCTGAGGGGTCAGGGCACAGATTGTAAGGTGTAATGAAAAGAGGTCACACCTTAGCAGTTTTCAAATGAAGCTTCACATTTTTCAAATGAAGCTTCACATTTTGGATCCTCCATTTTCTCTTCTTTGAAATGAGGCAAAAAGAATTAGCCTGCCAGAGTTGTTATAATTCAATGATATAAAAGAGACTCAGTGAGTAATTTCTAAGAAAGAAAAGCAAAATTGAGACAGCAAGAGCTCTCTCCCAAAAGGCAGTGAACCATTCTGCGGACCTGTGGATTTGAATCTCTTTTGTGGAGTTTGCAGTCTTTCTAGCGGGTTATTTGTTAGAATAAGCCAAAGAGGTTCACCTAGAGAATGACTAAGTTGCGAAAGAAAAATCTCCTCTGGTTCAGAAATGAATTATTCCTAGGATGTTGCTTCATGAGTCTTTGTTACAGAAATTGGAGTTTGTGCAAGTAATTGGGGATCAGGAAACAACCACCCTGGGGACAATTGCAGGCAATTCTGCGACCACCTGGCTTAACTTGAATTCTAGGAAGTAGAGCTTCTCTTAGGTTAATCAAAGGTTTCATGGTACACCTTGTGGCTCTTTTCTTTATCCCTGATTTTTCCTCCCAGGCTTATGAATAAGGCTTCAGTTATGTTTCTCCCTCCAAAATTGCCAGCAGCCCCACCTGCTGGGCTTGGAGGCTGGGGCCTGCAGCCTAAGGACAGTGTGGCAGTCTGCTGCCATCTGCTGGCTCACGTGTCACCAGCTCAGGGCTGGCTTTGCAAGGATTCCCCAGGAATAGAAACCACCAGGAGAATAACTGTGGGCCAGAGAACGTTCCTGCTCATATTGAAAAATGAAGAGATGAGAAGATGGCAGACACAAGCTGGTATAAGAAGGCTTTTCTCCTCCTGCGAGTTTGTGTAAAGATGTGACCATCTCAAACAGCTAAGCCAGTGATATTTCTATGCAGATTTGTTTTGCTCAGGGAGAACATAGCAGTGCTTTCTAAAAAATGTATCTTATTTTATTTAGATCACTGTCTCACAAGGCCGAACAAATAAATTAATGACACATCTCTGTAGATTCATTTAAAGGAAACAGCAGAAACACAAGGCAGTGGGGTCTGAGGTGGGTATAGGGAAGCAGAAAGAGGGGAGGGATTGGAGAAACATTTCGCAGTAAGTTATAGTATATTTTAGTTGGTTCTGTCCACATTTTTTGAAGACCTACTGTTTACAAGGCTCTGACCCAGGTGCCTGGGATACAAGAATGAGTAATACTTAGTAATACTGAGTCCCTTCTGGCTTGGAGATAACAATGTATTGGGGAGCAGTAAATAAATAGAGAATTAAAACAGAATTGCAAGTACTGTGATAAAGTACTATGGTAAAGGAATCTAGGAGAGCACAGAGGAGGAGCATGTGTCAAAATCAAACTGGACTGCAGTGTCAGAGAGCGCATACTCTGGGAGATGGCATGAACTGAATTTTGAAGATACTAGCTCAATGGAGACTGTAATGGGAAAGACATTCCAGTTATGGGAAGCACCACTTCTCATACAGCCCATCACCCACCATCACTGCCTGGAAGAGCTGAGAACACTAGATACAATGCAAGAGAAGGCTGTTAAAACATTAGGTCTCAGATGAGCAATTGATTCAGTCCAGGGATATTGGCAGAGGCAGGGAGAAGAAGGCAGATCCAAGTGAGCAGGCAACATAAATAATCTTGAAGATCAGAGAGCAGGGCTTGGCAGGGTCTTTGGACCCAGGGAAAAGGCCACTTTCAATGCCGTGTATATATGGGCAACCCCTTCCAGGCAGGTATAAGTCACAATCAAATATTCAGAAACTTGTGAGTAACTTCCTGTCTTAATCTATCTGAAACTTCTGTGTGACCTCATTTAAATGTTGAAGTAGCTACAAGCTCAAAGTTATCAACTGCAACATTATTCAGAATTGCAAATATGAAGAGTGAAAGTAGAGAAAATGCTTGAGAAAATTGTGATACAGCAACTGAATGAAGCAGCTCATGGAAAATGCTAATTCTGAAAACTGTAGCACATAACAAATACTTGTGAAAAAAATCAAGATCCAAACCTGCAGGAGAAAAAATATTCAGAAGAGAAAAAAATAAACTGCTAGTAATGATGTTGTTCTTTTCTCTATTGTCTACGTTTTATATAATATTCTTATATTTCTTTTATAATGATTTTTTTAAAATATAAAGCAGCCTAAAGGTGAAATATGTGTCCTGATGAAGGCAGAGGCAAAAATTACCCTAAACAAATAATGGCCCTATTTATGTGTTTGTTTCTGCTACTGTAGATTCCATTTTCTTCCTAATTGTATTTCAGTTTGTGTGGTATATTCATTTTGCTTATTAAGCCTGTCCTCAGCCTTCCCTTTGCCCACACCCCTCCTCACTCCCTGGATCTGTGGGACGTATTGTGATGTCTGCCCGCTAATTTTGCTGTGACTGGGGCTGGTGTCTGGTTGGTGATTCATGTTTGTTCCAAAGTTGTACATCTGTGTTGGTTGCTTTGAAGCAGTGCCCCAGGGAATATGAAAGGCCATTTGTCTCCCTAAGACTGCTTCTTTGCATCAGAGACTTCTTCCCTGGCTTCGTTTAAATTCCAGCAAGCTCTCCTGAGTTTAAGTAGGGTAAGAAGGAAAGAAAACAAAAGCAAACAGGGGCATCATGGAGAGATCATTGGAGTCAGGGTCTAACCCCAGTTTACCTGGCATAAGTGAACTTCTTGGATTCTAATACTAGGGACAGAATGCCTATGACACTCATTTTAAGGGTAATGCTTTGTGGACTTACCCTCTGCCCACTAGGAATGCCTTTAGCAAAAAAGAAGGCAGAATGAGCCTTGGTGGAAACCCTGAATGGAAAGAGTTCTAAGAGCTCGGTGGGCATACCCACTTGGCACCTGCTCTAAGATTTTAGCACAGATACACACAGCAGTGGTATTCATAATATTTAATGACTGGCACTGCATGAGCACTGATGAATTAATGGACACAGGCACAGTGCTTCCAGACACCAATCCTTTAGTTACTGGATCACCAAGAAGTCCAGCTGACCCTGGAGGGCCTGGGGCAGTGGATGGATGCTAACAGTTTTAAAAGTATGTTAGTGTTTTAATATCCAGAAAGGTTGCACAGATACATACCAGATGAATAACAACATAAATACATGAAATTTCTAAACTCATGCCCACCATTAAGTTTTGTGTAATCCCCTCTTCACTTTTTAAGAACCTACCTACTTTGCCCTTAAAAATAGTTCAGAGCCCATGACCTACTGTTTCTAGGGGTTTGGGTGGCACACAAAAAAGCCCTTATCCACAGAGGGGCTTTTTATTTTGCTCAACTACGATAGATCTCACCCAAGGGAAGTTTGCAAGTCGCTTTATTATATTTTTGCTTGCTGCAATGTATGTGGCTAACAACGTAGCTCTGCCTCCAGGCAGGCTGGCAAGCAGGCTGCTAGTATGAGTGATTGTCCACCTGCCTGTCTGCCTGCAGTCTTTGAAAGGCAGCCCCATCCCAGACCATTAGCCTACTGAGAAAATTCATCTACAGTACCTTGAAAGACCAAACATATTGGATTGTTATAGCTTTTCTTTGGCCTTTTACCCAGACATTATCATTTTCTGCTTCTTATCAGACACCTGGAGTTTGTGGGTTGTCTAAAAGCAGCTTCTGTGAATGGTCTCTGGGGAAGCCTTATAACCCTGCCTTCTGTCATTTCTTCTCCTCATGTTTCAAGGAAACCTACAGCTTCAGGGTAATTTGCTGCCTCCCCGTTTTCATTCAAGAGAGCAGCCAAGGTTGCTTATAGTCTAACTGGCTCTTTATGTACCAAATTACTTTTGGTTGAATTCAGAGACTAAAGAGGAATTTCACTCAGTTATCTATTGGGCCATTCTGGAGTTCTGTCATTAGGAAAGTCTGAGGTTGTAAAGAAATTAGTTGCAAGACATGAGTCTTCCAATTCTGCTCTGCAAGTTACTAGCCTATGACTCTGAGAAAGGTATTTACATCTTGCTAAGCCTCATTTACCTCAAATGTAGAGTAGGATCATTTTATATACTTCACAGGGTTGTTAGGAGTAAATGGAATAATGTATTGGGAAGCACTTTGTAAAGTGAAGAAATATAAGCAAAATCCACCCAAAGTGAGCTGGTTGTAAGAACTAGTGAAAGGAAAGAACCAAGAATGTAGACATAAATCATGGCCGCTGAATTGGTATACAGGAAATTCACTGTTGTGGTCTAATTTGAAAAAAGGAGCATCCTCAGCCCCATATCTTTTGTTCACCATCTCTCTGCAAAGCTTTAGCTGGGGAGCAGTGAGAGTTCTGGAGAAATACTAGGGAAGAGGATTACTGTCAATTTGAGGCTAAGAGAGATTGTGTGTGCAGGAAAAAATGCATATGTAATGATAAAGGAGAATGTGAAAAGGGCACAGTGCCCAGGGAAATACCAGGAGCGTGGATACAGAAAACAAGAGACAAAATCTCTACTGCTCCCGTCTGTGTGTTCATTGATCAGAGCATGTTCAAATAATTCTGGGCTTGAGGGCACCTTTCTAGAGTGACGAAGACCGATAGGAAACCTCATGACACTCCTCTGTGGGAGCCAGTGAATGCATCCTCCCCCAGAGACAAAGCTCTGCAGCCTTGGAGAGTAATTTGGTGTTAGCAGATTAATTAAGTCATTTTCTGTGGTTAAATTTGCAGATGAATATTAAATCTCAGGCTGGGCCTCCCATCTAATAACCCAGTGGAGGTTGTCAGGATAACACTTTGTTCCTGAAACATTTAGAAATACGTGTATTGTATATTTAATGAGACTGTGATATTTATTCATGACAGGAAGAAGTCTTCCAGACAGGAAGACTTTACTCATGTGATAGTTCAGGGTCTGACACCTAGAGCTGTGCTGAATGCCCCCTCTAAAGTTGCTTATTATCACCAAGTTGTTGTATGCCTGGCACCAACGCCGAATTTGTCCAAGTTACTCATGTCACTGAAAGGCCATGGAGTTTGCTCCTGGGTTCAAATTCTGGCTCCATTATTTGCTAATGGTGGGCATGGGTAAATAACTGAACTTCAGTGCGACTCAGTTTCCTATACATAACATGAAAATAATAATGACTGCAACTCTAAGCTGTGTTGAGGATGAAAACTTTCCATAGTACATACAGTTTTATGTAAAATGCTTAGTGTATAGTACCTGCCACACGTTGGTTCTCAGTGTATACTATGTGTCCTCCTCCATGGTTATCATGTGACCAGAGTTTCCCACTTTCTCTTTAAGCTTTGATGTGGAAAATGGCCCTTCCCCAGGTCGGAGTCCACTGGATCCCCAGGCCAGCTCTTCCGCTGGGCTGGTACTTCACGCCACCTTTCCTGGGCACAGCCAGCGCAGAGAGTCATTTCTCTACAGATCAGACAGCGACTATGACTTGTCACCAAAGGCGATGTCGAGAAACTCTTCTCTTCCAAGCGAGCAGTAAGTACAAGCTCTGTCTGGCTTCCAGTTTCACATTTACCTCATCTCTACCCAGGTCACAGTGGCAGCAACAACAATTCCCCATTAATCTATGGTAAGGATGAAGGAAGAAAATGAATATGAGCAGGGGTGACGTGATGACCATTTTAAGGACATTAATGCTCTATAGCATGCGGAATATGTAGCTGGGGTCTCCAAGGGTTTTGGAAAACCTAGACACAGTGTTTACTTTACATCTTTTACTGATACCTTAAAAAAATTATTTTGCTTCATTTCCTGAACTGTTGAGTCATTTATGGCATGAGAACCTTAACACTTTTTATACATCACACTTGAAATTTCAGCTGTGTGTGCAGTTTTCATGAGGCTCCAGCAAAGAGGAAAAATGGTGATTGGTTATATGCATGCTGTCTCAGTAGCCTTTGCTTGGTGACTTTAATAAGATGTCATTCAGACACATGCCTGTGTCCCTTCTCTGAAACTTTAACACAATGCCCACTTGTTGCCTGGCTCCTTGGTGAGACACAACACACTCCACCGCCCTGTAAAGCACTGCTGATATTTTTGTTTTGCCGCTATTAATTGTAAATCTCTAAATTTTATTTAAAGAACAAGATCTAGGTTGTGTCACCCATTTATTAAATTTCCAAAACCAAATAAAATTGGATTCTGGAATTCATGCCTTAAAAGGTTTCTGGGCACAGATACAATTGTTTTTATATTATATGTCATAAAAGTATCAGTAGCTCCCTAAGGTCTCCAGTTTGGAAAATTCCACTCTGTTCTCTTCTGCTATTGGAAGGGAAGTCAAAAATTTCACCCTCTGGTGAAAGGGGGAATTTTGAAGCTACCAGCAAAAAAATATTCCTTGAGGCATTTCTGCCAGCACATTTTAATAGACGCACCCCTGCCCTAAAATATCTCAATCATTGTGTGGGCCCAAATTCATTTTTCAGTCATTTGGCAAAATTTACTGATTCTCTCCTTTGTGCCACACATTGTGTCAATCTCTGGTGATAAAAGACAAACAAAACAGTGTAAAAATCACAGATGAGTTAAAAGCATATCTCATTCTCAAAAAATGTGCATGCTGTCAGGGAGGTTACAGCTAAATAAGAAAGATAAGAGGAACACACACATACAAACATAACAGAGTGAAAGGAAATAACATTTAATGAGCACTTCCCATGGAGCCGAGCTCATGTTCTTATGTTATCTCTGTTAATCTGTCAGGTAGGTGTCTTTATTATCCCCACTCCATAGATGATGAAACTGGGACTCTGAGAGATTGAGAAACTTGCCCCTATCCCATGACTGTGTATCATGCTGTGTCCCATGATGTGGCTAAGCCTGACCATATTAAAAACTTTTGGAATCTTTCCATCCATGTTCTTCAAATTGCAAAGTGGCATCTCTACCACTAGGTAGAAAACAAATGACTGCAGAGTAGAGGTGTCCAAGGCTGCAGGAGAGGTAGGTAGCCAGCAACTTTGCTGTAGATCTTGTAGAACCCAAGGCATTTCTGACAAAAGTTTGAATGGGGGTCTTTGAATGCAAAGATATTGGGAATTCTTTCCTTCACCAAGATAAACACCTTTCTAGGCTTCATCATGGAAGACCGTAGGTCATGTGGTGAGCTCAAAGTAATTAGAGCTTAATTCACATAGTATTTTACAGGTGCAAGATTAGCTTTGAAATCTTGTCATTCCCCAAAAACTAATTCCCTGGCTAAGAGCTCTCCAGACTCAAGCCAAACGGCAGGAAGAATCTCAAGGTCATTCAGAGTCGCCCCAGAAAACTCTACTGCACTTCCAGATTAAATCTTGTGTTTCATTATTTGGAATCAAAAGGTTGTAGAAATGTTAAATTTGAAGAGACCTTAAAGATCACAATCCAACTGAATCTACGGCAGTCAAAAAAGAGGTGTAGTTCTAAATGACACCGCATCCAGCATCCCTGTTACTGGTAGTTTACTGTCCTTTCAATTTTACTGGCCAGTAAAATTCCCCACCACCCGCCCCACCCCCTGCCCCCAGTAACTTTAGAACCTAAATTTTCCAACTTTAAATTTAGGCAAGTAAAAATTATATATGTAAATTATTTAATATCATTCTCACTTTTTAAAGATAAGGACTTAGATAAAAAGTAGTATGGGCACAATTTCATAATAAAAAGCAGCCTTTCCCAAGAAAACAAGGTTGGCAACATAATACCACCCTATCAAAAATACTGATAACAGGATATATTAAAATCTTTGTGTGAATGAAAATAGCACAAGATTTTGTTTTCCAAATATTTCAGTACCACAGAAAAAAACTTTTATATATTTGTCAGTTTTGGAATTATATTTCACAACACGCTGAGAAGTAGAGTTTGAATAATATTAAGCTTCTTCTAGTAATTTAGTTTTAAGTTGGCAAATCCAGTTTCACATAAATATCTGAATCTGAACTAAAGTAATGCTCTTAAAGCTATTTCATATGATTATTAACTCTTTAAGATGAATCGAAACAGAGGAACAGCAGCTCCCCACACTTCCCGCCCCTTTTTTTGCCTTCTACCCATAGATCCAGGAAGCAAGAAGGGTGCTAATAGACCAAGAGTCTAGATGTGAAGGCCACTGGGTGGGGGCTGCCGGATGTTCCCTGCTCACAGACCTCATACCCAGCACAGAGCTGTCATGAATTTTTTATGAATGGTGGAAAACTTTGCATAATTCTACTGCATTAAATCCTAGTAATAAAGGAAACACTAGCTTTTAAATTTTTCTCATCTGAATTTTTTCAGAAGAGTAACAGAAAATTATAGTCAGGGGAGAGTGAGTGAAAAGATATTAAGAGTAAAAATGTGAACAAGAAAAATTAAAAGTAGCTTTAACTTTGAGCAACAAAGGAGAGGATCAGAATAAGGCTTTATAGTGAAGTAAAGCAAGATCACCATTGGGTCCCAAAAGGCAATTTCAGATGCTTTCCTAGATGTGGCAATAGTTTGCTGGTTTCTGTTCAGTTCCTGTGTTGTAGTCATCCCAAACGTAATGCCTTCGTATACTGAGGTACAGATTGCCTCATGGGAACATAAAGTACTGGAAACTAGTAAGGCCAGTTTTACTGCTGAAAACTGTGGCAGGAACCACCATGGACAGAATGGAGTTTTGATTATCCACCTGCAAAGCCACAGGAAAGGAAACTCCATGTTTTTTTTCATTTGGTCATCCCATTTTGCAAAGCCTTACACAGACAAGAAGCTTTTGAAAGCCACCATTTACGTGTGGACTAAGTAGTCTCTAGAGAGAGCCTACTCATTTTCAAGGGAAATGAGACCTAAGAACCAAGAGGAAAAGCAGAAATAATAATCCACTTAAATTTAAAACCTGTTTATTGATGGACTAGCAAAAAGTGCAGTGTGGTTTCTAAGACTTGAGTTAGACTTACACCATCACACTTACTAGCACCATGGCTTTTAAGACATTGAATCTCTTTTATTGTCTCTAAATTATCTGTAAGTAAAAGCACACATTTATTGAGTATTTTCTGTATGCTATCTGTTAAAATACTTTACATATGTTAATTCATTTAATCTCCATATCCCCAATGTGGTAGGTACTATAACTTTCTTGTTTTAATGATGAGGATATTAGGGCACAGAGAAGTTAAGTGACTTCTCCAATAAATGGGAACAAGACGAACCCAAGAAGTCTAGGAGGTAAACTATATGGATATCCAGTATGTAAACAGACTCTAAGTGAGGCTGAAAAATACAAAATAATGCTATTAATTTCTGTTCTGCCTACCTTTCCAGCTGTTAGGAGGATCATATTCATTCTCTCTTTTAATAAGTATGTAAATTTAGGAACTTTGTGAACAAATAAGACAGTTTCTGTGTCTTCAAGGGTACGGAAACATTAGAAGTCAATAGGCAATTTTAGCAGTTTCAGATAAGGGCAGGCATAGAGAGCTATGCACTGGTTTGAAAGGTCTGGCCAGGCAGGAAAGCAGCCTACTCTGAGGAGGTTACAGCTCAGCTAGAGGAGTCAGGCAGGCAGAGGAAGTGCAGGAGAGGCCAGGTGCTAACTAATCCTCCAGTTAGTGTGGGAGCATTTTGGAGAACCACAGCTCAGTGTGGTTGATCCAGAGGATATGAGAGGATGAGGAAGTGGTGAAAAACAAGACTGGAAAAGTGAGCAGGAACCTCATCATGAAGGGCCTATGTTAAGGAATTGGCCTTTATGTTGCAAGTGGAGAGTTACTAAGCAGATAAACATATAATGCAACATTTTAAAAAAATAGCTCTGATTGCAGTATAGAAAATGGTTTAAAGGGTAGGGAAGCTTAAAGGCTAGTACTCAAACCTACAGAGCCAAACAGGAGGCTGCCATGATATTCATGTAAAAGAGGATGGGGATTTATATTACAGATGATCTAGTGAGCAGTTAGTACATATTTGCAAGTCAGGATCAGCAGGAGTTAGTGTTTAATTGAAGGATAAGGAAGAGGGAGGTTTCAGGCTTGGTCGAGAAGATAGGTGGTTGCACTATTTCCTGGGATCAGGAGCATTCTCTTACTACATGAAATAATGTACATGAAAGTGCTTTGTAAACTGTAAATATAACATAAATATGAGTCCTCTTGATTGCAATGGACAGACATGAATTAAGATTAAAGAAGCTCTCATCAGCTGGAAATACAGACATGCAACCCTTTAATTATGGATGCCCTTCAACTTACAATGTCCCAAAAAGCCCATCCTAAGTTGAAAATGCATTTAACACACCTAACCTACCAAACATTACAGCTTAACCTAACCTACCTTAAATGTGCTCAGAACACTTACATTAGTGTACAGTTGGGCAAATCATCCAAAGCAAAGCCTATTTTATAATAAAGTGTTCGATATCTCATGTAATTGAATACTGTACTGAAAGTGAAAAACAGGAAGGTTGTATGGGTACTCAAAGTATAGTTTCTGCTGAATGCATATGGCTTTTGCGCCATTGTGAACTCAAAAATTGTAAATTGGGCAGGGCGTGGTGGCCTGTAATCCCAGCACTTTGGGAGGCTAAGGTGGGTGGATCGCTTGAGTTTGAGACCAGCCTGGACAACGTGGCGAAGCCCTGTCTCTACAAAAAATACAAAAACTTAGCTAGGAGTAGTGGTGCGTGCTTGTGGTCCCAGCTCCTCAGGAGGCTGAGATAGCAGGATCACTTGAGCCAGAGAGGTGGAGGTTGCAATAAGCTAAGATTGTGCCACTGCACTCCAGTCTAGGTAATAGAGTGAGACTCTGTCTCCAAAAAATAAATAAATAAATAAAATAAGTAAAATAATCGTTAAGTTGAGGACCATCCATATAAAAATAAAGATACCTACTGGTATTGATAATAACTATAACTCAATAACTAATCTGCTTTTATGTGCTAAGCACTGTTATCAAGAGTTGTACATATGTAATAATTAATTTAATTTTCACAGAACCCTGTTTGACAGGTAAAAATGTTGAGACATGGAGAGGTTACCTAATGTCGCATAGCTAGTAATAATGCAGCTGAGAAACAAACCAATTCACTTTGGCTCCAAAATCTGTGCTGTTAACCACTATAGTATATATCTCTCCATATGACAGACAAAAATTAAGGAAATTACAAGTTAATTTCTGTGTGTAGTGAGAAAACAGAGAAAGGTGGAATGAATTAATAAAATTCAGAGTGTGGCAGTGAAAGGCAGTATTTCTGCTTTCTAGAAAATCATTTTATTGTTTAGAGCAGACCTACATACACTCAATTCTATGACTCAGTACTAAGACTGGAGTGCTCATTTCGTTATTCTACAAATTTGTAATGTGCTGGCTTTGTCACTAGATGTTGCTCTTGCAATGCAATGATTCTGAATATCTGGACTTGCTCCTGAGAGGCATTGCCTTCTCCAGGGGTTTGGGAAAGTAAGAAGTGTATCAGTTTTCATAATCAATCAAATGTTTTATAATTTCTATGCCATTTGATTCTTAACTAGTGATTTATCAAATTATGATTTTTAAAAATTTATAATAGTTCCATAAATAATCTGGTTGCACTCTAAGAGAAGTTTTTTGTTTTGTTTTGTTTCTTTTCTGTTACTTTCTATAAATTATCTGATAGATTCTCTAATAGCAATTTTCTAACATACAGCATTAGCTTTGGCAGCTCAAATTGTTTAAGGGAACCAATGCTGGGCATCTGTAAAATCCATTTTTTGCTTCTGAATGTTCTGTTCTCCTAAACTTCAAAAGTTCCATAATGATAAAGTCATGTTGACATTATGCCCTATTAATGTTTCTTTATCTCCCTTTAATCTTTGGATTGTACAGTTTTAATAACTCCTCCAACTCATTCAACAGTACATCAGCTCAAGGTACCACCTATGCATGAGATTTACTTATATTAATTAGCTTTTATTAGATACTAGACTCTGGAAATCCGGGAGTCATAGAAGATGCACTTAAATCTAAATCCGTTATCTTGTCCCAAATTCATCCTGTTGTCTTATGAACAATGTGAACTTCACATCAGAAATCAGAACACTTCACTTGACTAGCCTAAAAAAAAAGAAAGAAAGAAGAAAAGCAAGAAAGCAAGAAAGAAGGAAAGAAAAGAATCAGAACAAACCACAAGATCTTCACCCATCTCAAAGTTCATCTTGGGAAAAAAGGTTGGAAAGGGTCAGTTTCTGATACAGTTCACCACACTCCATTTATCACAACTGCTCCTGTCTTGATTATTTTTTCTTTTTTGTATCTCTCCAAGAACCCTGAGGCTCTTCCTTTGGCTCCCTATTTATATGTACCCCCACCTCATGGGGCCACTTCCTGCCATGGCCTTAACTATCCCTACTTTTGTAGGAAACCCCTAAATCTATAGCTCGAATTCCCATATCTCAGTCTTCCTGCTCGATGTCTCCACCCGGATACAAATCAGTACCTTTAAGTTCAACGTGTACCTTAAAAACTCAGTGACTACCTTAAACTCCCCCAACAGGAGGGGAAACTCCTCATTTCCTTATTTCTACTCACGGCTTCACTGTTTTCTCAGATATCCATTTTTTAAATTGAAAATTATATTTCTTTATGACCCCTTATCCAATTAAATGTCAAGTTCTGCAAAACCTCTGGGCTCTCTTCAAGTTGTCTCATTCTGTCCCTTTCTTGACATTACCTATTGGTTCTCATCAGAATGGGTGCAATTTCTAACTATTCTTTCCAGGTCTGTCCCCACTCCAATCTATCCCTCCACATCCAAGGCATTTTACTTTCTAAAACACTTTTCTGTTGGCCCATCTCACTTTCCATCTCACTAAAAACCTTCCCTGGCTCCTTTCTCTCTCCTCTCTCTTTTTCTTTTCTTTTCTCTTTTCTTTTCTTTTCTTTCATTCTTTTTTTCTTTTCTTTTTTTCTCTTTCTTTCTTTCTCTTTCTTTCTTTTTGAGACAAAGTGTCACTCTTATTGCCCAGGCTGGAGTGCAATAGTGCGATCATGGCTCACTGCAACCTCTGCCTCCTGGGTTCAAGCAATTCTCCTGCCTCAGCCTCCCAAGTAGCTAGGATTACAGGCATGTACCACCACACCCAGCTAATTTTGTATTTTTTTTTAGTAGAGACAGGGTTCCTCCATGTTGATCAGACTGGTCTCAAACTCCCAACCTCAGGTGATCCGCCTGCCTCGGCCTCCCAAAGTGCTGGGATTACAGGCATAAGCCACCACGCCCAGCCTGGGTGATTTCTTTCTATGGAGTTAAGTACTGACTCTATAATCTTTGTCTGGACTGTCCATAATATGAGCGTGGGAGGCCTTCTATCCTTATTCTCTACAAATGTCTATAGCTAATATGCTCTGCTCCACCCAAATAGCCATCAAACATCTTAATAAGCGTGTTCAGTATTTTCCCATTTCAGTACCTTTGTTCCTGCCATTTCTCTTCATTGGCAGCATCTACCATCCCTGACTTTTTAAATCCTTCAAAGTTCCTCTGAAACACTGCTCACTCAATCAAGACTTTCCTACTTTCTCTAACCTGTAATTGTCATGTTTCCTTTGGACTTCATGAAGTATACCCATTGTTTTTAATTCTCATTCTGTATTAAAATGTCTATTACAGTTTTTAAAATATTTTTTGTTTCCCCTACTTTGTTTCAGTTTTGGAGTTCATGGATATTTTGTATGATTTGATATGTCAACTATGCAGCAAGTCATAAAATAGGAAGCATAGGCTGGGTGTAGTGGTTTACACCTGTAACTCCAGCACTTGGGAGGCCAAAGTGGGCCGATTGCTTGAGCCCAGGGCTTGAGAGCAGCCTGGGCAACATGGCAAAACTCTGCCTCTACAGAAAAATACAAAAATAAATAAATAAAATAGCTGCGTGTGGTGTTGTGTGCCTGTAGTCCCAGCTACTCCAGAGTCTGAGGTGGGAGGATTGCTTGAGCCTGGAGGCAGAAGTTGCGGTGAGCTGAGATCACTCCACTACACTCCAGCCTGGGTGACAAAGCTAGACCCTGTCTCAAAACAAAACAAAATAATGACAACAACAGCAAAAATGAAGCATAGTGTTTAAAAGCACAGATTTTTGAAACCAAACAGTCTAAATTCTTACACTTGGAATCAGTCTCAGTTCTTCTACTTACTAGGTATGTGCTAGTTAACTGCTCTGTGGATCGATGTCATTTATATAATAGCAATATTAAGAGTACCTGACACACAGCCCTGTTACAATAATTAAATGAGATAATACATGTAAACTGCTTACCACAAGACCTGGCAGACAACAGTAGTGACACAAATAATGCTTACTCCTTGTCAGTATTCTTTTTATTGTCACTGTACAGAGTGGGCACAGAAGACACTTGCCAGATTAAATTGAAGTTTGGAGGTTTCTAGCTGAAGAAAAAGGTGGAAATAAAAGTATCATATTAAATAAGATGTCAAGTTAAAAGCCTATGACAGAGGAGAGGCCCAAATGGATGCATGTGTTGTTCGACTCTGGAGCCCCAGGCCTCGTGTGGTGCCTGGTACAGGGCACATGATTAATAATTATTGGTTGCACTAATGTAGTTAACAAAGAAGGTGCCATATTTGTGTGACAATGATGAGGACAGGGAAGGTAGGCCAGACACTGAGGGAAGTTCACTGTTACTAATTTCTGTGCTGCTATGATGATTCACACTGTAATAGCAAAGTGGCCTGATTTTGTGACTGTAGCTCAAACCAACATGTCTTCTAGTACCTTCAATAGAGAGTTTGCTGAATGTGGGTTTAAGTAGATTTCTCAAAGTATGTGCCAGAGAGACAGTGTGCACTTCTGAAAACACATTTTTGACTCTTCCTAAATACAGATTTACATAACACTAGGTACAGCTTAATCTGTTCTTTGGGACAAAATGGAGTGACAATGGTATGATTATGGCAGGTTCAGCCATACACTCCTATTAAAAGCTTTTCCTTAGGTACTTTAAGAAAAAGTTATATTACAAACAAAAAGTAATGGGATTCCCAGACAGAAATCTGTGTTTAAATGGCATTAAAGCTGTGGTTCGAATCAACAAAAGCCAGGAAATCCAAAGTTAACCTTTATCCAGACTGTTATACCAGTTTTTCCAACTGTGTGTGTCCCTGTGAGCAGCCCTCCCTTTGAATTTCCTGGCTCTGGCAACCAAAATCCACAAGTCGCTTTGAATTACAGTACTCTGGATCTGTTATTTAATGGGAATATATCCTGAGGATATATGCTTACTTGCAAATGCTTTTATGTGTAGTCACTGTAAATTCAGGAGTCATGAATCTAGTACTAATTTTTTCCTTTCAAGCTCTTGGAATACCCTTTCGTGCCAAATTGTGAGTCCTGTCTTATATCCAGGTAGAAGAACTTGTATAACATTTGTGTTGTTAACACTGATAAAATTTAATATTATAGCTTATATGTCACAGTTATAATTCAAGTAAATTTCTAAAGGTTCTTTTTTTCTCTTTTCACCAGACACGGCGATGACTTGATTGTAACTCCTTTTGCCCAGGTATGTATTATGCTGGCCCTGGCTTGCTTTCACTGTCGCTGGTTTCTAAGTCTGAACCTGGCCATTTGTCTTCTTTTGTCCTTAACCGTTTAAAACATTTTTCTTCTAGGTCCTTGCCAGCTTGCGAAGTGTGAGAAACAACTTCACTATACTGACAAACCTTCATGGTACATCTAACAAGTAAGGATTGACTTTTTTGTGGAGTTTGAATCCCTAACATAAAGGCAAAAAATATTGAGCAGCATTTAAAAAAATACAACTATTACATGGAAAATTGTCCTCTAAGCTAAGTTAATATACACAATAAAATTTGAAAACAGGATGGAGCACCATAGTATTTTAGAACTCATACAACACTATAAGTAACCTAGTCTGGGTCTTATTCGTCTTTGTACCCATAAGACTCAGTACCAAGTAGAAATTCACAAATGAAAGAACAAAAGGAAGATTTAATTTTCGTTGACTTTTACATTTACTACTTTGACCAGTAACTGCCATAAATTCTATTAAAATTCTTTTTGAATAAGTTATTAATGAATTCAGATATTCAAACTTAAAATTAAATGTAGCAAAAAGTTCAAGTTCAATTTGCCTAATTTTTGATTGTCTATAAACAAGTTCATGCAGTTTAATGAATAAGAGTGGGATTATCTTCTCCTCCACCTTCAATTAATTATATGATCTTGGCATTTAAATTAATGTTGCTGATCCTTGATCTCCGTATCTATAAAATGAAGGGTTTGAACTTTATATTCCTTGCAGTAACACTTTCTCCAAAATCATTTCGAATCTATGAGCTTAAGCTAAGTTCTATTCGGTTCACTCTTCTGCATGTTTTAAAACAGTATCACAAAGGTCAGAGAGTCATAGAACCCGTGATCCTGGAATGAGAGGACTGGAGGAGGCCTTTGAGACCATTGATTCTCTTGTTTAGTAGAAACCTAAGCTCTCAAGAATCCAGTGACTTGCTAACAACCCCCTCCCCCCGCATAAGTTAGAGACACAGCAGGGCCAAAACCTGTATCTAATTTTTCAGCCAGTGTTCACTACAGAGTATCCTATATCTCCAGTCTTTGTGAAGTTATTTTTCAGTCCTTTACTTTGCTTTCACACACATTTTCATAGAATAGTTTCATTAAAAGTGGGAGTAAACCCTGCTTTGAATGTTTGCTTTTTCTTTCACTGTTTTATGACTAGGCTTTCTTGTGAGATGACTCTGTATACTCTGATCAAACTTCCATGTGAGTGATCTTTCTCACATGTTGTATGACTGTGTCACCCTCCAGCTTGAGGCATTTCAGTGGTCCAGTGTTATCATTAAGATAAAGTTTAAATGCTGGTGCTTGGCACTCAAGACAAATTAATTTGATTGATAGTTGCTTGGGTTTATATGTAGTGCAATGTATATGAAATCTAGAGGCTTGTCTCAGCCTCTTTTGGGTAGAACTCCATTTATTTATTTATTTATGTATTTACTTATCTATTTATCCATCCAACTAGTATTTATTTAGTACATACCATCCATTCATACATGGATATATGCATTTAACAAATAACTACTGGGCACCCCCATCAGTACCAGGCACTGGTAATATAATAGTGACCAGAGCAGACAAGTCCTCTCCTCTTTTAGGGCTTACATTCTAATACAAAATGCTGTAGGATGCAGTGTAAACAATCAGACCAGGTCTCTAGCCACATGGAATTATGTTCAATAATCATGGTCTGTTGTTCTCTGCATACTCTCTTCTCTATCCTAATTATGGACTTACTGTTCTTTCTTCCTAAAATGTCTGTTTCCACTTGCCAGTGTCTGCTTGGCCAAATCCTGATTGTCTATGTCCCATCTCTAGTATCACCTTCACTGAGATGCTTTCCCTGACCTCACCAAACCTGGCTGAGTGGCCCTCATTTGGATCCAGAGTACTCTGAAAACCTTATCACTATCTTTATGGATCTCTGCCCACCACTAGACTGTGTGCCCTTTAGGAGTAAGAATTGGGTTTAGTTTTTCTTGAATTCCCAAGAATAGCAGAATGCCTGACATACAGTTTGTGCTTCATAAAAATTCATCACATATATGAACTTCTGAATAAATAATTGTTGGAGGAAAGACCACCAATTATTTAGAAAATTATATTTGCAGGATTGATTCCTTCTCTATGTTTTTTTCTTTGTAGAATATGGCCTCTGGCTTCATAGCCCATTTCTACCCCCTTGAAAATGATGCACTTGGGCAAGCTAATTACTCTCTCTATATCTCAGTTTTCTAATGTGTAAAATAGGGTTGTTATGAGGATTAAATGAATTGATATTTGCAAAGCACTTAAAACAGCATCTTGCACAAAGTAGGTGCTCAATAAATGTGAGCTATTATAATGGATCGTTACATTTCTCTTGCTGAATCCAGAAGTGGTGTAACACTTTGGGGTTTTCATATCTGTTGTCAGCTTAGATCACCATAAATGATATTCATGGTATTGAACAAATAAAGGTATTGTTACCCCCACTCTATGGATAAGGAAACAAAACTTAGGGAGAATAAATGACTTGGGCAAGAACGTACAGCTTCCAGTGGGCAACAGAGTTTTCCTTGAAACCTGTAATCCTGACTGTCACTGCAGTGCTCTTTTCATTTGCCAAACCTGTTAAGTCTTCTGGGTTATAGGAAGAAGTCCCTGGAAGGCTTTGGAACAGAAAGACATTTAGGAAGAACTTATGGAATAGATGAAGGTCAGAAAGCCTGAAGACAGAGACAGTAGCTAAAACAATATTTTCAGGAATTAAACATGAGGGTATAGCTCTAAACCAGAATGATGGAGATGGCAATGGGGAGGAAGGGATTAATATGGACACATTTTAAAGGCTTCTTAAGCATGGCTGGACTGAGAACCACTACATTGCACAGCACTAGGGAGAAGGCGGGGTGGGTGGTGGTGTTCTCATTCTTATTTGTTAGCATGGGTTTGAAGGTTTTTTACCTCTGTTAGTAGTATCAGAACATTCAGCCCAACCCTGCTGATTAATAAGCTGTGCCAACTGAAACAACTTTCTCAATAATCAGGCCTTTCCAAACCCTTGAGGGTTTTGGTCCTTGTGAACTTTTAGGAACCAAGTACCCCAAGACCATAATTGCCATAGCACAGCTGAAGCACAGCCCTTCCCACACTCTGGCTGAGGACTACCCTTCAAATCACGGCCCCTTGTGTCACCCTTGGTCCAAAGCAAGCCATGCTTATCACAAAAAGCAGGCCTCCAGTGGTAAGATAGTTGTATCTAATGATCTTTCTCAAATTCATACCCATGTGTACAGAGTTGATCCTGTTACTGATTGCAAGTACTACCTTGTCACCAACAAAAATTCAAGAGAGGGCACATTTACCACTAGAGCTTCACCAAAGGGAGTTGAGAGTGGTGCAGTCTAGCTCAGACTCAGTCCTGAATAATGGATTTCAGACATCAGGGAGCTGAAATCAATGAAATCAATTAGCCATCTCTGGAGCAGTCTGGCAGGGGCAGGCTGGAAAACTGAGTGTCCATTTAATGCACTCCATTTTATTTCTAGATAGTGAATACCTTCAAACAACTAAAGAAAAGCCAAGAGAAGGAACTGAAGACAATAATGTTTGGCAGGAATGGATACAACATACAGAAAGCATACCCCCACCCGAACACACACACAGACACACACACAAACACTCACACATATACACAGAGTTATCTTAACAGCTGAAACTGTAGAATTCATGGAACTCAGATATTCCTTTCTGATATACTTGACTTCAGATCCAGGGTGCCACTCCCTGCCTTGAATGTAGCATTTAAGCAATAATTGTGTCCTAGGAGTGGTTTTCATGAGACATCTGGTTAGTGTGGTTTATTGTAGGAAAAGGAACTCCCACATAGAACTATACTTCTCATAAGTCAAGATTTCTTTTATCTTTTGGCTCTTTGCTGTGCATAAAAGCAGTCCATTGTCTGCTTGTGCTTTACCACTCAAAGGGTGGAAATCTCAAAGTTCCTGTTGAGGTGGTTTCCTTGCACCTTCATGAAATATCCCATTGAGGGATGCTTGATTGGACCTGTATTTCTTGGCTGCAAATTAAAACCTACACTTCCTTTGTCCCAGGAGTTAATTTTGAAAATATGGCTTTCATTTAGAGTTGTTAATTCAGATAAGCGTTCTTAAAGCACTTGCTGACTTTAAACAGACTGCTGGAGTAATCAGGTGCGCAAGTGAGTGTGCCCACCATTCAGCAGTCTGATAGCCAGGGGATGGAGCTGGGAGCAAATAGGTGTCATTTATCAATCGACTCTGTCATCAACATCATGAATGTCACCTGTGGCTATCAGGAAATAATGTAACTTCTTTGTATTAACATTCTTCCAAAGCATAATTTAATGAACATGTATGTAATCTTCAGGAAAGAACTAATAACCACTTAATTTTTTTAGTGCATATCTATCCAAAATGTCTTTTATTGCTGTATGTACTTTGGCATGTGAATTAAATTAACTGAGGATCATAAAATGTTTAGCGTTCAGAGCTGGAATGAACCTAGCCAAATTTCCTCAGATGAAGTGAAGCAACATAGGTAAAACTCCTCACACAGGACTCAGTACGTTGTAAATCACCAGTAAATGTTAGTTGCTGCCTGCTCTTCTCAAGTGAGGAAGAAACTAGGAGGTTCCGTGAATTGCCCAAGGGCTATACAGTGGGAAGGTGCCAGAGCCAGGATTAGGATTCCTGTCTTCTTAGTCACAGTCCAGTTCTGTCTCCACTGTGCTATTCAGGGCTGGAAAGTATGAACTGCTATGGCCATATTATCTTCCCTATTTATATCACCATCTTCAGCAATCAGCCACGTAACTTCTTATGATTCTTCCATAAGTTACGGACTTTGGAAACTGAGCAACCAATACCACTTTCCTCTGGCATTCCTTACAATTTTCTGTCTGGCATTCTCATGCCCTACAAGCAATCATGTGGCTTGCAGAAGTCATTTATTCATTGAAAATGTATTGAGCCTCTTCTTTGCACCAGGTCTCATGAATAATTGACAAACCAAATAAACATGGTCCCTGCCTTTCCAAAGCTTCCACACAGAGATGCTTATCTGAATTGACAACTCTAAATAAAGCCATATTTTCAAAATTAACTTCTGAGACAAAAGAATTTGTATAGTATGAGTAATTTCCAAGAAGTCATTGAGAGAATTAGGCACTGTGATTTGACACGCTATAAAGAAAGTAGAGATTTCTGACATTTGGGGTCTCCTAGTTCAGTTTCTTCTTTCACAAAAGTCTTCTTTGGAACTCAGGAAAAGGTGTAAGATAAAATTATTAAAATGCATTATTAATCCAGTGCGTATGTGTTGAGTACCTCCATCATAGCAAATATTATGCCAGATCCCTGTGTTACAGTGGTGCACAATGTTCAATCATTGCTTAAATTTCTCATAGATGAGTTGAAGAGAAAGACAGGAAAATGGGAAATACAATATAGAATGAGCAATGCAGTGGTTCAGTAAGCACAGGAAACTACAGAACACAGGTGAGGGCCACTCACAGAGGGAAGGCTCCTCTGAGGAGGTGATGCCTGAGCAGAGTCCTAGGACATATGAAAGAGCTAGCCACATAAAGAGAAGAAAAGTATCCAACTGAGCAAAATGTGTGCAAAGGCACAGCAACAAAAGAGAGTGCTGTGTTCGAGGAACAGCAAGTGGCATATAGAACCAAGACTGTATGTGAAAAGGAAACCAGATAAAATATTCATATAGAGTATTTGGTTCTCAAATCACTTTCACATCAGTGGGTTATTCAATCTACATTCTATTAACATTTTGGAGTTCCTACTATTTGCCAGGCAATATGGCGGGACCTGAAGAGTATGTAAGCAAAGAGATCAGAACTGGATCCTGCCATCAACAGGTCACAGATTACCAGTGGAGATAATATGTGCCAATATGGACTGTAACATGAAGAAATGACCCTAAAGGTACAAATAAAGCACCATGAGAGATTAAAGAGACCATTCTTGGCTAAGAGGATGGCATCCTTTGGAGAAGGTTTGATGGGTAACTTAACCTTAAGTTAACCTTAACTTAACCTTTGATGGGTAGATTGTTTGGTGTGGAGACAGCTTCCTTGACAGGGGAATGAATGGCCTGAATAATGGCAGGAAAGGGGCAGCACATATTCAAGGAAAAAGAAGTGTTCAAGTTTGGCCTTGGCAAGTGTGAGTCAGCTCTGTCCCTCATTCATTCACTCTTCTATTCAATAAGTATTTACTGAATGCTTGTCATATGAAGGACCATCCTGGGTGCCAGGGATCAAGCGGTAAACAAGTTGTTCCCTGCTCACATAATGTTTACATTTAATCAAAGGAACTATGTATTGAACACTAACTAGACAGAGCCTATTTAAGCTATAATTTTAAAGTGCTACAAAAGAGAAGTACAGGATGCATGAGAGCACAGAGCCAGTCAGTGGTCTGAGATGAAATGTCAGGCAATGAGGAATTATGAGAGATAAGCTGGGAAAAGGATGTTGGGGCTAGAGAGCAAAGACTTTGAATGCCAGGCTAAGGATTTTGGAATTTAATCTCTTAATTTTCCTGAAAAACAGCCCTCAGTATTAGTGCAGGTGTTATCAGCATATAGTATAGTGGAAAGAGCATGCACTTTGGGTTCAGAAAGACTTAGCTTTGAATTCTGGCTGTGCCAATTATAAATCATGTGTCAGTATGTTTCTTAAACTCTCTGAGCTTCAGTTTTCTTATCCTTAAAATGGGGTGATAATACTCCCAGTGGAAGCTAAGAAATACCTAGCACAGCCTAGCAGAGAAAAGCAATCACTATATGATAATTTCCCTTCTCTTGTCACATGTGAAAATTTCATACCACTGAGAGTTTAAAAGTACCCTGCCTAAGATCACCCAGCTAGTAAATTAATGGTAGATGTGGACCCTGTCTATAGACTACGGCTACTAGGTATGGGTACCTACAAGCTAGATTGTCCCTAAAGGACCAGAGATTAATTCAGAGCAGTAGAAAAACCTAGGGAATTAATTCTGTGGCCACACCAGTAGGAAGACTCTTCTTTAGCAACAACGATGCAGGCTGTTCTTTGTCATTTAGAATTTGGCTTCGTTCTCACGCTTGCCTGTGCAAGAGAATGCAAAAAGAAGTGAAAACTACAGATTCCCAGGCCTCATCTCGGATATACTGAAATAGACTCTTCAGGGTTGGAAAAAGAAATTTAATAGCTCCCCAGATGAGTCGGCTGCGTATCCATGTTTGAGAACCACTGGACTAGAGTCTCACTCTCTTGCTCATTGCAAATGTCCTGTTACTCCTTAGTGGAGCAGAGAATCCTTAATGCCAGTGTTTCTGAAAATGTGGTCCTCAGACCAGCAGCATCAGCACCACTTGGGAACTTTTTATAAGGGCAAACTTTTAAGCCCATCCCAGGCCTACTGAATCAGCAACTCTGGGGGTAGGGCCCAGCAGTGTGTCTGAATAAGACTTCCAGGTGATTCTGATGCACCCTAAAATTTGAGAGCCCCGCTCAATAGTATTCCTGAGAAGTTTTCCAGCAGTGCATCAGGAAACAGGAGAGTCTGGTAGAAGTTCTGCAAAACATGAGAAGAAGGGTAAGAGCAGTGAAATTGAAAGGTTAGGGGCAGAGAAAGGAAAAGAAACAAGAAAAAAGGAGGAGCCCCAGTACTATGGGAACATGGGTTTGCTTGTTTCATTTAACCCCTGACATCAGCAGGCTTGTTATGATGTAGAATGACGTCCCAGTTCCTCCATGAAAATTCTGTTCCCTAAGTAAAGCAAGCTGGATGACTGTTCCCAGTGGTTGTGTGACCTTGGCAAGTGACTTCACCTCTCTAGGTCTCTGTCTCCTGAGGTACAAAAATTAGGGGCCTGAAGTGATTGATCGCCAAGGGTTCCTCTGGCTATAACTTTTTACAGCACTGCCCAAAGGAATTGAGATTCACTCTGGCATTTCGAGTGATGCCTGAGCAAGTGACTCTTTTTCTCAGGGCTTCTTGGAACAGCAAAACTTAAAACAGGGGGCTGGTTTGGGACCTGGAGTAAACAACTTCCTTCCTGGAGAGTCTGAGCATCCTGAGGACTTGCAGAGGGAAATTCCAGGCCATCTGGATGTGAGAGAATTGCAGTCATCTACCCGGGTTACAGGAGCTTGCCTTCCGGAGATGGCATTATGTCACTACATAGTTCATTATGACCTGGAAAAGTCCTCAGTAACCATGAGGGTGGGGTGTCGGGGGTGGAATGGGCAGTTTTGATACACAGACTCAGTCCTTCTTTTCTCTGTCTCCACAGGAGGTCCCCAGCTGCTAGTCAGCCTCCTGTCTCCAGAGTCAACCCACAAGGTAGGCCATGTCATAAGGTCTATCTAGATGTTTCAAGATAGAATAATAAACATGCCTCTTATTCAGAACTGTTTTTTAGAACAATAGTGTTGTTTGCATATTGTGGCTCTCAAAAGTATGTCTCTTGGTGACTTTTTTCTAAGGTACACTGGAGCATTACTTCACTCTATTAAAACCACATTAAAAGCAGTACTAAATAATTTGCCCATTGTATGTGCAGGCTTTCAGAATATGATAAACATGGGGTAATGCTGCCTCTTCCCCAAAGAGGAGCAGGAGACAGAGTTGTATTGACAGTGCAGCTTGACCTCAGCTTGCTGGCCCCAATAAACTCCAGGAGAGCTAACATCGAAGACCTAAGGTGCTCCACGTTCGCCTGAGGGCCCCTGCGGATATGTTAGTGGTTTCCCTCTTAATGTCAACTATAGATTCCACTTGAATCTACATCCTTTCCAGGTGTGAAACCAAAGGCTCTTTCCAGGTCACGAATCATTTCTTTTGGAGGGCATCCAACTTTGTTCCTCAACGGTGTTTTGTTTTGTTTTGTTTTTTGTTTTTTAAGAACCTAACCTCTCATCTTTCAGGACAGTGCATCCACTTTTCTTGGTGTGTTGAGAGCTGCAGAGAGGAAGGGCCACCTTGAAGGAACACCATGGAGTTCTGTTGGAACTGAAATTCTTCTTCACACAAAATGCAACCAGTTCTATGATATTTGTTAAAGTCCAAATAATGTTTTCTCCTAAATCTGTTCCCTACTAATGTAGCAGTAGATTTGAGAAAAACCACAGGAGAAACAATTAAGATGAACTCACACTGAGATCACCTAATGCCTGACACCTAACGATGCCTCACATGCTTTTCTATTTCCAGCAGCGCTTCATACTTAAAATCTTTCTCTCTTGGTTGTTGTGTTTTCTTTCTGGTATCCTGATCATAAGTATAACGGAAGTATTACAAAAGCTTAGCTTCTAAAAGAAGGGAACAAAAGCAGCAGATTCTATTGGCTCATTGGCTTCTGAAGTATTTGTGGTGCATGCTTTTTAAAATATTTTTATAAAAGAAAGATTGAGAACGAGAAAAAAAAGTGAAAGAAAGATACTAAGTAAAGGTGAGTTTACTCTAGAGCCTCGTAATATGAAATATAAAGAAGTAAACAGTACTCTATGGACTTCAAAAACCTGGTGTGCTGCATGTACTATTTCTTTTAGAACTTTTATAAAAAGAAACAAAATAGGATGTTTTAACATATAACTCGTGTTACATACTTGGAGATCGAAGGAGGTAGTTTTGAAACTCCAATCATTTCATCATATTGGCCTACCAGTGAGGCAATGTTGCTCACATTTCTGTTAGCCAAATTTACATCAATTTGATTATTTAGACTATGTTTTCTTTTTCTTGTAATAAATACTGACAAACATTAGGAGAATATGTACAATTTATGGTTCTATAAATTAGCTCATTAACCAAAGATGTGGTTGGAAAGATCCTTTTGTGATTATTGGCACAGCAACTACAGCTTGACAACTAGGGATTCTTTTGATAAAGTCTTCTCAAACAATGGAGCAAAGAAATGACAGTACCACTCAGGCAATTTGTTTCCTTCTGTCTCTGTGGCAAACTACAAAAATCTTGGCTTTTCACTGGGAAGAGAATGTAGTGATACCAATTACTACGTAATTACGGGTTTCAAAATCTCCTTAACGTTTAGCCACGGTTAGAAAAGGAAGGAGGAGACACACATCCCTTGTTTTGTTCTTATTATCAGCTTAAATAAGTCAGGCAGATTTTTCCTGTTATTTTAATATTTATCAGCATATGACAAAGAGGTGTGTTTAAATAGAAACTTTAAAGGGGAATGAAAAATAACTGGCTCAGAGCAAACAGAATTGAGAACTGGAGTGCTGCTTCAAAATATGATTTTTCATGATAGTAAGATCAGGTTTTTATTTCTCAGTACTGAAGTTGAATTCATGTATTTCAATTGAAATCTAAGATAAAAGGTACAAGAAATCTACATCAATTTAAACAGATTTAGCAACAACCTAGTTTGCTCAGAAAGCCTGACTTAGATAACTGTATTCTTGTATTGGAGCAATTCAGAGAGAGAGAGAGAAATACCAAATCTTAAAATGCTTTATTATTTTGAACATATAAATGAGAAAAAATGCAATTTATTTTAAAAGCTAATTGTCAGAAACCATGGTAAATTGGTACATTTACTTTTACAAATTGATTATTAACTGAAATATTAAATGGATACATCAAAGGAAAGCTCTCCATTTGAAATACCCCTCTTCGGCCAGGCATGGTGGCTCATGCCTGTAATCCCAACACTTTGGGAGGCCAAAGCGGACGGATCACGAGGTCAGGAGTTCAAGACCAGCCTGACCAATATGGTGAAACCCCATCTCTACTAAAACTACAAAAATTAGCTGGGTGTGGTGGCACGTGCCTGTTGTCCCAGCTACTCGGGAGGCTGAGGCAGGAGAATCTCTTGAACCTGGGAGGCGGAGGTTGCAGTGAGCCGAGATCGCACCACTGAACTCAAGCCCAGGTGACAGAGCAAGACTCCATCTCAAAAAAAAAAAAAAAAAAAAAAAAGAAAGAAAAAGAAAATAAAGAAAGAAATACCAGAAATACCCTTCTTCTCACTATCCAGCCAAGGTTCTTATCAGCTCTCATGGCTCAATGCAAATGTCCTTACTTTGCAAAGACATCTTATTTTTTTTTAAGTTGGCATAATTGCTCCTTTTTTGTGCTATGGCAACAATTTAATTCTCTGATATACTTTAATTCAAGGCTTCTTGTGTGTCTCTCCCATTGGAGATAAAGCTCTTGAAGACAGGGACTGTGCCTTATCTATCTTTTTATTACTCATGGTGCTTTCGCATAGTTATTTTCACATAGTAAGAACACAGTAAGTGTTGAATTGACCGGGAAAACTACATAAAATTTGGGGACTTTATGTGAAGTAAAATACATATAAAATAAACTTTTAATAATGAGCCAATATTTTTATCTCTATTGCTATGAAAATTATTCAAATTGTGTTTTTTCACTGTTAACAATTAGTTATTGCACTGAAGTTAATAGAGGTTTGAAGCACACTCTATAACTGCTTATATATGTTAGTGTGTTCGTATAGGTTTTGAACAAAAAGAGTGAAATCTAAGAAGTTGGCATTTAGCACTTTGAATAAGAAAGCCAGAGTAGAGCAATGGAGAATTTCAAGCCCAGAAAGAACAACGAGGAAGCCATATGCTCCCAGGTTGAGGAGAAAGACGCAGTAAATCCTCCTAGGGGTGTCGAAAATGCCAATGTTGTAGTTTAATGAGCATCTGAATTTGTTTCACATTTTGCCTTTCACAAGCATAAATTCCAGGCTCTCCCTACATGGTGCTCAAGGATTGAAACAGAAAGGAAAAAATAGAAAAAGAAAGAAAACTCCAAAATAAGGCAGGAACTCGAATTCTGTCACCTGTACATATTCACAACAGAAAATTGAAGTAATTCTCAGGATTTCAGGTCCCAAAACTATTTGCAACAGGAAAATGGGGTGCATGCATACACATGTGTGTGTGATAATTGTCGCCTTTTTTCCATTCCATCCTATCCTTTGCTCTTCAATAGTAATCACACATATGTCATGACAGTAAGAATTTACTGAAAAGATAAATTATCAAGTGTTCGCTGTCTTTACAAAATGATTTTTTTGCTTTATAGAAGGATTGGAGAAGCATCCTTTTAATGGCTAGCACATCCGAGTCATGTAAATGTGACTTGATGTAAAATAATATGTATCATGTATACAATATTTTAGCAGCCAATTTGATACATAAGGTGGGGTGCTCTCTACTAAATTTCTTTTTCTAAAATTTATCAGTAAATTTACTGAGCAGGAACATTACCACTGGTAACAGATCAGATGTTATGAAAAACACCACAGAAGTCTATGGGTCACTGGAAATGACAGCAAACCATAGCACCAAGATGACTAGGGAATCACTTTGAGGACTTCAAGCCAGATTGCTGCAGATACTAATGATATCAAAGCCTGGATATCCATAGCCTTGATTTATGGTGATTTTCAACACCAGTCAATTAGAATGCATTTCAAGAAAAGACTGTGTTCAGAGAAATCGTATGAGACATTTCTTTTAATATGTGTCTAGGCCATTCTGGGGAGGAATTGGCTTTTTACCAACTGATAAAACAGAAGAAGAGGCTTTCTCCTTGGAAACCTATTTCTCCATACAGGTTCTGCCCATAGCTTTACTTGATTATGACTATCCCTCCGGAGGTTCATGTGGGTGTACCAGATGCAGGGTCTCTTCAAGTAGTGGACAAGAGGGTCAGTGAGTTATCTTCGATTTTAAGGAATTCAGAAAGTCATGACATTGATTCCGTTCTCATTCTTTGCCAGAACTTTCAGGACCTGTGATGAGACAGGGTCTATATGTGCATGGGTAAAGGGCTCTCTGAGAACCACAGCAATAGCCTGAGAGCAGTGCTGCATCAGATGACTGGAAATGAGGCCCAGCACAAGCAGAACCTTTGCTTGGTTTCTACATTAAGCAAGAACTGTCAGGCAGGATTACAACACTTACGGACAAATAGGAATAAAATCAATCTTGTGACCAAAGGCTCTGACCAGTCATGATAAAGGAAAGATTAGAGGGAATTATAAGAAAAAAGAAAAAGGAAAGAAAAGAGATAAAAAAGAATGGAAAAAGAAAAAGTCAGAAATATCAAACTATGTTTTCTTCCTTATTCTGAATTCTGTGTGCTGAATTAATGGAATAATTGCCTTAATTACTCGCCTTCAGCGTTTAGACAGCCTGCATATAAAATGATAGCAAAAATGCACCAGAAAAGCCCCAGTTATTTTGAGAATAATTTTCCAAATGGTTGTTTTGTAATAATTGCTTTTGTCTAAAATAGCCCTCTTATGAAAGTTTACCCCAGAGCATCAACACTGAGCTGTTTATATTGATTTGCAGTTATTTCATACATATCTAAAATTAAGTATTGGTACTCGCAAAAACATTAATACCTCAGCTAAAGTGCAAACGTTAAAATGTTTCCCTTAAGCAGATATTGTCAAATATAACACCCTGCTTATTATGGTTATTTCACTAGTTCAAAATTAATTTGCAAATTTAGCATAAATATTTCTTCTCTTTGAATGAAACCGAGGAGGCCTCATCTAAGTTCTCACTAGCTGCCTGAACAGTTGAGTCCGTTCCGTGTTGACTCCACTTCACATTTTTGTACTGCTGAGAAACAACATCCACCCACCCTCCCCTTGAAAGTTGGAATCATGCATGTTAGTAAGTATTTCAGTTATGCTATTGACGTCAATGGAGTCATTAAATAGATTGCTGGCCCTCCCAGAGGCAAATCGCTGCCAGGGACCTAGATACAGACACGTTTTTTACAAAGACAACCATCAGGTTTTGCTATAGCAGTAAGCCAGAGAAAGGGAAAAGTTTATACTGTAGCAGACCTATCTCCAAACACAGTTTCTTTCTTTCTTTTGCATTTTAGTTCCGGCCTTTCTTTCTCTTTGGTTACAGTAGGCTCAAGCAGATACCCAGATACTGTTGCCTGAATGTTTTGTGTGCAAAAGCATCTCCTGTAATTGAGACCATGAAGGGAGGTACCCCACTTTTAAAAATGAGTCTCACATTTTGCTCTACACAGCCTATCTTGATGTTGACTTGGTTGCATAAATTATTTAGGCAAATCACTATTGTCTGCCAGTAAGGTCGTGTTTGATATATAGTTCCCTGAATAAACAGTCTCCTCCAAACACACACACACTTTTGTACTTTCTGCCATCCCTGCGTGGCATGTCGCTGCATCCCCTCATCTATGAATCAACCTTTTTGCAGCTAGCACTGTGCTGTAGCATCAGGGATCTGCAGCAAAGGGTGGAGGAGGAAGCTGGGAAGAAAGCTTCACTTCTCTCAGCTGCCTCATCTGCAGCGCTCCCACAGGAGGCTGTCCACGTGCCTGTGTCCTCCCAAACCCTAGCTGCTGCCTGCCTCGAGCCTGGTCATGCAGCTCCCAGGCATGGCAGGCAGAGCCCTTTAGGAAACATGTGCCTCTTTCTGGGCATTCTTGACAGCTCTATTTACCTGCACAGCCCCAGGAGTCAGAGCCAGAGATTCGCCTCACACATCTGGACTCTTCCACCTCCAGGATCGAAGTTAGGGAGACATCTTGAGCAGACAGATTTCTTCAAATCTGGTTGTCAGAAACTATCCCATTGGTTTTAGAACCCATTTCTCTCTTCAGTCCTGTACCTTCACTCCCTGGAGACCCCCAACCCCCATTACTTATCAGTAAGTTTGTATATAAATGCCAGACATCTGACTACCTCTGGTAACCCCTTTTGGTTCATCTGGAGACCCAAATTCATTCACCTACACAACTGTCCCTTTTTCTGTCTTTCTGACTTTGAGTAGCATCTTCATCATCCACCCTTTTATCTCCCTCTTCACCTACCACAGCCAACTCCTTTAGTCTTTTTCTCTAATCTTTTTCCTTTTCTCCCCCACTTCCTCTGCCTTTGTTTATTGTTCCATCATCCTGTACCTAAAGCATTGTGGTGGTCCTCCAACTTGTTATTATTGTCCTCATTCTTTCCCCACTCTAAACCAGCTTCCATTCTGGTACTAGAATTCTTTTTTTTTTTTTTTTTTTTTTTTTGGAGGGACGGAGTCTCACTCTGTCATCAGGCTGGAGTGCAATGGCGCACAATCTTGGCTCACTGCAACCTCAGCCTCCCGGGTTCAAGCGATTTTCCTGCCTCAGCCTCCCATGTAACTGGGACTACAGGACCCCACCACCGTGCCCAGCTAATTTTTTGTATTTTTAGTAGAGACAGGGTTTCACCATGTTGGCCAAGATGGTCTCAATCTCTTGACCTTGTGATCCGCCCACCTCAGCCTCCCAAAGTAGAACTATTCTTATAAACCCCAGTTATGGTTACATTATTTTCTTCTTTAGCTATACTTTGCCTTCAAGATAAGACCTAAATGTCTCACCAGGCATGCAAAAGCCTTTAGAATTTTGCTCTCTTTCTTTGTCCTCATCTCCCACTTTACGCTGCCACCCCCCTGCACAACTGATGGCTGAAGTGCACTGAATATACATCCCTGAAATACACCAGGATCTTCTTGCTTTCCTGCTTTCATATATGCTGTTTCTTCTACCTGGTTGCCTTTTCTCCAAAATATCATTTACATATTCAGCTCAGGGATTATTTTTCACATTGTCACTGTGAACAAATTCTATATATCATCTGATTCTTGGATTCAGGATTAAAATAAATATATAGTCTCAATTCAGGGCCTGGGCCCTGATATATACTATGTGCATAGGAAATACTACTTCCTTTACCCATTTCCTTCTGGAAAGTGCATTTTAACCCTTCATCTTCTTGATATACCTTCTGCAACTCACCCAAAATTACTGTTAATTATTATCTCAAAATCTCTGTTATTACACTTGTCATACTGTATTGTAATTATTTCATTTTTTCCCATTCTAAACTAAAAGCATCCCAAGTTCAAATACTAATCCTCTTTTTCTATATCCTCAATTTATAACATAAAGCCCGGGACATAGCAAATGCTCAATAAATGTTTATGGACTGAACAAATAGGGATGAAATAATGCCCATGCCTGAACCAGATAAGATTAGAAAGGAAGTGAGGCTCATGTTCAGCTTTGTTAAGGCTTACTGAAATATCTGCTAGCTCTCAGGACATGTGCATAGTGCTGACATCCCTTGCTAATCTTGACAACGTGTGACTTTCAAGGCACTTGAAGTGAACTCTTTGTTATCCATCACTTCAGGAAGAAGTGGCAGTGTTAAAAGAAATGGAAGAAAAACAACTAAATGAATTTTTATCATACTATATTGTTCTCTTAGTGCCTGGCATTGTGCTTGCCACAAAGTAGGCACTCAAGTAGCATATTGAATGGAATTGGTTTGAGAACCCAGTTAATCCTTCAGAGAAGTTACTTCTCTGAGACTCACTTTTCTTGTCTGAAAAATGGGCATTTTTTTTTTTTTTGAGATAGAGTTTCACTCTTGTTGCCCAGGCTAGAGAGCAATGGTACAATCTCAGCTCACTGCAACCTCTGCCTGCCAGGTTCAAGTGAGTCTCCTGCCTCAGCCTCCCAAGTAGCTGGGATTACAGGTATGCGTCACAACACCCAGCTAATTTTTTTTTTTTTTTATATATTTTTAGTAGAGAAGGAGTTTCACCATGTTGGTCAGGCTGGTCTCGAACTCCTGATCTCAGGTGATCCACCCTCCTCGGCCTCCCAAAGTGCTGGGATTACAGGCATGAGCCACTGCGCCCAGCTGAAAATGGGCATTTTAATATTCTATATGTTAAGATTGTTGTAAGGGCTAAATGAGAAAAGCTTTATATAGTGATTAAGAGTGAAGACTCTGGAGTCAGACTGCCTCTTTCAAATTCCAGCCACACCACTTTGTGACCTTGGGACAAATTGCTTAACCTCTCTGTGTCCTAATTGCCTCGTCTCCAAAATTAGGATGGAAATTGTGTGTTTTGGTTGTAAGGATTAAATATGTTAACATGTATAAAGCATGTAGAAAGTCCCAGTGTTAGTATTGGTGTTATTAGTGTTATATAACATGACTCAGATAGTACTCAGCACATAGCAAACCACCAATGTGTGGTAGCTAAGATCCCAGCCTTCTGGTATCAGTAGAGAACCACAACAGAAAGCCCTGTTGAGCTCTTTCTAGAAGGTTCTGGTCTACTTTGCTTCCATAATAATACCATCTGAAGGGAGTAATTTTTGAAGTTTAAGACTTTTTTTTTCCTCCTGAGACTATAGAAATCTTGTTATATAGAAATAGTTTTAGAGCTGAAGGTAGAGTTCTCCAGCTCATACATGGGAAAGCTGAAAAGTCAGGAGGGAGAATGGAGCTGACACCAAATATAAAGGGACACCCCTAAATACAGCTTTTTCTCTTAAAAGCAGAGTGCAAAAAAAGATTGTCAAATTACTTAGGACTTCTGGTAAACCAAATCTTAGTTAACTGAAAGCCCTGTCTTGCATAAGCCTGACAGGATGCCACTTTATATGATAGCATCATTACAGCTTGTACAGCACATCAAAGTTGTATTGAAATACATGTTTCAGGGTTGGTACACACCTATTCAGGCATAGGTGTTACAACCCAGGAAGCTTAGCAGGGAGTAGCGCTAGGAGCTGGTGCAAAGCCTCCCTTTGCAGAGAGGACAAAACCCACTAGCAGAGTCTGCAGGAAGGGAAGAGGATTGGCCCTTTTGGGAAAAACTTTACACCCTCTCCAATTACTGCTGAGAAGGAAAAAGCAACCTCATACCCATCTTAACCCATTCTCCTCTCTTTATTGGAAGGGAGGGAGATAAAAAAGGAGGTTGGAGTTAGCCTAGAGAAGAATGAATATGGAAGTTTGCTAAGAGACAAGGAAGGAAGAGGACCACCGAAGTTCCTTTTTCTGCCTCCTGCTTCCCCAAGTGGGTATGATCCTGGGGGCAGGGTGAATTCTGCTTGCTTGCTTCTGATCAACCCCGAGCCAGCACATTATGAAGTTGCCTCCAGAACTGTTCTCGGAAGCCAGGAGCATTTCAGGGAACAGCCTTTCACCCAAGAGGAGGGAAACAAAGCAGGGACTGTCCCCTCAAAATAGAGAACAGGCAACAGAACTCACTGGATCTTTTTCTTGGTTTATTGTCTTGACTTCCTCCCAGTCAGAGCTGTTGACAAGCACCAAAAGCGACCCCTTGGAGTTTTCTGTATTTTTCCTACCCCCTGTCTGGCTGTGTCCACAGAGTAAGCTGGGACCATGGCGATTATCCAGCTTATTTGAATCTTACAGGCAGCCAGGTCAGATAATGCTATTTTCTCTCTGCCCCCTCAGTTGTATTTGGGGCTTCAAATTTCTAGGGTCTAGTCTGGCTAGCACTGCTGGTCTAATAAACTAGATAATGTCCAAAGCCCACATGTGTGCCTCTGATTTCAGGAAAGGTAAGGGGCTAGTGCTTATTCCATTTCTGGTATGTGCCAGGCACAGTGCTAGCCCCTTTGAATATATCACGTCACCTAATTCTCCAAACTAAACTTCTTTGCGTATATTATTGCCCCTATTTCACATATTTGGAAAAAGAAGATTCAGGAAGTATGTGGGGCTCACTCAAGACCACAAAGTTAGTGATAGAATCAGAACTGAAAGCTAGATCTGTATTTCTTGAAAACCCATGCTCTTTCCTCTGCAGTCTAAACCACACTGTCTCTGCCTCCATCCCACTGTAAACCTCAGATGTTATAGCTTATCAAGAAGGGGATGGGGAAAATGTCATAGCAAGAAAGCGAAGTGACTGGACTACCAACAACCTTAATAATTATTACATACTAGAGGACTTTCTTTAATTTCTTTCTCATCTATCCATTTTATTGTAAGTAGTAAGCAAAGGTGTAAGTCTTGAGAGAAATACATCTCACACGTCCATTATTCATTCATTAATGTATTTAATAAACGTGTTAAATTCATACTGTATACAAGGCACTGTGTTAGCCACTGAGGATGCTGTGATGAAGAGAATGTATTCAGACCCTGATCTCATAGATCTTACGGCCCAGGAAATAATGCATAAATAAATTCATGACTATACACTTGATAATTGTAATGAAGGAAAGTACAGAATGCTATGATATTGGCTCACTTTTTCACCTGTAAAAATGGGAATAATACTAGTACTTACCATTAGGGTTGCGGCAATATCTAAATGCGTTATTTTACGTAAAGCATTTAGAACACGCCTGGCACCCAGTAGTATTTAGTGTTTAACTATTATGATCATTAGTTTTATCACTATTTATCATTATCATCATTATCATTAGTCTAGTGTTATTATTGTTATCATTCTGGGGCCTAAAGTAGATTAGAAGATAGGAAAGAACTCTATAAATAAATGACTTTAAACTGGAGTCCTGAACACTGAGTAGCTGGGGTAGATCGAGGGGCGGTGGTCCTGAGAGAGTAACCAACACCTCAGAGATGCCACAGCCAGAGAACTGGGCACTTTGAACAACAGTAAGGGACGCAGCCACAGAGACTGAGAGATGCCAGGTTAAGCAGAACATTTGTAAGTCATGGTAGACATGTAGATTTTACTGCAAATTCAGTTGGGAGCCATTAAAAGATTTTGAGAAACAGATTGACGTGATCTGATATGCATTCTATTTATTTTATTTTATTTTATTATTTATTTATTTATTTTTTGTTTTTGAGACAGAGTCTTGCTCTGTTGTCCAGGCTGGAGTGCAGTGGCACGATCTCAGCTCACCACAACCTCCACCTTGTGGGTTCAACCGATTCTCCTGCCTCAGCCTCCCAAGTAGTTGGGACTACAGGTGTGCGCCACCACGCCAGGCTAATTTTTGTATTTTTAGTAGAGATGGGGTTTCACTATGTTAGCCAGGCTGGTCTTCAACTCCTAACCTCGTGATCTGCGTGCCTCGGCCTCCCAAAGTGCTGGGATTACAGGCATGAGCCACCACGCCCGGCCTTATATGCATTTTAAATACACAACTTCTCTTTGAGCCCCAAGTCTGGGTTAGTGACATCTCATACATGCTCCCAGTACCTGTATTTTCTCTGTAATAATACTCAGCTCCTGCCCCTTCCATGTACCTCCTGGTTAAGAAGACAGGCTCTGCAGCAAGACTGCCTGCACTTAGTTCTAGTTCAATACCTTTCTTTCTCTGTATGATTGTAGAGAAGTAATTCAACATCCCTGGGTCTTGATTTTCTTACATGTTTAATGGGGATAATAATAGAACCTTCTGCATAGAATTGTTTTAAGAGCAAAATTAAAACACTTAGAACAGTGGCTGGCACACATAAAGCACTAAATAAATATTAGTTGTTTTTAATATATTGTAACTGCCTATTTTCTTGACTGTTTATACACTAGACTGTATGCTTAGTTCCTGGCACAAGGCAGGTGTTCAAAAATATTTACTGAAAAAAGAATGAACAAGGAAAGAGAGGTAGTGCAATAAATTGTAACTAAAAGAAGAGAAAGATTGCTGTCCTATTCATGGGAAAATAGGCTTTCTTGAAACTGGGGTATATTCTGATAAGGAGGAGCCTGCTTATGGGGCCAGAGAAACTGAATGACTTTGCAGCTGCCCAGCTGCTACAGCTTTGGGGAACTTGAAATAACATCCGTGGAACAAAAATTTGTTTCAGAATCTGTGATGCCAATCTGGACTGCCATCTGCACAAAAAGAAAACTGGGCTCATGAAAGAGCTTTTTCATTCTCTTGGGCTATGTGACTATCTCTCTGGAAAGCAAATGCAAGGCTAAACCTCCGGAGTTCTCCATTTGCTGCCTTTGGAAGGACAGTCTCACCAAAAGAGCCAGTCATCCTACTAAGAACATAACACTATGACTTCCTTTTCATCCCTGCATTGCTAATAGGGCCTCAAAGGAACAAGGGCTCAGTTCTGTGAAGTAAACACACACCTTTAGTGTAGTGAATAAACACTGGAAGAAGCTTTTCACATATTTGTAAGCTCGGAAGTCTTTTAGGCATTGAGTAGCAGCAGCTCCTTTATTGCTTCATGCAGCTGCACGGGGTACCTGCCCGGACAAACAATGAATCCTTCAGCTCTCTGAATGTTCCAGTTCTGTGCCGTGTGTGTGTGTGTATGTGTGTTTGTGTGTGTGTGTGGTGTGTGCATGCATACGTGCATGTGTGCTGGTTTGTTACTTGTATATCCCAGGGGAAAATAAGGGTTCTTTGCATGCTTTTTGTCAACACAATGGGTCTCTGTTCTCACTGACCTGGTTTTCCTTTATTCCTTCCCTCTCATCACAAGTTTAGGCAGTCTGGCTTTCCTCATCCACAGAGCAAGGCCTTCCCCTGATTTACCCCTCTCTGCATGCTCTTCACACTTCCAAACCATTTTCCATATAGGCCCCTTAAATCTAATTTAAATACTTCCCTCTGGAAAGCCTCAAATGATGAGTCCTGCCTAATTGCTCCCTCCTGTACATGTCCTATGTTGCTTTCTAAAAGCATCATAGCTCTTTATGTCATGGGCATAAGTTCTTCCTTCATTATTTGTCAGGTGTGTGTGCACTCCTTAAGCTAAAATTTTATATTATGGCATCTCACTGAGCCAAGAGGAAGGAGGAGTACTTGTGTGAATAAGACCTAGACTCTGATTGTGAGTTTAAACCGTTTGGAAATAAGAAATAAGATACATTACTTGAGGCCAGGAGTTCAAGACCAGCCTGGCCAACATAGTGAAATCCCGACTCTACTAAAAATACAAAAAATTAGCCAGATGTGGTGGCACACTCCTGTAATCCCAGCTGCTCAGGAGGCTGAGGCAAGAGAATCGCTTGAACTCGGGAAGTGGAGATTGCAGTGAGCCAGGATTGCACCACTGCACTCCAGAGCGAGACTCTGTCTCAAAAAAAAAAAGTAAGATACATCAAGATAGGGACTGTGTCAGTCATGGTCCTCTACAGAAACAGAATCAGCAGTAGGACAATATTCACTTTAAGAATTTGGCTCATGAAATTATAGTGGTTGACAAGCTTGAAATCTATAGAGCAGAAAGTAAATTCAGGCAGTAATTAATGCTGCAGTCTTCAGGCACAATATGTTCTTTTCCAGGAAGCCACAGTTTCTGCTCACAACTGACTGCACAAGGCCCACCAACATCATCGGGGGTAATCTCCTTTACTTTAAGTCTATTGATTGTAGATGTTAACCACATCTACAAAATACCTTTCACAGCCAACACCTAGATCAATATTGATTAAATAACAGGGCACTATAGACTAGCCAAGTCAGCACATACAACTAATTATCAAGGACCCATCAACCAACAACCCCAAACACCTGTCTTTGGAATTAGACTGGAATTATGCCTAGCTCTTCTACAAACAAGATGTATAAAATCCAGGACAATAAAAATTTTTGTATTATTTCTGATTGAGTCTTCACTTCAAAACAAAATAAAATAATCATTCATCCTAGCTCACAGAATTGTTTTGAAAACCAAATGATAGTTCGAAAGACCAGAAGCGCAAGCTATTGGTACTTTGAACACCTTGACAGTGCGCAAGTAGTGGCAGCACACCTGTTAAATATTGGTGGCCACACAAACACATCACCATTCTCTCTACTGAGCAGACATGAGAGAAGAGAAAATCTTGGGCTTTTGCTTTACACGAATGCCAATCAATTTGTGCCTAGTATCTGGAACACACAACTGATTATCTTAAACTCAATGGAGGGAAATATCTTTAAAAGAAGTTAATTTGGACCAGAAATATCTCAGGGGAGGTAGGAGTGAGGTTGGAGCATTCTTTATGTACATTTCCACAGAGTTGAGTATGAAACTTTATTCCCTGTAAAAACAAATTGGAAATTTGAATGTGAATCCAATTTGCCAGGTTATCCTTGAGACGCCCTTCCTTCTCACACCTGGATATTAAAACTTATCTCCATTTCCCTGTGAGTCTTGTATTCCTGTCACTAAAAATTCCTCCAGCCTCTTTGCAGAGCACATTGGCACCAGGCCCCCTTCTAAAGCCACAATGCCGAAGTTCTGATTGCACCTCCGTATTCCTATGTTTCCGGTAAGTCTTTTAAAGACATTTGGCTCCTGCCTCTGGTCTTGAATATTTTAGGCCTATTGAGTTTAGAATCTAGAGAAAATAGCAGATTAAATGTAGCTCAGGAACAAGAGGGTGTTGTCCAGAGAAAGCTGAGAGTGACTGGCACAGCAGACGTAAACATCGTCACCAGGGTGTACATAGCTTTAACTCAGGTACCTGCACGGGCATCACAGGCAGCATGGCACAGATAGTTCACAGGCCTGGGTATCTATGCTTATGGACTGGCCTTCCAAGTGCAGTTTCCTGCTCACTCTTATTTATCTTCTGATAAAGAATTGCTCCCAGCAAATTACTAAACTAAACCTACTGCTGATACTTTTACTCCAGTTGTAAAAACACATTACTCCCTCTGCTTCTGCAGAAGTGGAACATGCTTCTACAATTCCCTTTTCTAAATTTGTTGATGGATTACTTATTGCCCCACTCCTCAAGTTTCTGTGGAGGGGATTCCATCTAATCTTTAACAGGGAACAGTTTTTGGGAAATATTACCTTTTCTCCCTTCTGTGCTGCGAGAGCAGAGGGCAAAGACAAGTAACAGTGAGTGGGAATTATAGGAGAGGTTTTTGCCTCAGTGAGCCTTTTAACCCACTAGAGATCTGGAAGAAAATGGAGTGGGTTTCTCTGGGAGGTGATTTGTTCTGCATTCCCTTGCTAGAAGATCACTTGCCTAGACATATGTAGGAAGTTTAACATGGGTTTTCCTCATTCGGAAGAAGGGTGGATTCAATCACTTCTGAGATTTTTCTTGTGTTAGGAGCATATATGATGGAACTGTGTTTTGGTAAATCAGTTTCAGTTCTACACTGCCCCTAAAGTATTTTGCTTGTTTTCAGAGGTCTGTCCATAAAGCATTTGTTTCAAATACAAGGCATGGGGGAGGAGGTGTTATCACAATATCAAACCCCTGCTAAGTATCAGATTTTCTATTAGGTACTCTGCAAAGGAGATCTGTTTTTATCCTCAACAACCTTCTATTAAGTCAATATCATTATCCCATTTTTTTTAACCAATAAAACTATGCCTCCATGAATGTAACTAGTAGTATAAAGACACTCACTCAGCTTGTAACAGACAGACCTAGGATCGGAACCATAAAGACACTCAGCTAGTAAGCAGTAGAGTTAGGATGTGAACACTGCCTTGTTTGGCTCAGAAGCCTGTGTACTTGGCATGAGCTCTCTGTGCTGTCCAGTAAGTAAAGGTGCATGTGATGCCCACACAGGTACCTGCGTTGAAGGTACGTACACCCTTGAGATGGTGTTTACATCTGTGGTTCCAATCACTCTCAGCTGTCTCTGAACAATACCAACTTGTTCTTCAGCAACATTTAATCTGTTTTTTTTTCCTCCAGATTCTAGAACTAGAGAGAATTTAGAAGAAAATACATTTCAAGCTTTAGTTTTCCCTCATGGGAATAACTGAGCCAATAGGGAGGTGGCAGTGTCTTCCTCTCTTCTAGGAATAAGTCTCCTTCCCTGAAAGACTTTTGGGTTTTGAGTAAGCCATCCTGGCAGGGAAAAGAGGCAGGGGAGAATTTTTAGGACGTAACAGAGCTGTGGGAGACATATCTCCAGTGCATTACTCACTGCTTAAAAGACACCCCCAGCCTCTGACATCACAAGGAGAGAGAATTAGATTTCAGATCAGTAGTGAAACTGAGGTGTGTCTTGCTTGAACACAAGGAGGCAGCCATCCAACTCTAGGCTGGCTCTGGAAAGTCCCATTTTGAATAATTTGCTTCTTATGATGCTTTGTTCAGCTTCCCTACCTTAAGTGAAACTGTGTGACTTAAATGAAAGAGCACTGAGCTGAAACTCAGGAAACCTAAATTTCAGTACTGGCACCAACCAGGTGTGTAACCAGAAGTAAATCCTTTAACCTTTCTAGACTCAGTCATCTTTAGTTTAAATTATTTTGAGTCTTTGAGTCTTAGAATTCAATCTTACTTCAGATTTCTATAATGGCTCCTGGCCCAAAAATAGTGGTGTGTGGGTGTTGACATGGATAATTCTTTGTCACGGAGGAAACAGCCCCTCAGTAAGAATCTGGAATTCAAGCCTAGGTCTCTTTGGTCTAACTCCAAAACCTAGGCTTCTTCCACCTCTCCTACCCTGACAAGAGGCCATACTATTGTTTCATAACAAAGTGTATCTTTATTATTTTTATAATCCCTGTTAGCCTTGTCATTGGCACAGTTCATTAGCAAACATTCATTGAGTGCTTATGAGTGCTGGGAAAATAAAAAGGAAGGGGACATGGTGCCTGACCTAAGCTTAAAAGCATTTTCATAAGGAGATTCTGGAGCCACACTGCCTGGATTTAGATCCCAGTTCTACTATTTTTAGACTAATCATTTCTTAAACTTTCTGCATACCTCAGTTGCTTCATCCTCATTTTCTTCATCTTTAAAATTTTCCTCTTAGAGTTGTTTTAAGGATTAAATTTGTTGCTTCTGTAAAACATTTAAAATAGTGCCAATTATAGAGGAAAGACCAAATACATCATTGCCGTTATTGTTACTATTATATATATATGTGTATATATGTATATATATATGTATATATGTATGTCAGTCCCCTTGTGTCAGGAGTCTTAGAAGGTTGCAACTGGGTCTTGTTTGCTGGCACTTAATAAATGTTTGTTGGATCCAATTATTCAACACATATTTACAATGTTTCTACTATGCGCAAAGCCCTCTGATGGATCCTTGGTAGAATCCAGAATTTTTACAACTTTTTAAAAAATTACCATGTTTTAGAGCTTGCGTAAGTATAATTTGGAATTTTTTTTCTCTTTCAATATTTCTCTTCTTTCTTTTTCTGTGGCCCTTGTATAGAAAGTATTGAGGAACTGAGAGGAAGATATCTCACACATATGCTTGCTAACTTAATCATATGAGCCATCCTGGAGGAGGTGGGGTTAACAACACACCAAAAAGAAGATTCTTCTCTTTCTTAAATGATAAATGTCTTTTAGAACTCTGATGTCAGACAAGAGAGTACTGCTTACTTTTAATGGGTTTTCTGTGTCAGAGAGAGAGAAGGGAGAGAGAGCGAGAGAAAGAGAGAGAGAGAGATTCATTCACCACTTTCTCATTGACTCATTCATTCACCCTAAAAGCACCTGGCGAGTACTCACCACAACATGAATCAGGCATTATGCCTGGGTAATGCTGGATAATGGAGATACAGAAATGAATAAAACATGGTTTCTTCTTTGGGAGAGTTAACAGTCGTGGGGCAGACAAACATAACTTGATTTATAACGCAGTGTAATAAGAATTTTTCAGAAGCATGAATAAAGTGCTCTGGAAGGACACAGGAAGGCAGGTAGTTGGGAGCAAGATCCTATCCTAAGTACAAATAACACTCTGTACTGAGCTGTACCTAGGAAATTTATAAATTGGATTTTATTAAATTTTAAAAATTAGTATTTCCCATAGCTCGGTCATTCATTATACGCCAAGTGTTCAGCCATTTCAGCTCAAGTTAGCATATTCTTTGAGCACCTATTATAACCAAGTGGATTAGGAGACTACATATTAATTCTGACCATGACTAGGACAAGGAAGGTATAAGATATATGATTTGAACTCTGCCTTAAAGAATAGATAGTATTTCATAAGGCAAAGTGAGAAATAGTTTTTAAGAGGGCAGACCATGCTCAAACAAATGGAGGCCAGCCAGGTGCAGTGGTGCATACCTGTAGTTCGATCTACTCAGGAGGCTGAGGCAGGAGGATTGCTTGAGCCCAGGAGTTTGAAGCTGTAGTGCACCAAGATCATTGCAGTGAATAACCACTTCACTCCTACTGGGCAACAAAACAAGACCCCATCTCAAAAAAATAAAGTATGCAGATGAAAAAGTATAGGTTTAATTGCTTAGTTATTGGAATGAAAGTCACCCTAGGGGATTAGTGAAGAAAGGATAGGGTGTAGGGATATGCAGGACATTAGACAGGAAAGATGGCTGGGCAAAGAAAAAAGGGCTTTGCATACCTTCCAAGATTTTATTTTGTGTGCAGCGAGGAGCCACTGATATTTGTTCATCAGGGAAATACATTATCAAAGCAGTGCTTCTTGGGATGGTTAATGTGGTTTTGGCTACAGTGACAGGAAGCAGATTCAGGCTTGGAATCAGAAAACATAACAGAGATTGATGAATTGGGATTACTTGTGTGATCTTGAGCAAGTTCATAATCATTTCTGAGCTTTAGCCTCCTCATCTATATAGCAAGCAAGATGAAATTACGACAAGAGCAACAATCACAACAACAATGTTTATTGATCATTACTCTCTGAATAGCATGGTGGTAGGGCATTTCCTTGTAATGTTTAAGCCTCAAAACAACTCTGTGAGTTCTTAAAAAGGTAAACGTAAATTTACCCATATGACCCACCAATTCCACTCTTAGATATCTACACAACACAAATTGAAGACGTATAGTCTTTCAATATATGTTCCACAAAGTCGAACACAAATGTTATTAGCAGCATTATTTATTTGTTTTTAACTTTTGATTTTTAAAAATATATTTAGGGGGTACAAGTGCAGGCTTCTTACATGAATATATTGCATAGTGATGAAGTCTGTGGGCCTTTATTGTATCCATCACCCAAATAGTGAACATTGTACCCATTAAGAAATTTTCAACTCTCACACCCCCTTACCCTTCCACCTTTTGTAGTCTCCAACAGCCATTATTTCACTCTATATGTCCATGTGTCCACTGTTTAACTCCCACTTATAAGTGAAAACATGCAGTATTTGATTTTCTGTTTCTGAGTTAATTCACTGAGGCTAGTGGCCTCCAGTTCCACTCATGTTGCTGTGAAAGATACCATTTCATTATTTTTATGGCTGAGTAGTATTCCATGGTATATATATCTTAGCTGATCCTGACTCAAGCAGCAGTTGCCCAGACGGATTAGAGGAGTGACAGGAACCAAGAAAAGAGCTGTACAATGCTGCAGGCAGGAAGTAACAAGAGCTTACCAAAGGCACTGTCAGGAAGAAAGAACCAAAGGTGTTGACAATGAAGCCAAACTAGGGTAAGGCTCCTAATTGTACCATATTTTAACTTCTCTAAACAATCATTTAGGATGCTTGATTCTATGAACAAGAGAAGACAAAGAATAGAGGACTTCCTTTCCTTCAGCAAACAGCTGACACACTTTCCCATCATAAACTTCGTAATTCAGGATGTAAAACCAGATCCAACAACCAAACCCAGCTAGAAGGTTAAATAAATAAGTGCTAAATAAATAAACATGATTTTTCTTTTCCTTGGCCCATGAGTCTCCATAGAAGATGCCATGTGCTTCTGGTAATTGAAGTCTACTAGTCAATTTTCCTTTCTTTGTAAAATTGGGGGAATGGCCTACTCAGGGTTATAAACTGAAACTTTGAGGAGTTGGAACTTTTTGTATGTTTTGTTTTACATTTTCTCGTCATGAGCCCCATCATTAATACTAATTATGAATCACAGGTGAGGGAGTGCACCTAACATTTCATCTTTTATTTTGAAATGCTATTAAAACTCAAAAGGCAGAAACATAGCCTGTGGCCTTGGCAGATGCAGGACTAGGTGATTTAATGGGGTTTTTCCTGCATTACTTTCTATGACTGATATTTTGTGGTGCAGATGTGACTGCCACATTGTGAAACATTATTATTAATAAATCCACATTCCCCAAAACAAACAAGACAGCATGGCAAACAGTGGTGTTTGCTCTGTATACATTTGGGTTGGTTTTTCATCATTTCCTAGGACCAAGGCCCTGCTGCTTCCCATCACATTGGTGAAAAATGTGAGAATTCACAGTTTGCCTATTTTGGCAACATAAACATGGGAAAACTTGTGGTCACAGGGTCAGGACTCTTCGTTCTGGAGGGCCTGGTAGCAAGTGGATGGGGTCGTGAGGGAGCTTCCTTAGGGAGGACAATATTGAATCTAGAAGTTCACAAGACTTAGCCCATGTAATAAAGAGAATATTCTGAATACCCTTTAATATTCAGTCTTTCAGTCACTGTCCCCAAAGAGCCAAGAAAAGCTAATGTATGCCCCCCCATGGTAATTAATGTTCAAGCTTGAAGAAACTTGAAGAAATCTTAAACGTAGCAACACTAACTGCCAGGTTTGTTAGCTGTTATAAGAATTCAGCCAGTCACAACACATTCAAAATGCCATTATTAGACACTGACTATGTGTGTAGCAGGGTTCTAAATTACAGTCCCAGTCCTCAGAGGGATTATAGTGAATGCAGGTGGGGATAATATTTAAATGTGACACATTTACATATTAACTAACAATTAAAGTGGATGGTGGTTTTCTTCTCAGTGAAGACTTTCAGAGCTGTCCTGCCCCCACAACTGGCGAGTGGAGCCTCCATCTTCGAATCCAAACAATTCGATCTCACTCTATTAGAGATAATAGAAAGGTCATGAGTTTTGACATCAGAAACTCACAAGTCTTAATCACACATTGCCTGTGTATTAGGTGGATTGTAAACTCCCTGAGGGCAAAGTCTGTTTAAACACTGCGTATCTCAGAACCCAGCACAGTGCCCAACATTTAGTAGGCACTCCACAAATATTTGATGTTGAACACATAAAATTAGCTGTAATCCTAGCAAAGTTAACTTCTGAGTCCAGCGTTCCTCTTGGTGAAACAGGAGGAATCACACCTGCTTTAAAGGAGCTGAGAGGTTGACTAGAACGGAGGGTGAGGAGGAAGACTCCAGACTTTCCTTGCCTGGGCCCAAATTCTGGCCTGGCAATCATTAGCTCTGTGATTTTGAGCAAATAACTTGTCTTTGCCTCTGTTTCCCACACCAGCAAATAAGGACAATAATATCGCCTACGTTTTAGGCTAGGCATAGTGGCTCATGGATTTTTGGAGGCTGAGGTGGGAGGATTTCTTGAGGCCAGGAGTTTGAGAGCAGCCTGGGCAACATAACAAGACCTTATACCTACAAAACAAAACTTTATAAAAGTAGCTGAGCATGGTGGTGTGTACTTGTAAGTCCTAGCTACTTGGGAGGCTGAGGCAGGAGGATGACTTGAGTCCAGGAGTTGGAGATGGCAGTGAGCTATGATTGTGCCACTGCACTCCAGCCTGGGTGACAGAGTAAGACCCTGTCTCTAAAAAAACAAAACAAAAAACTGTATTAGCCCATTATTGCATTGCCGTAAAGAAATACCAAAGGTTAGGTAATTTATAAAGAAAAGAGGTTTCGTTGACTCACAGTTCTGTATGATGGCCTACAGGAAGCATAATAATGTCATCTGCTTGGCTTCTGGGGATACCTGAGGAAACTTAACAGTCATGGCAGAAGGTGAAGGGGAAGCAGGCATGACACACAGCCAGAGCAGGGGCAAGAGAGAGAGGGCAAGGTGCCACACTTTTAAATAGCCAGATCTTATGAGAAATCACTCACTACCGCAAACACACCACCAAGGGAATGGTGCTAAACCATTGATGAGAAAACCAACCACATGATTCAGTCACTTTCAACCAGGCCCCACCTCCAACACTGAGGATTACATTCCAACCTGAGAGTTAGGTGGGACATCCAAACCATATCACAAACCTACTTTTTCAGTTTGTTATGAGGATTAAATGAATATTTGTATAGTTCTTAGACTAGGGCCTGGTACATAGTGTGTTCTATGAAAATAGTTTTAAAATGCCTTATATAGCCTGCTACAAATGACGCTGAATAAATGTTAAAGAACGTGAAGTTTGACCCCCATTTCCTAAACTAGCGCCTGGCTTACTATAAATACACAGAATGGAATATAATTATTAATTGGGTGTTACAGGTTTTCTGAAGCTCAAGCTAGAAATATGGGTTTGTGGGCTAGAAATATGGGGAAGAGCTTCATCAAGGACAAGGAACAAAATTGTACCTTAGTGGAATTAAATGGCAGTGATAAGGAGTTCACAGAGAAGGCATATAATCTGCAAAAGCTGGAGGAAAGAAGGATCAGGTCACAGTCACAAGATGCTCCACCATCAGCAGGACTTGGCACCAGTTTCTGGGAGAATAATTTGTCATGATCCAGCTTTTTAAGTGAGCTTGACCAAAGCTCTGCTTTAGTTCTGTGGTTTCAACTGCACAGATTAATACTTTGATGGCTGCTTGTTTATTCATTTATTTATTGAGGAAGTATTTATGTAGATTCTACTATGTGCCAGACATTTTGCTAGGCAGTGGTGAATAAAATAGAAATGGAAGACTGGGCAACATATACCTGGGTCTACAAAACAATAAAAATAAAAATAAAATAGCCAGGGGCAGTGACACATGCCTGTGATCTCAGCCTCTCAGGAGGCTGAGGCAGGAGGATCCCTTGAGCCCAGTAGTTAGAGGCTACAATGAGCCATGATGGTGTCTCTGCTTTCCAACCTGAGTGACAGAGCAAGACCTGTCTCAAGAAAGAAAAAAAGAAAAGAAATGGACTTCCTCTCTTTTGGACCAGGAGGGAGAGACAGACTATAAACAGGAAAATAAATAGATTTTGATAAGTGCTTCAAAGGATATTAAAAGGGCACGGTATTGCTCAGATGGAAAAATGGGAAAAGGTCTGTCCAAGGAGGTGATATTTCTATGGAATCTAGAAAGATAAGAAGGAAAAAGGAGACTATTCCAGGATGGGAAACATAATATTCAAAGGTCTTGAGAAAGGTATATTTGAGAAAGAAGGCCGGTGTGGCTGGAACAGAGTGAGCTAGGAGTGAGTGGTGAAAAATGGGGTTGGTGGCATATAGACAGGGCCAGGTCTCGCAGGATCTTGTAGGTGGTGGTAAGCTATTTGGATTATATTAAAGCAAATTGGGCAGCCACTGAAAAAAATGGAGAAGAGAAAATGTTATATATATATATATATATTTTTAAAAATGTAACTCAGATTTCAATGTGTAATAAATTGGATTGGAAAGAGAGGATATGAGGGGAATGTTGAAGAAGTCTGAGCAAGAGGTGATGCTTGCCTAATCAAGAATGGTAGCAGGAGGAAGTGAGGGAAGTGGACCGATGTGTAATATATTCTGTAGGTGAAATAGATAAGATGATGCTGATAAATTAGATGGGGAGGGACTGAAAGTAGAAATAGTAAGGGAGAGAAAAGATTCAAGAATGAAATCCAGGCTTCTGGCTTGAACCACTGAGTGAGTATTAATGCCAATGACTAAGTTGAAAATGTTAAAAGAGGGAACATTGAAAGGTGGATTGAGGAAAAACTCAGGAGTTTGGTTTTAGATGTTAATTTTCAGTGATCTGATGTAGCCAAGAAGAGATATCAACACAGCAGAGAAAAGATTAGGCAGAGAGATAAGTTTTAAGAGTTGCACAGATCTAGAAGGGGTGAAGGGCAGTGGGACCCAGAAAGCAGGTTGAGGTGTTGGCCTTTGTTAACAGCAGGGACACCTGGTGAAAGAAGAAGAAGGGAAGATGTGGGTGTAAGTGGAGGTGATAATCATCATCACCATAGCTTATATTTATTGATGTGTACCAGGTAATGTTCTAAGTAAGTTTCATTTATTAACTCAATCCTCTTAGTAACCTTATGAGTAGGTTTGTACGTACACTGTATCAAAACTGAGAGAGTCTCATCTGATGGTCTACATTGTGGAAGGGGAGTCAAGAGGGACATTTGAGGAGAGAAGCTAGGACACAGTTGGGATAGAAAGTATTCAGTGGAACTTCCAGGCAAGACTGAGAGTTCCTCTGAGATTTTAAATTATGAATATAAAGTGAATCTAACCCAAAATGCAAATGGATTTTCCACAGCATTCAGCAATCAGACTTCAGTGGCCTGACTTAATTGGTGCTTCATGTGGAAGCAGGGATAATTTCCAATGCCAGGAGTAATAATCAAGTACACTATTATCCCTTACTAGTATGCTAGCACTTTATGTACTTTCATGAAGCTGCCTTGGGGACTTGGCCACAAGAAACCTTCCACCCACCAGGCTACCCCTCAATCCCTGCTCAGAAGCAGAAACCATGGCTCCATGAAAGAATAATATCTAGAGTGAACTACAACCACTCATCAGAAGGATGAAGAAATTGATGGCTGACTTTAAGCCTCAATTCTGGAAGAGGTCCAAACTGGATGCTTTGTCTTCTACCTCACAGCTTTCCAGGTTCCTCTCAGTGACCAGGGTACCTCCTCTACCTAAGAAATCACCATCAGCTCTCCCCACTGCCAAGAGCTCATAAATGAAGAAGGGATGCAAAATCTTTACTTGACACAGAAAGCTTTAGGTTGACAACAAATAGCAATAGCTAACATTTACTGAGCATGTCTTTTATATCAGGCTGTGGGCTAAGTGCTTTTATATGTAGTATTTCCCTTCATCTTTAAAACAAACCAGTGAGATAGGAATCCTTATGATCTCATACTACAGATAAGAAAAGTGAGCTTTAGGGAGGTTAAATAATTTTTCTCAGACCAAGAAGCTAACAAGCAGAGCAGCCAAGAGTGGAATCCAGGCAGTCTGACTCTAGATACTAGGCTCTTTTAACAAGTACAGTATAATGGCAAATCAGCCAACATCTCTGCTGGATCAAGCTGTTGTATATATCCATTTGTTGTCACATGTTGTCACCTTTCTATAGATGTTACTTAGAAAACAAATGGATTTTATTTCCAACTATATTTAGACCGGTTTCTACTCTCCCATGTTCTCAAAATGAGACACTAATTGTGGGGGAATTATGGAATTAATAGATTTTATTATTTCCCTCTTTTGAAAGCAAACATCCTGTTACAGAGTCAAGTTTATGGTTTGTTGGTTTTTTGCAAGCCTGGTGACCTATGTTAAGAGAATTTCCCCTGAAGTCAAATGTGCTGACACATGTGACAGCATAAGCTGCACTCCATGGGCTCCAAGGACTGGCAATAATGACCTGTTTTTTTTTCCCACCATGTAATTATGAATTGAGATTTGACTTTTAAAACAAATTCCCAGATAATTGAGGTCAATATGAAAATTTTAGTTTCAATATCCGAGTATCTTAACTGTGTAGATTATTTGTGAGTATACTGATAATAAGCTCCTTATGTTGTCCTACTTTTAGGTGGTTGTAGCCTGTGAATTGTTTTTTTCATAAATGAGGGATATATGGATTTGCATGGAGCCATTCACGCATTCTGCACATAATTAGAGCCAAATGGTACTCATTAAGATTGAACATGAGATGTTAATTTCCATTAGCGCCTGGGGAATCTGCATTTTTAAATAAAGCCCCAGATGATTCTTGTATAAATCGAAGTTTAAGAAACATTGAATAGATGTGCTCTAATTGTTTGATTTATTTTCTCTTCTTTTCCTATTAAGGATAAGAAAAATTAAATGACCTTTAACAGGCTTGACTATCACTACAATAGTAATAATAGCCAATAGTTGGTGAATGTTTATCTTTGCTGAATAGTGTTTTATATATCTATTTCATATGTAACACATTCTTAGGCAGAGATTATCATTAGCCCCATTTTGAAGATAAAAAACAATGAGATGGAGAGAGTCTAAGCAACCCAAGATCTCATAGCTACTGAGTGGCAAAGCGAGGGTTTAGAATTATACTTTTGCCTTTGAAGGCCAAGTCATTATCTGGAGACAGATAACAATGGATATAAATCACAGCTTTGCTACTTACCAGCTTGAAAGATGAGTTTAATAATACTGACTTTGCATGGTTATTGTAAAAATGACAGAATAATGCATATAAAGCACCAAGTATATGCCTGCCAAGTAGTAGATACTCATTAAATGGTGGCTATTAAATGTCAGCTGGAAAGTTGAACAGGTATTCCATGATTTTGATCACTGTAATCAGTGAACACACGTAATCCAAATACCTGCCTACATATCGTACACTGTTCTTATTGTTTTAACTCTCCAAATTATTTACATAATTATCTCTACCTCCTCCTTCCCACTATCTCTTTAGATATGATCTGTGCCTAAGACTCCCTAAGACACTAATTCTACATGATTTGAAAAGTAACATAAATACTTCTATTGTTTTTCTATCCTAAGGAAGTTTGAATGAATTTAAGATATTTTCCAATGACTTTAGTACGAATGTTTGCAAAGGGCCAGAGCTCCCTGGAAGTAAGTTGAAAAACAAACCCAGCTGTAATAGCCTGGTGACCCAGCAGCCCAGACCTGCCATTATAACCCATTTGGGGATTGCATGGTAATTGGGTCCATGGCATTTGGCTTAGTGGTTCTGATTGTGACACATGATGATTCAAGTTTATTCATGGACACACTAAAGCATCACAAAATGACCTTTTTTGAGGTCCTTGAGGTCAGGCGGGGAGGGAGGGAGAAGCACTGGGGCACTCTAAACAAAGCAGCTTTGTTTTTACACCGCTTGCTTGGACAAGTGTCTCCTCACGTGCAGCAGTCATTTGCTGTGGAGCTCTTGGCAGAGTAACTAAAATGTGACAGAAATGAAGGGCAAATTCTGAAATCCCCTGGAAAATCACCCTCCCAAGCAAATATTTGCCGTGGTATTGTAGCTCGATGACTTATTTTTTGTCATTCACTTTTTTTGGCTCATTCCTTTCCTTTATGGCCATTTAAAAGGTGGGTAAACTGAATATTTATTGAGCATCTACTATGTGCATTGCATGTACCGTACTGAGTTTATGGAAGATAGAGTCTGAGCTGAAATCATTTACCATCTCTAGAATTCATCCTCCGTGTCTGCAAAATGGGGATTTGGGCTTCATCAGTGATTCCCAAGTTAGTTTATAGTTTATTAAACCATATTCAGCAAGTGATTCCCAAGTTAGTTACATAGTTTATTAAAGCATATTCAACATTGCATCTTCTATTTAAAACACACACACAAAATCTTCAGAAAAATCTTTAGAAACCAAGAAAATAAACTTTAACAAAATCTTCTCAGCCAATAGACATACAAAAAGCATAGAATCTCAACAAAAGGGCCACCTGAATCTGCATAAAGGCTAGGTATGTGATTTTGTTGTTGTTGTTCTCAACCATATAAAACTGGTTGAGAACTCCAGATCAGATAATCTCTAAGATTTATCTCAGGTTCAAAAAGCTCTGTGGCCGGACATGGTGGCTCATGCCTGTAATCCCAGCACTTTGGGAGGCCAAGCTGGGCAAGTCCCCTGAAATCAGGAGTTCCTGACCAGCCTGGCCAACATGGTGAAACCTCATCTCTACTAAAAATACAAAAATTAGCCAGGTGTGGTGGCAGGTGCCTGTAATCCCAGCTACTCAGGAGGCTGAGGCAGGAGAATCACTTGAACCCAGGAGGCGGTGGTTGCAGTGAGCCAAGATTGCACCATTGCACTCCACCCTGGGTGACACAGCAATACTCCGTCTCAATTAAAATTAAAAAAAAAAATCTGTGATTTTATTTGGGCTTCTCTCAACAAAGTTGGTGTTTTTGTAGCTCAGAGAAGATATATCTAGCATTAGAGAAGGATAAATCATTATGGCTTAAGAGATAATCAGTCATTTCTAATATCAACTTCTGATTGTTTATTCATGGACATATGTATGTGCTGACCCACAAAACACAATTTTCTAATTGATTCTACTGATATTGGCCATCAAATCTAATTAATTTAGACCCAAAGTGAATTTTTTTGGTTTTCTAAAGTCAGTCTTCACTATCTTCGTAGCCCAAATTAGCCAAATAATTTAGGTAAGAAGTATTTATTCTACCATTTCTATCAGGTTTCTCTCTGATGCCTGTGCTTTGCAAACAGGTCAGTAAAAGAGATAAAAGAAATAAGCAATAAATCTTAAGTTTTTTTCTTGTCTATCTGTATTTTATCTGTATTTTTTTGTTATATTAGCTATTTTTTTTATTAATTCAGTATGTTCCAGCAAAAGAGGAGAAAAAAACACACAGTAAAGGGAAAATCAAAGAGGAGAGACACGGTTAAGAGACTGACTACATTAAAAGAGAAAGGGGAGGAATGAAATCCAAAAAGAATTTTCAGGGAAAATCTCTCAGTAAAAGAAAAAAAGAGAAAGATATTGCATAGGATGTGTTTCATGACTCATGCCTGGCTCTGTACCTGAGTGATTCATTTGGTGGAAAACATAGCTGGCTCAGAGAACCTTTCACAGGCCCCAGACTTTGTTGAAATCATTTGAAGCTTCATTTTGTGTGTATATTTTCCTCACTTCTTTAAAACTGAAATATTAATTGCTTATGAGAAATAGGCCCTGATCATTGGAGTTTATGTGTATGGCCACTTGAGATTTAGAAGTAGATCAGGGACTTCGAAGTAGGGGAAGTGTTTAAGAACCTGGGACAGGTTTGTTCCTAGTGGCTTTTCTTTATCTCCCAGCAGGAATAAATAGTAGGTCCAAGGGAATCCTGTTGGATAGAGTTCAAAGGGGACAGGCCCTTGGTAGGGGCAGACTAGATTAGTGGCTTTCAAACTTTTTTGATCATGACTCACAATAAAACATATATTTTACATTAAGACTCAGCCCCACATGTCTGTGTGTTTTGTGAAATAATACTTACCTTTACTATATATGCTTTACTTGATATTTTCTATTCTATTATATTTTATTCCATTCTATTCTTTTTGTTTTGTTTTGTTTTTTGTTTTCTGACGGAGTCTCACTCTGTCATGAGTGCAGTAGTGCAATCTCGGCTCACTTCAACATCCACTGCCCAGGTTCAAACAATTCTCCTGGCTCAGCCTCTCATGTAGCTACAACTACAGGTGCATACCACCATGCCTGGCTAATTTTTGTATTTTCAGTAGAGACAGGGTTTCACCATGTTGGCCAGGCTGGTCTTGAACTCTTGACCTGAAGTGATCCTCCCATTTCAAAGTGCTGGGATTACAGGAGTGAGCCGCTGTGCCCGGCTCCCATTCTTTTCTTTTGTTGTTTTAAATAAATGCTGGCAAAGACCTATTAAAAATATTTCACAGCTCAGTAGTAGATTTCTATGTACAACTTTCCAGTTTCTGTCCTCTCTGCAGCACCCTCTAAACACACACATTGTTAAAATACAGCACAATATAGCCAATTTTCAGGAACATCTCTCTGGCACTCCATCCTTCACACTAAAATACTTGCAACTTCTCGAACACCATACTGTCTTTCACTTCCTTCACGTGTCGCCCTCTCTGCTCAGTGCACTTGAGTACTTTCCCACTCCAATTCCCCTTTGTTCATCAGGCTAATGCCCGCTGGTTTAGACCCAATTCAGAGGTCAACGTCTCTTATTAGGGCTGTTTGTTTTCTGCACTCTCCTGAGCATCCGGGGCTTATCTTTATCTCAGCCTTATCATGCTGTGTTATGATGACCCATTTATATGTTTTTCTTTCCCACTAGACTTATTGGTGGCAAAAACTATGTCTTATTTGATATCCACAGGACCTGGCCTAATGCTTGGCACATACCTGATTAATAAATTCTGGATGAATGAGACCTACATACTGGTAGGCACGTGATAGGGAGTGGGCTGACTTCTTGGTAAACTGTAGTCTGTTTACGATAAACAAGAAAGCATACTTTTATGGAGAATGCTCAGCTTCTTTTAGTTGATGTGCTGACCCTCATTGCAATTCTTTTTCTGTTGCCAATAGGAGATAATGTAGCAAAGTAGCTATGAAGTCAGACTGAGGAGCTGCACAGAACTGGATTTGACTTCTGGCTCATCAGTTACTAGCTTTGTGACCTTAGGCATGTTACTTAATTCTTTTAAATCTCAGGTTCCTCATTTGCAAAATAGGAATAATAACCTTCTGTGGCTGTGGTTAGGATTGTGTGAGTGTTATTAAATAATGGCATATGAGCTCCATGAGGTCAGGATTTTTGTCACTTCAGTTCATTGTCATGAACTTAGAAGAGAGGCTGGCGCATATTTGTTGAATCAATGAATATTTTGTACATAATAGACCATCAATAATTCATAGCAGCTCTTATTCATGTGAATTTTTCACCAACTCTTACACGAAATTTTTTGGAGTATGTATGATGTGCATAATAATTCTGTATCCCTTCTTTAGTCAGAAGTTAGGGACCCACCTGTGAGGTGACCCTTCCAGAGCCTCAAATTCAGTGACACAAGATGCATGTAGAAACAGTTGCCTTTCGAAAGAAGTTGTTTTCAGGCTAGAAATTAAGTTTAATCATTCCAAGGCTGTTTGATTCTGTGGAAGTTCTACAGTTCTGTTTTTGAGTCATCGCCCATCGGCATTTGACTCTTCGTGTCTCTTTTCATACATCTCTTAGCCATATCACCATTTGCTGAATATTAGACTCACACAGATTCAGATTCAGAGTCTCGGGGGAAAATGATTGCATTTCTAAGTGTTCTTGGAACTGTTTCACTTGCTTCCTCGACAGATATCTTGTGTAAGGTCCATAAGGATAGAAAATCCATTATTACCTAAGACCCTTTACTGTTTCCCATTTCATGAATAGATGTTTGTATTTCAGGTTTTCACTTGGGTCTTTCCCATGTTCAGTACTTTTATAAGTAACTTATTGTGCTACAACGAAGGTATTGTTTTAGGCTTTTTTGAATTTCATCAGCATGCAGACATCCCTACGTACTATATTTCTACAAAAAACCCACAAACTTTAAAAAGTAATTCCCAAACTCTTAAAGAAGCCAGGCCAAATAAAAGGATGGCATTGCTTTATTTCTATGGCATATTGAAACAGTAAGAATGAAAAGAGATCCTCAAGAGAGCGGTTTTACCTTGCTTTTACTTTCTCATGCATTTATCCAAAAAGTCCTTTTTATTATATTATTCATTATATATTATTCATTGCAGCTCACTCCTCAGATAATTAACCCACTTCTATGATAATAATGTTACTCCATTCATAAGGACTCTGCCCCTTAAAGGTGCTACCTCTCAACACTATTGATTGGGGATTAAGTTTCCAACACATGTGCTTTGGGGGACACATTCAAAGCACCAGAGGGCCTGGTCTAATGATTAGGAGTAATCATTAGAATGGTGTAATTCATCATGGTGTAGGTAGTAAAGTTAAATGATCCAATTTATTAGTCCATTATTCATTCATTAGTCCATTATGGTTGCTTACCTTACATATGACTAGGTTGGTGAACAAGGTTGTCCTATTACTTATCCTATTATATGTAAAAGTCTGCCCAAAGCTGTTTTAATCATTTGTATGAATGTAGGTACCATTTCAAAGTGCACTCCTTATCATAAACTCTTGAGATACATACTAAGATGATATAAAAGAGAGTGGCAAATCCTATAGCACTGTGCTAATTTAATAACTTACAAAGTTCATCAATAGAACAATATACTTTTGTTCTCATGCTGACTCTTGTTCTCAAGTTGAAGATTACTCCAAAGTCACTATAGTCATATTATGCTGTCTGGGGCTCTTCATTGAAATTTTGAAAATAGGAGGAGGAGCATATCCAGTGGTGAAAGAGAAAACATTTTGGTAAGTGGAAATGGGAGAAAAGGAAGCTTGCCTGACTACCTAATAGGCCTTACTTAGTTGCTTCAGTGATGGGGACCTAGTAGACCACAGAAGGGCCAAGCTGTCTGGAAAAGAGAAGGGTTGTCATTTCTGGAACCCCTACTATGTGCCAGATACTTCATGGGTCTTTTACATCTTTAAGTTGAACCTATGGGGGATTTTATTGCATTCGTTTTAAAGATAAGTTAACTGCTGTCCATTTAAAAAAGTAAGTACAGTTGCTTTGCAAGATCACACAACTTTTATGGGGCAGGGCCTGGGCTTGAGTCCAAGACTTCAAAGCTTGTGTTCTTTCCACTAGCCACCTACTCTCAGAATGCTCCTGTTAAACCCATTATGTGGCAAGTCAGGTATGTGTTGCACTTGACATCTTTTTTAGTTTTCCACTTGTACAAACATTCCCTGAAAAATTGTGGAGAGGTTCCATACAGTGGAACTTGAGATTTCATCTACTCAGCCTTCTACCCTGAAAGGTTCCTCTGAGCTCATCACTGTAACCTGAAATGTCTTTCACATGGATCTGAAAACATTTAGTGAAGTAGAAAGTACTGTGCTCATAGTAGTCATTCTGTGGTACCTTTTTTTCCTTTTTAAAAAAAGGAAAAAGTTTAGTTGACACCAAATAGTTGTATATATTTGTGGGATACAGAGTGATATTTTTATATATGTATACACTGCATAATGATCAAATCAGAGTAATTAGCATATTCATCACCTTAAACATTTATCATTTCTTTGTGTTGGGAACATTCAAAATCCTCTCTTCTAGCTTTGAACGTATACAATAAATTGTTATTAACTATATTTACCCCATAGTGCAATAGAAAACTACAACTTATTCTTCCTATCTAGCTCTAATTTTGTATTCCTTACCCAAACTCTCTGTCTTCCTCTTCCCACTAATCTTCCTAGCTTCTAATAACCATAATTCTACTCTCTATTATGAGCTCAATGTTTTTTAGCCTCCAGATATTAGTGAAACTTGCAGTATTTGTCTTTCTGTACCTGACTTATTTTACTTAATGTCCTCCAAGCTCATCCATGTTGCTGCAAATGACAGAATTTCATTCCTTTTCATGAGTGAATAGCATTCCATTATTATATGCCATATTTCCTTTATCCATTCATTTGCTGATGGACATTTAGGCTAATTCCATATCTTGGCTATTGTCAATAGTGCTGCAATAAACGTGGGGTGCAGATATCTCTCCAATACATTGATTTATTTTCCCTTGGATAAATACCCAGTAGTGGGATCACTGTAATATGGTAATTCTATTTAAGCTTTGTTGCAAAACCTCCATACCGTTTTCCATAATAGCTGTGCTAACTTACTTTCCCATCAACAGTTTATAAGAGTTTGCTTTCCTCCACATCCTTGCTGGCTTTTGTTATTTTTTATCTTTCTGATAATGGCCAAAAGCTTTTAGCTTTTCCTCACTCATTGTGACATTAGCTGTGTGTTTGCCTGTTTTGTGTTGAGGTTTGTACCTTCTATGCCTAATGTGTTGAGAGTTTTTATCATTAAGGGAAATTGAATTTTATCAAATGCTTTTTTCTGCCTTTATTTGTAGGACTTTTTAGTAACAAATTTCATTATAGAATGTAAATATTATAAGGAAAAAATATATGTTATAATATGAATTAATAATGGCATGAATATTAAAACCAAACAAAATGCATATTGGAAAAATTGGCACTATTGCACAAACACAGACATCTAGGGGAATGTCTTTCTCTCTGGTGTTCGTGTTTTTACCTTCTTCAGCCATGTGAAAAGACTTTCAAAGGTTCTATTTTATTCTCAGAGTTGACAGACTCACCCTTCAACAGAGTGGGCATCAAAAGCCAATAGCTGCCTTGAGTAAATTAATTTTTGTTGATTTTAGTTCCCCTTTAAGACTTCCTGAGATACTGATCATGGAAATGAATATTAGCGATTTAATTCTGGCACCTCGTCAGGACTCACACTGCATTCCTGGGTGCAGCCTGGAACATCACTGCTGGCTGGACTCACTTCTCCTTGCCCACCAAGGGACCTGAAAACCACATTAAGGTGGAGAGGAGAGTGTGGCACCTCCTTGCTCAGAGATCGGCCAGTTCACTGTACTTTATTGACTGTGGACTGTTGATTTATCCAGCCTTCTCATTTCACATGTGAGGGAGGGCGATTTGGAGTGACTTCTGTGCACTTACATAGCTGATAATAGAGGATGGACCAGAATCCACATCTCCAACTACCAGTCCAGAATTCTTTCCATTCCCCAGTCACTCACTTATTCATACATTCATCTAACATTTATTGGATGCCTACAGTGTGTGTATAGCTGTGACTACAAAGATGAATTGGACGCAGACCCTGAACTCAAGATCTTTACCCTGGCTTGTGTTTTTGATTTCCCAGAGGGTCTGAGGTCCATTAGGAAGGTGACTATCTGCCAGGGCAGTCTCTCCATGCCGGCTGGATTAGGCAATCACTGCTGGCCGTATGCAGTCCCGTTTTCAGTGTCCAAGTCTATTCTTCATAGATGGCCTATTCTCTGTTTTTCTGACTTTCTTACTGGGGTTTCTCACCCAAACATAGCATTACTGATAAATAATATTTAAGTGGCTGAGCTCTGAAGATTAAGCTATTAATATCACAAACAGGCTCCATATTCTCTCTAGTAAAGAGCGAAAAAGAGTCAGTATGTATGTGTGTGTGTGTTTACACATATGAGCATGCGGTGTGGCTCTCTGAGACACTTAGAAGAAAAGTTCCTGCGTGCTCATGAAAGGCCCATAGTACAGCTATGAGTATATTCCAGGCCTCACATGGCTGCAGTATTCACCAGATTACCAATATTAGAGAAGCAGATTTTTTTCTATGGGTAATTTTTAATAATTTAAGGGCTCTCATTTCTCATTATTTCAGAAATCCAACTTGGAGCTTCTCATTTGATCAGCAAGTATTTTCCAAGGGCCTCCTGTATTCTCAGCCCTGTAAGAGGTTTGGGCCTTGGAGGCTGAGTCAGAGATCATGATATTCAAACCGTTTTCACTTTCATTTTGTTGTTGTCATTTTCTCTCCATTTGATCCTGAGGTAAAAAAGGACTAGTAATATTATCTCTATGTCACAGAGGAGGAACCAGAGGCACAGAGAGGCTTAATGACTTGCCAGGACCCTCAAGGCTATAAGCAGGAAAGCAGGGGCGAGACCACCAGGCTTCTTACCGCTAGGACAATGCTTTTTTTTTTTTCTAACTATGCCAGATTGCCAGTCCATATTTTTTTTAATTCAGGAAGGATTAGAGAAAAAATATTGCAAGCATATAAATGTAATCTCATGATAGAATAGTAACAATTACATAAAAATACTAAAGTTCATTTTAAATACTACCTAAACTAGGTCATGAATTCATCCTATAGCTTTTTCTCCCAGCAGGCATAATTGAGTTGCTTTCCCAAATGCCAGGTTATTCTACCCATGCGAGTTATAAAGACCTTTTTCTTGAAGGGATTACTGCTGAACTTCTCCTAAGTCATGACTTTGTGATGGGAGAGATATAAGTAACATGTTCGTTGGGCTTTTATAACTCTAGAGAAAGCTCTTCCTAAATCTTGGAGCTTACTGCTCAGCCAACTTATTGACTTTGTTTAGGAGGTGGCCATTAGCCTCTCAAACCACAGAGGTTTGGACTGTTCAACTACAGTAAGCCCAGAAGCAAAGAGAGATTAGAACACAGCATCACTGGGTGAAAATGGGGAAAGCTAAACTGCTTCGAAATTGCAGTGCTCTGTCCTATACTCATTTCTGGAGGAATCAAGAAGAGCCTGAAGCAGAAGTGACCCACTGGCCTTGGAGACAGGAGGCAATGGAAAAGCACAGTTCATCCACAAACCAGCCTCTCTGAGCATCAGCTTCCTAGCTGCGTGACATTCCCAAGACTCTTCCCTGCACTAATTTCCACATTTATAAAAAAGAACCACAGATGTGTCCTTGATGGTCATCTTACTGTCATCTGTTACCACCACATACGCTGTCTTGTTATGTGGCTTGGGAAAATCTATAAACTGGTCTTTTGGCTTTGATCACCTGATTGATTTACTGTCAGCAGATGATATTAAAATTAGCTTTCATTTGTTGAGCAAATCTGGATGGGCAATTGAGGTGGAAACAGGGAGTGGCCTGGGTGGTGGCTGGAATTAGAATAGTAATCTCTTGTGTTTTAGAGGTTACAAAGCACTTTCCCACATGTAGTCTCATTGAATTACTACAAAGTCCTGCAAGGGCTGGTATTCTTAACCTCATCAGACAAATGAGAAATTGATGTTCCGAAAGATAAAGTGACTGGTCAGCATTCACAAAAAGATTTGGTGGCAGTACAAAAAGTGGAATAAAAGCAAAAGCTCTTGCTTGCTTTCTGGTGCAACACATCAGAGATTGATTAGAATCTACTATAAGGCTTTTTGGCTATGCTGAGATGATCGACAATTAATTATAAAACACTGTCAACATAGACACTGGTGCTCTTCTCTTTCTGGGCTTTCATACCTGCTCTTCTTGAGGTTTCCCTCCCCAACCTCTATCTGTGTGTAACTCCTTCAGTTTATCACTTGGAAACCACTTCCTCTAAGAAGACCCAAGACCTTGCTAGATGCCCATCCTATGGGTTTCCATGGCATCCAAATATTACCCACACTCTGTTCATACCACTCTAATTCAATTGCCTGTGTTGGAATATAGCTCCATTTAGGCACTAAGAATACTTATTCACGAGTCATTCATGAGTGGTTATTTTTTCACCATTGTAACCACAACACCTTGAACAGTAGACCCTGGATAAACATTTCTTGAGAAAATGTTGCCTGATCTGCTGTAGCCAAGAGGAAGTTTTGCTTCCACATTGCCCTCAGGGCTGGGAGGGAATTAGAATCTCTTCCCCTACCCTCCTGCTTTATTAAGGTATAATGGACAAATAAAAATTATATATATTTATGGTGTATAGCATGATGTTTATATATATATGTGTGTGTGTGTATATATATATATATATACACACACACAGTGAAATGATTAAATCAAGCTTGTTAATATAATCTGTCACCTCATAGACTTTTTGTTTATGGTAAGAACATTTAAGATCTACTCTCTCAGCAATTTTCAAGCATACAATACCTTATTGTTAGCTAAAGTCACCGTGCTGTGCAATAGATTTCCATAGCTTATTCCTCCTAACAGAAACTTTGTACCCTTTGACCAATCTTTAAAGCCATCCAAGACAGTACCATTTCCAGAAGGAGGCTCTTAGGAATCCAAAGAAACCAAACTCTAGCTATTTGCATAAAATGTTAGATCATTCCCAGAAGTAAGCCTTAGAGTTGAGAGAGTACTAGAAGTGTGACAAGGATGGAGGTTAGCATTTGTGTATCCTTATGGGAAAACAGGTAAGAGCGGATATTTTTGGAGTTACTGGGAAACTTAACCATGACACTTGGCCTGCTTATGTGTCTGGTATTATTGCTGGGAACCAAGCTTCATGCCAAACCTCTAGCTATCAGATGTCAGTTTTGGGAAGAGACTTGAACTTGCTTATGTGGTTATTTATAACAGTAGTTTTCTATTTTGTGTCAGGTTAGAAGACACCATCACACCACTGAAATATGTTATCAGAACCACATGCAGATAGAATATCGTAAATATGGTAGATGATGAGCAAGACCTAGGACTCACAATTCAGGAAGATACAGAACCCAGCATTTAACCTAGTACCTACATGTACAAAATCCTTTCAGGTATTTAGGAGTTAATAAGCATATTAATATAATCATCCTACAAAATGAATTTGTCCAATCTTGTCAGTGAGGTCATTTCTGCAAAATTTTAAAGGGCTTGTAGAGTTTGACAAGAGATAAACATTACAGGCATTGTGCTGAATTTTCAGCAAAAGCAGTCATAGGCAATATAAAACAAAAGAGCACGACTGGGTTCTAATAAAACTTTATTTACAAAACTAAGAAGTGGACCACCATGTTTGCTACATCACGGTTTTCTGACCCTGGTAAAAATACACCTATCAATTCCCATTTTTACTCTTTCATTTCCTTCTGGAAATCTTTCCTATGTTCTCCATCATCCATAAGCTAAAGCCTAAACTCCTTAACTCTGCTCTGATCTGAACAGTCCCTCATATTTAGTGGTCCTTTTCCTCTCTTTGTGCTCAAGTCACATTTTTCCATGCGGATAATGCCATTCTCAATGCTTTCTACTTAGTCCAATTCTACCCATCCTTTAAGGTAGATGTCTTCAAATGACATAGAGGGGTCATATCAGAATCATCTGGGAAGCCTTTTGACAATAAACACAGTGCTCCTCTCCCACACTAAATTCTCGTAGACCCAGTGAGGAGAATGGGGAAAGCAGGGACATACAGGGTTGGAAAATGTCCCTCGCCTTATTCAAGAAATTCTCACCTTCTTTTAAAACTACTGCTATAGGACATTACTAAAATCCACTTCCTCCAAGAAGCTCTCCCTGATCACATAAACCCATACTCAGCTTTTCTTTCTGTGGACCTCCTCAGTCCTCAATGCTCACAAAATTCATTTTAACACCTAGAGTATTATTTGGCTATTTAAGCTTTTCCTGTGCCAGGCACTGTTATAGGTACTGGTGTACAGCAGTGAACATGACAGTGAATGCCCTTCTCTCAGAAGATGACACTCTAATGACTTGAAGAGACAGACAAGTCCATGTGCCCAAAAGAGTGAAAAGATAATTTCAGACAATGGAAACAAGATAATGGGATAAGGAGTGACTGGAAAGCAAAGCGTAAGGGATGGTTGGAGGGATAAGGAAGTGCTGTTTTAGATAAAGAGGCCAGGAAAAGCTTAAGAAGTCTGTAATTGAGCTTAAAATCAAAATGCAAAAACCCAGAGGAAAAGAACTGCAGGCAGAGGGAATAGCACAGTTTTATCTTTCCCTTCTGTGAAAATCCTATTGAATATAGAATGTTGGAGAAGCAAGACTCATAGAGATATGAAAAATAGTCTTCTTATTTAGGGTTGTTAGATAAAATATGGGATGCCTAGTTAAATTTGAATTTCAGATAAACAACAGGTAATTTTTTTAGTAGAAAGACTGATTGTAGTATAATAACTGAAAAAAAGTATTATCTGAAATTTAAATTTAACTGGGTGTCTGGTTTGTTTGTTTGTTTTGGGTTAAACCTGACAAGCCTACATTTTATTCATAGGAAAAAGGTGGACCAGGGTGATTTGTGTCTAATATCCTCCAGCTCCTTTAAAGCTGTACTGAGACAAAATCCGAATCTAAGCAGAAGCAATTTAATTTGGTGTTGCTATTTCAGAAGATCTTATATTGTTTTCTGACTGTCTCATTGGATAGTAATTTGTCTTCCTGGTAACTCCTTAATAACAGATTCCCTATGACTTTTTAAAAATCATATACTAAGTTCAATATTAAGTAATTAATTTATTCTTTTATCCTTCATCTATCACAAGCCAGTAATAATAGTACTTTCCTGAATAAAAGGTGACAGGCCTCCATTCTCAAGTATAGTAGGAGAAATTAGCAGACATAACTCATTTAAAATCAGCTTGGATCATGACAAAGGGCCGCAGCAGAGGCACCCAATAGACTGCGTTTCTGAGTAGGGAGATCCAGCATGGGAATCAAGGAAGCCTGATGTAGGCCTTGATCAATGGCAAGAATTTCAATAAGGGATTATAGAAGACATCATCCAGGAAAAATAGATCAAAGACAATGTGCTGAAAATAACAGAACTTGTATTGGTAATAAGTCCGTCTCTGTGGTTGAAACAGAGAATAGCTAAATGATAAGAGCATGAGATGTTAGACCTGGGTTTTCACAAACCCTGTACACCAAATTAAGGGATTTTATTTGTTGTCTTTATTTGATACCTTTGAAAACTTGTGGACGTCTAAATATTTTTGAGCTGGCACTTGATGTAAAAAGGGTCACAAATGAAGAAAAGCAATCTGATGCGGTGTAAAAACATGGAGACCAGTAAGAGAGTGACTGCAGAAGTCCTAGTTATTCAAATGAAGACTCAACTCTAATTTATAATAAGACAAAAGGAAAGAGGGCACTGAATGCAATAGATATTTTTGAGATAGAAACTCCGGAGCCTGCCAACTGGTGGGTTGTAGAAGTTGAGAGAAATGGAGGAATTGAAGATAAAGCTGAGATTTTAAATCAACGTGACTGGGAGAAAGACGGTGCCATTCACAAAAGTATGGAAAACCTAGGGAGATTGGTAGATTGTAGGTGGAGAAGACTTAATCATTTTTAAATATTGCATTATAGAATGTATAGCTATAAAGAGCATCATGATAATGCCCAATCCCTTTGTTTCATGTAGAAGAAAATCCAGTGGGAGTAAGTAACTTGCCTGTGATCACTCAGTAAGTTAGTGAAATAGCCAGTTCTGGAAATCTGATGCCCTATTTTCCCTAAACAGTGTTTCATTCATAAGATGGGCTGTCTTATGATGAGTTTATAGAAGTAGAATAATTGTGTGGTGCTGTGCAGTGATCAGTTGGAAATACAGATGTGGCACTTTTGTAAAAGATCGGGGACAATGATTTGGGAGGCATCTAAATGAAAATAACATTTGAAGGTGCGAAAACAAATGTGGTAGCCGAAATAGACGTAGTGCATTTAAGTCAAATGTGACAGATGACAATGGGGACTAAGAAGAAGTCTCCACTGAATTTCACATTTAGAAGGCCATTGGGATGAGAGAGAAAGAGAGGGAGAGAGAGACAGAGACAGAGACAGTGCAGAGTGAGGAGCTGGTGCAGAAGTGGAAACAAAATTTAAAATTATTTTTCTGGAAGCTGACAGTAAAATGAGAAAGATAGAATATCATTGAAGCAGGGCCTAAAGAAAAGCTTTCAGGTTGTTGTTGGATAGGAGAAAAATAAATGCACATGTAGGTAGAAGCAATGAAAGCCATGGAGAGCAAGAGGGTAAAGATGTAAATGAGTGAGGATAGTACTGAAATTGGTGAGGTCCTGCAAGAAACTAGAGGAGACAGAGGAGCAGGAACCAGGAGGACACTGAAGCAGATGGTTAAAAGCGGAGATAGAGAAGCCTCCACAGCACAAAGTGGTGAAGTGGATGGAATTCAAATTGACCTTTATCTCATCAGTGAGGTAGAAAGTTGTGTTCTTGGTTAAAAGTTAGAGGATAGAAGTGGGAATGGGAATTTGTGAATAGTGGAAATGTCTTGACATAATGACTGTGGAGAATCAGTAGAGAGATGTAAACCCAGATTGAGGGCCTTGCTGAGGGTAAAGTAGTGCATTTGTGGTAGACCTAATCAATCTAGTTTCTATGCTGTTCAACTATGGAAGCAGAAGAGAAAATATGAACAATGGGAGATTTCCAGGAATTTTCAGGTGGTGGTGAGTACCGGTTTTTTTGTTGTTGCTGTTGTTATTGTTGTTTTTAAATTACTGTTGATGGAATTAATGTTAGGTAAAGAGTCAAGCAGACTGGGCAAATGTCTGCTTGCCATTTGCTGAATGAAGGAGTTAAGTCGAGGGCCAAGGTCAGGTTCTCAAGGGTGCTTTTGTGCCAGGCTTTAGCTGCATGTTGCACACATTATTTTTTTATCCTTGTGATAATAGGAAAAATTAGATAAATCATAAACTTATGAGGTAACCATTACTACCCCAAATTTACAGATAGAGATCCTGAAACTAAGATTGAGTGAACTGTGTACAAAAAGACCCACAGGAGTAAATGGCAGAACTTTTTCAAACCCTGCCTTGCCGTTGCCTCCAGTAGCCAGGAAGGAAATGCAAAATTGGGCAGATAAGGTAGCTGAGGTCAGATGAGGAATTTCAGAAATAGAGATGGAACACTTCCTAATGATAAGCTCCAAAGTGAAGCAGTGGTGACAGAGGAAGAATCAAAATGCTGGTTATAGATGTCAAGGTGCAAGGAATTAGAGAGTTCATGGATTTTTTTCCGGAAACTTATTATTGAAGTATCATATGCAGAGAGAAAAGTGCACAAATCACAAATGTAGAAATCAGTGATTTTTAATAAAATGAACATACCTATGTAACCACTACCCAGACCAAAAGAACAGATAACTGCCAATTCCATAGAAGGCCCCTGGAAGTCCCTCCTAGTCACTAAACCCCAAAGGTAATTACCATCTTGACATCTTGGCTTAATATCAAAGATTAGTGTTTGTCTCTTTGGAGCTTTGTATTAATGGAATCATACTATTTAATGTACTTTTTAATATCTGGGCATTTTTTGCTCCACATTTGTACTTATGAGATTCATTCCTGTTGTTTCATGCTACAGTTGTTCCAGTAGATTTAACCACTAATATAACCATGCAAATAGTTGCCACCTTTTCTAATGAGAAAAGAGTCCCATTATGTGAGGCCCATAAACAAAAGATTATGTATATTTTTATGCATTTTTATTGGATAGAAAGTGTGGGCAACTTGACAGATACATTTCTGACATATACAGAGCTATGCTAACATTGCATTTAGATATAGTTACTAAAAAATTATAAGAAAGTTCTGCATGTTCTACTCTATAGTACTACAAACAGCCTTGTAATTAGAAAAAAGAAGGTTCAAAATTTAGTGCAATTTACACATACATTGTCGATTCAGGAAAGAGGCTAGGATTCAATGAATGCACTGACATTTTGAAACAAACAAACAAAAAATCCTGTGTCTTTATGAGTGTTTGGAACTTCAGGATTCACCAAACTATTCTTGGTTGTTTGGAAATGATGTACACTTAGTCCTGGAAGAAGATTTAAGGAAACACCACCTGCCTTTCAGTAGTATGTTTCTGGGAAGGCTCTATGTTAACCATTCTGCAATACAAATATAAATAACTAGATACACTTTAAGACACAAGACGTAATGGTCTAAAAAATGATGTTCCAGAGCAGTTGGAAATGCAGACAAGTACATGATTAATATTGCAAATGGGTTTATAAAATCTCCAAGTTGCTCAACCTCCCTTGAGACTCAGTTTCTTCTTCTATAAAATAGAGATAATGCTCCATCTAGCTCCCTGGGCTTCTATGTGAATCAGATGACGTGGTATATAAGACAGTACTTTCCAAATTGTAAGACAAGAATATGGTATGATTCTTACTTGCGGTAAATCCTTTTCAGTTGCTCATTGCAGGTCAATGTGAAGGGGGAATACCCAGATACGTAGCACCACAGATTGCAGCAAAGTTTAGCCAGGTGATGAATAAGTTTGCCTTTGGAATCAGACAGTCTTGGATGGGAGTACAGGCTGTGCCACTCACTAGCGGCTGTGTAACTGGAGGCAAGTTATTAATCTCCTAGAGCCATAAATTTCATTTCTAGAATGGAGATCATAGCATTTGTTAGACTTACCTAGAGGAATAGGTAATTGTAAGAAATGCACCCCTCATGGCACCTTGTGCTCAGAATTATACCAATAAATAGTGTCGGTTACCATAATTCTATTATGATAATAGCAATAATAATAGTATGATGGCTTCAAGCAGCCACTTAGTGCTGTTGATGTACAAGGCAAACATTGACGTCCTGGGGTAGTACCTGCCAGGCTCTCCCACTGTTTTGTTACTTCATTATTTAAGGGAATTTTTCCAGGCTGATGATAGCAGGCTTGGAACCTTGGTAGCTTACATCCTGTGGCCTCTGGGCACCTACAAAATTCAGGTGTCAAGGGAGCCTCATGTGGGAGGGCCTCTGATAGAGGAACTACTCTCCTCTTCTCTGCTCCCAGATTCTCAGGTAAGCCCTGTGCCTTTCTGTAATTTCTTGATGAGTTTTAGAATAATGGAACATATGAGCAGAAAGAGACCTCTAGACATCATTTGGTACAACACCCACATTTCATAGCAGAAGAACTAGGGCTCATAGAGGCTAAGGGGCTTTCTTTTAGAGTGAGCTGGTGATAAAGCCGGGACTATAACTCAAATCTCCCAATACCCAGTTCAGAACACTTTCTTCTCTTCCCCGCTGCCCTCAGGAGGTGGCTTCACCTCCACTCTCTCAATGCAAATGGAGGATTGTTATCTGCTTTAGATTTGGGCTTGAATCTTATTCTCCATGGAATCCCTTGGACAATGCTTTGCACATAATAGTTACTCAGAAAAAAAGTATCTTTAAGTGGAATTCAATTTCTAGGATACCCTCTTCTCATATTCAATTTTTAGAGCAGAAACCAACCTTAAATATCATCTTTAAATGACCAAGTTCATTTCTCTGTGCTGCACATGTCCTACTTCCTAGGAACATTCTCCTCTAGTTGTCCTGGGCAGTCAAGCCATCTTTCCATTGCTCTTCCACTGCCCCCACTGTACAGCTACGTGCTAATGCTTATGTCAAGATAGCACAATATAGTGGCTAAGAGTATAAGACCTGGAGTCAAGAGAGAATGAGGTTCCTGGCTGACACTTACTAGATCTTTAATGACTCTAAACCTGTTTTCTTATCTGTAAAATGGGGAAGGTAATGCCTACTTTGTAAGGTGTTAAACACTAATAGTATGTAAAATCTTTAGTATAGTGCCTAGCCCATATTGAGTGCTCGATAAATGTATTAATATTAGATTGCATCACAATGTATACATTGATATGTCTGTCTCCCCTGTTGAACTGTTATCTTTGGGTACAGAACCTTGCCTTAGTTAATTTTGTATCCATGGGATCTTGAACGGTGTTGTCTGGTGCAGAATAAATAGTCAAGATTTTTAGGAGAGGGAGAAAGAGAAGGAAGGGAAGAAGGGAGGACCAGTTATGCGGTGCAGCTGAGCGCCAACCTAAAAAATTAAAGACCTGGGTTCAAGCTTCAGCTTTTCCATCTACTGGCTGTGGAGTTCTAGGCAGTTACTCAATGTCTGTGAAACACATTCTCTTTATCAGCGAAACAGGTTTGCTAATACTGACATCATAGCATTGCTATGAGGATAATTTGAGACAATGTGAGACTGTTTGCATATTGAAATGTACTTTACAGATTTATACAAATCATCATTGCTATGAGAAGACATGCCTTCACTGTCTCCCTTATTTTACCAGATAATCAGCCACTTTGCAGTGACTCCATCTATGGAGCAGAAAGCACCCCGTTAGGTGCTGTGAGGAGGCCTTTGCTTTCAATATGTTTACTATGCAGAAGGGAGGTTAGAATCCACAACCTCCACTCACAGCCATGGCAGGTAGCTTGAGAGAACTTCTGGCTGGGAGCCTTTGACCTCCACTGACCTACCTCTCCGAGTGCCCAGCAGCAGCAGTCTCTGAAGTGACCCCTAATACGGCATGCACATGCCAGGCCTGCTCAAGTTCATCTTTGGAATGCTGTGTCCTTTGTCAAATGTCACCAGCATCATTTTCTCATTTCCCTCATGACACACATTTTAAAGCAGCAAAGTGTATTCCCCATGATGTAAATGGTACAGTGGCAGAGAGTGGAGACAGAGGGTGCCCTAATGCCAGTGGAAGAGAAAGTCAGGGCTGATTCCTGACCGCCACTTCCCCGCTCTGAGCACCGCATATAGGGATCTGCTCTGAGACCTTTATCTTTACCTTCATACAGAGCTTCTCCTTCCTTACGTATAAATCCCCAAATGTATAGGTCTGGGAACCTCTAGAGAAACACGGATATAGAGAAATTCACCTCAGTGCCTCTTATTCTTCATCAGGGATCTATAAAGCTTTTTCAATAGTAAAAGCAGCTCCTTTTAAACACTCCCTGAAAGCATTACCTGATTTCCTCACATCTAAATCCACATTTCTTTAACCTACTCTTTTCATCTAAATGAGAGCTTTAGGTGGATGTTGAGCCTCCATTCTTAATTCTGGAGGCTTGGGTTTCTCCAGAATGTTTAGAAGGTTTGGCTCACATGGGTGTTGGTATTAGTTTCCTATTACTGCAATAAATATTACACAAACTTAGTGGCTTAAAACGACACAAACCAAGGTTTTGGCAAGGCTGCGTTTCTTTCTAGAGACTCTAAGGGAACATCCATTTTCCTGTCTCTTCCAGCTTCTAGAGGTTGCATGCATTCCTTGGCTCCTGGCCCCCTTTCATTTTCAAAGGGAGCAATAGCTGGTCAGACCTTTCTCACCTTCCGTCACTGTGACACTAAATCTTCTGCTTCCCTCTTCAGCATTAAGAACACTTTCAATTACATTGGGCCCCACTGGATAAGCCAGAATAATCTCCTTATTTTCATGTTACCTCACTAGCAAACTTAACTCCATCTGCTACCTTTTGCCATAGAACAGCACATGTTTACAGGTTGCAGGGATTAGGATGCAGACATCTTTAGGAGAGTGATTTCAGGATCTCAAAATTTCTCTATAGCAGGATCAACAAACTACAGCCCATGGGCCAGCCACATGTTTTTGCAAATAAAGTGTTACTGGAACACAGCCATTTGTTTATTTATGATCTGTGATGACCTTCGTGCTAAAATGGCAGAATTGTTTGCAACAGAGACCATATGGCCCACAAATCTAAAATATTTATTGTCTGGCTCTTTTGAAAAAGTTTACCTCTGCTCTGTAGCACTTTCTGTGTCTTTGGTTCTGACTGTGACTCTTTAGAACATCACTCACAACCTTGTGGATATCTGCTTCATGTTTTAATTACAACCCCAACCCCACTTTTTAAATTCTAGCAGTGTTCTGCCTGCCTCTCCAGCAGTTCCTCCTCTATCATCAATTACCATAAAATTATTTATCCCTTGTAGTAACTCCAAGCACCATAGAGTGTTAAGTCTCTTTACTTTTTCCCTCTGCTTAAAATGCACTTACCTTCTTTCTCTATCTCTTGCCAGGCAAGCTCCTATTTATCCTTTAAAACCGTGCCAATGCATAACTTCCAGGAAGCCTTCTCTAACATGCCCATCCAAGGAGAAGTACTCTACTCTGAAATTACTTCTAGAATTCTAGAATAGAATTACTTCTACTCTCAAAACAGTCTTGCTGGACTGTAAGTGCCTCAGTGGCAGTGACTGAGTGATTTACCCTTCTTGTTGCCCCTGAACCTTGCTGGAGAAACTGGTTCTTTCTATTTCGTGGAGGGAATGGCTCTTTTCTTGAAGATTCACTTCCCTTCTCCTGGCCTCAGTCTCATCATGTGTGAACCAAAGAGTTGGATTAAATACAGTCAGTCTCTAAGGTCCCTTCCAGATTCAATAATCCTTTCCATCCCAGAAGATTTGGCCTGGTTCCTTACAGATGCTGAGGAGAAATCTCCTGCATTAAGCTTGCACCCTGCAGAGTTGGAAATCATCCAAAACATTTATCACTCATAGCTTTGCTTTGACTGTGTGGCAACTGGGAACTGAGGAAATGGGGGTAGAGTGACTGGAAGAGAACAAGGAGTTGCTGAGATAATTTGGGGGAGATCTCTTGTAAGTATTTGGCCCTGACCTTTCTTCAGGAACCAATGAGAAGGCAGCACAGTGGCCTGGAGAGTTGTAATCCTTCGCAGCAATCCATGCCTGGGGCTCCTCCACTTGTTATGGATGCACCCTAAATCCTTGCAACCACGTGGGAGTCAAGACAAACTCAATGTGGTCCAAATTCACATGTCTCCCCCTCCTCCCCTAACTCCCTCACATGTATCAGTGAGGGAGTTTCTGCTCTTGTGTCCCACTCTAAGGCTTTGTGACAATTTTGGACACAATTGTCACCCTTTGTGATGATTTTGGAAACTCGTCTCTCCAGTCCTCCATATCCCATCCCTTAAACATATACTTTTTCCTTCCAAACATTGCTTAGAACTTAGCTCTTCTCTGTTATCCTATTGCTACCATCTATTCTAGCCTACACAGGTAATCCTGACAGTAGAATCTTCCCCAGGTTCCCAACTCTAGCTACTTCCCATTGAGAGCCATCTTACATCCTCCTGCCAGCTTCATAGTTGCACATTCCCTCTCCCCTCATGCCTCACCCCTATTCAAGAACCTACAATAGCTCCATGCATTCCTGCATCAAATCCAAACTTCTTGGTCTCATTTCGTAATCTGGCTCCACTGTTTTTTGTTTTTGTTTTGTTTTGTTTTGTTTTTTTGGAGATGGAATCTCACTCTTTTGCCCAGCCTGGAGTACAGTGGCGTGATCTCGGCTCACTGCAACCTCTGTCTCCCAGGTTCAAGCAATTCTCCTACCTCAGTCTACTGAGTAGCCGGGATTACAGGAACCCACCACTATGCCTGGCTAATTTTTGTATTTTTAGTAGAGATGGGGTTTCACCATATTAGCCAGGCTGGTTTCGAACTCCTGATCTCAGGTGATCTTTCCCTCTCAGCCTTCCAAAGTGCTGGGATTGTAGGCTTGAGCCACCGTGCCCAACCTCCACTGTGTTTTCATCACTCTATTCAGTGAAACCTATCTTGTCTCTGCTTCACATTTCATTTTGGCCGCCATGCCATTCCGCGTATGGTTACCGTTGCCTGGCTTGTAATTCAGCTTAATTCAGTGCATTTTCACAAACACTTATGAAGTACCTGCTCTGTCCAAAGCACAAGCACACCTTTGCTGCTCCCAGTCCTTCTCTGATGATCCAACTGCAGTCCATGGTTTGCCCTTGCTGTTTTCACTTTGTGTCTATGCACTCCTCCCCTCCTGGAGCACATTCCTTGAGGACAATGACAACTGTGTCTTTCACTCTCGTACTTACTGGGACCTACTGTTAAGTCCAGGCTCCCAGACCACCTTTACCCATACATCATTCTCTTCCCACTTGTTCTGTCATCTATAAATTAATGATAACAAATCTATCTCACAAGGTTGTTTTGAGTATTAGAGATATTTTGTTCAGGGTTGACTATCAGTTGATGGTTGCAATGATTAGCATTATTTTTATATCCATCCCCTTAGGGTCTTTCAGTTTTTGTTGCACAAGCTCTTAAGCATTTGGAGTTAGAGAAAGTAAAATGTGTTTTATTACTATTAAACATAGAAGTTATTTCTGTTCCTGAGTCTTGATTGGAAAATTCCACACTCAACCCCACGAATTACTGTAGGTTAATGCATCTAATTTCACCTGTTCATAAGGCAAATGTTTATTTATTTTATTTTTTATTTTTTGGAGGCAGAGTCTCACTCTGTCACCCAGGCTGAGTCTCACTCTGTCACCCAGGCTGGAGTGCAGTGGCACGATCTTGGCTCACTACAACCTCCGCCTCGTGGGTTCAAGCGATGCTCCTGCCTCAGCCTCCTGAGTAGCTGGGATTATAGGCACACGCCACCACGCCGGGCTAATTTTTGTATTTTTTTTTAATAGAGACCGGATTTCACCATGTTGGTCAGGCTGGTCTCGAATTCCTGACCTCATGATCTGCCTGCCTCGGCCTCACAAAGTGAAGGCAAGTATTTATTAAATGCTTGCTGTTTATCAAGCACTGTTCAGTCCTTACCATTAGCAACTTCAGTGGCCTTCTTTTTTTTGAAGGTGAGTCATTCCCTCTTCCTCATCTCAGACCCAGCCCTCCCTACCTACGAGGAAGTGTAGTATGGGAACTGTGGAATTCAGAGTTTTCACTGAGGGCTTGGTTCTGAGCCTTGGCCACGTAAACCTCACTCACTCTCCACCCTCCTGTGTTCTTCTGAGGCTGTGTCTGCTGGGTACCAGCTAGAGCCTTCTGTCTGCTGGCTACCTAGCCTATTCAGTTTCAGAAAAATAATTTCTAATCCAAACTACAACTATTTGAAATCCAGTCAGAGTGTAGCAGTAATTCATTCATTCAATAAGTTCAATCAGTGAGTAAATTCAATTTAGTAAATGATTGCTAAATTAAAGCAATCACCCAGCAAGGCTGATTCAACAATCTCAAAATGTCTGCTGTATGTTTCTGCAACGAACTTTGTAGTGTAATCTCTTCATTAAAAGATTAATATTCCCTTGTTTACTACTATTTCAAATAATACAAATTCACATAATTCAAGGAAATCTTCCAAACTAGATAACATGATATTATATGGTAAATGCCAGAAGAACCAGCAAAACAAAAAACAAAAACATCAAACCTTCACTAATGAGAAAACAACCTTTAAAAATTGCCTTAGGCATCTATAATCTAGATTATCCCAGTTTTAAGACTTTGCAGAATCTGTGTCTAGTTGTTATATGTGTGAAGCTGGCAACAAGAGGCCAAAATATCAGAAGTGACATGCAAAACATTTACAGTCCTGTCTGTATGTGTGTGTTCAGGGGGAGATTGATTTAAGCCAATATTTTCTACCTAGCCTGCACATTTATGTTGGCAGGATTTCACTGGTAAATATTGGTCTAAACCAAACACTGAAATCTTTAATCACATTTAAACAGACATTGCATTATACTGCATTAGACACTGCATTAGAAAGGAACCAACAGGGAAAAAGTAAGCACAGCTGATAGCTACAATCTTTCAAGGGTAAAAAGGAAAAATCAGAATTCAGTAAGAGTCTTCAGAGGGAGAAATGCCAAGAAAACCATAGCTGAAATACAAAATTTTGTTTTTCTAAAGTCTGGAGCTGAGTTCAGTTAAGTGACGTAGTTTACAAACCAGGGGAAATTAGGGCCGGAACGGAAGTACTGCTAAATTAGGAGAAATTGGCCAAAGGAAAGTGAGCTAGCTGTGACATACACAGTGTTGGCTTCTTTCTCTCATTCTCAAACAATTCTTGTTTGCTACTGTGTGGAGTTGGGTTGCCATGAAACCTGAGGCCTAATTTTATATTTCATTGGAAGTTCTGAATCTGTCACATAAAGCAACTGTTTGTCTACCCACAGAGGCTGCAAAAATCATAACTGTTAATCTTTCCTAACACACACAGAAAACCCCAACCCAAAAAGAGTTGCTTGGCTTTCTTTGTTCAGTGTCTTCATTCACATCCAGGGGTTCTTACTGAATCATCCAGAACCCCATAAATCACCTCAAGAGCCTGTGAGTCTCCTACTAAAGTGTTCCTTCCTCCATCCCTCACCACCTCTGCTGCACCAAACCCTACCCCGCACACTTCAGACACAGCCCTAGACTGCTTAGATGCTTACTAAGAAAGTCTTTAGGAGGAAGGGCTGTTTTATCTCTGAAATCTATGCTTATCCCTTCTTAATTAAACTGTCAGGCCCCACATTTTGGTGTAGATGATAAGATTTGAGAGAAGCAGGGATCTTGTTGGGATGAATGGTCAGTCCCACTGAAGGGTGCCTCAAAGAAAAACTGTTTTTTTTTTTAAATTTCTTTTCTTTATTATTATTTTTTTAAGTCAGGCCTAGTGCAGTGCCTCACACCTGTAATCCCAATACTGTGGGAGGCCAAGGTGGCAGGCTCACTTGAGCCCAGGAGTTCGAGACCGGCCTGAGCAACACAGCAAGACCCTCATCTCTACAGAAAATTTAAAAATCAGCCAGGCATGGCGGTAAGCACCTGTAGTCCCAGCTACTTTGGAGGCTGATGTAGGAGGATCACTTGGCCTAGGAGTTCGAGGCTGCAGTGAGCCGTGATCACGCCATTGTGCTCCAGCCTGGGTGACAGAGTGAGATCCAGTCTCTAAAAGAATAAAATAAAATAAAATAATTTATCAGCTCTTAGGCAAGATTGAGGAGGTGGGACTCCCAGGAAAAAAAATGTTGAAGGACTCATTGTGGTTATTGCCAAACCTGGCTGAGGATGGAAATCACCTGAAGCAATTCTAAAAAGAACAAATTCCCAGAACTCAGTCTGCCAAGACTGCTTTATACATCTGGGGTTTAGCCTGGGAATCACCCCCAGGAGATTCAGATGCACCTCTTCTATAGACTGGTATAGTGATGAATATCAACTTTGAATTCAGGCTGGATTAGAAACCACGATCTAATATATACTTAGTGTTGTAACTTTGGGCAGATTATGTAACCTCTCTGAGCCTCAGTTTACTCATCTATAAAACAGGGATAATAACTATTTACTGGGGGTGTGGCAAAGATTAATTAAATATTATACATAGTCTCTCACACACTGCCTGACTTATGGTGGGTCAAAAATAAAGTTAAGCCAATCCAAATGTCTCCTTGAGACTCACCCAACTGAGATAGCCCCTAAGGCATTCCTGATCACACTGGAGGCAAACTGCCTCAGTCTGAATCCACTAAGTCTGTGATTCTGGAAAGTTACTGAATATTAGCAAAAAATCATTATTTTTATTACCACCTCTTTTAAGACAAGCAATTATGGTGGAATGAATGCTGGCCTTTGAGTGTTCACGTCCTGGCTATAGACTTATGACCTAGAATAGTGCTTCCCAATAGAAATATAATAAACACTCTACAGGTAATTTAAAATTTTCTAGTAAACACATAAAAAGAAACAGGTGTAATTAATTTTATTAACATATTTTACTTAATATATGCAAAATAGTTAACATGTAATCAAATATATGCATTTATTGAGCAATTTACATCATTTTTTCATACAAAGACTTTGAAATTCAGCATGTATGTTACACTTACAGCACATCTGACCAGAGACTAGCCACAGTTTAAGTACTCAGTAGCCACATGTGACTAGTAGCTACCATATTGATAGCACAGTGTAGACATTCCAGATTCTAAAGCAAGTCATGTCACCTTCATGAGCCTCAATAATCTCATTTGTAAAAATGGAGATAACTTTAATGGCTTTGTTTGCAGAAGAAAATCAGTAAACTTGAAAGCGCATGTCAACTGGTAAAGACTGTATATAACAGGTTTTCTGCTCTTTACAACACTTAGACTACAAAATACAATGCGATTTTCATAAAGTGATGTATCCAAGGTCGTGTGTGATCTGAGACATCACTCAGGATAGCATCAGGCAGAGACACTCTCCTCTAGGCAGATGAAAGAGATTTTAGCTAGTAGTGTTTCAAGAGGTTGGAAATTTCTTAGTCCTCTTCTCCTCCTCACCCAGCACCTTCACTCTCAACAGCAAACACATTTGCTTCTACTCTTCACTGACTCTTGAAATTCCTTCGACCATTTTCATTCTACAAATAAAGATAAAATTGAGGGATAAATAACCCTTGTGTTCCCTCTGATAACATCTTAATTTGAGGCCTCCTTACTTCTTAAGCTCCTATCTTTTTCTACAAATGATATTCTCTGATGTTAATAATTTACCAAGTGCTTATTCTCTGCACTCTTATAATTTTTATAAAATTCTGCTACCAGAGCAATAGCTCATCTTCTTAAAGATTGTATTGTATATATCAAGAGCACTGAACTTGGAGTCAGAAAGCCTAGATTCAAGTTTCCAGGTTCTACATTTTCTAGTTATGGGATTTGAGGTGAAGCCTGTAGTGACCAGAAGACATGAAAATTCCCTGAGCTTCATCAGGCTTTTCCTCTATAAAATAAAGACAATAATACCTCTCTCGAAAGGTAGATGAGGATTAAAAGAGATAATGCATAAGAAAGTGGTCTATAACTGCAAAGAATTAGACAACTATAAAATGGTATTTAGGGATTTATAAGCCATTTTGTGCATGCTATTCTTCCATTGAGCAGTTTCCAATGGTTCCTTCTTGCCTGCCAAATAAAGTCAGATTCCTTAATCTAACATTAAAAACCTCTCCAAAATTTGGCCCTGACCACACTACTTTTGGAAGTTTATCCTACTCAACCCACTTACTCAAATCAAATGTTCTAACCAACTAGAACTCTCATATTTGTCCTACCCAAACAACACTGAATGGTGTGACCTATTTCTAATTTGGTATATTTCTTAATGCTGTCCATTGCCTTACCTCATTTTCCAACCTCTCAAACTTCCACCCATTCTTCTTTACCAGGCCTCCAAATCTCTCATGATCTCGTTTTCCCTCATGTCCTTGAACTCTATCTCTGCAGCCTCTGAACTTTGCTTGTGTCTTTCTTATGACAGCTATAAAAACCCACGTGGGATTCTAGTAACTCTTGGTGCACAGAGACTTGCAACAAGATGCCTGAATGTGGGTACTCAGTGAGAGTTAAATATCCAAATCTGCAAGTGATTTTGCAGAAGTGCTATTGAGAGGCAAAATGTTTCCCATATAAAAACTAGCCAGCCTAGAAATCTAATCAACACATGAATGCAAAAGAAAGATAGAGCTGATTAGCTGTGGTAACACTGAATAAATCAGTAAAAAGAAGGTGATTTGTTTGGAGACTAGCAAAAAAAGAACAAAGGACAAGTATTGGACATTGTGTCTTTGATACTGTTCAGTAGCAAAGGCCCCTTTCTTTTTGGTAATGCATAGCCCATCTGTTGATATGTTGGGCATGTCTACATTTCAACTAATATTTTCTGAGCTTCTACTAGGTAATAGATGCTTGATGCACAAAAAACTAAAAAAATAGATTCTCTACCCTCAAGAAGGTTAGAATCTAATAGATGAGAAAAACCAAGAGAAATATTTGTAATGAAATATGGTCATTTGGAAATAGAGGTTTGCATATGGTGTTGTGAGATCTTAGAGGAAGGAGGCTTAATCCAACCTCAGAATATTTAGAAAACTTTGTAGAGGAGATGACACTAGGCTGCATCCTAAAAGATAAGGAAGAGCTAGCCAGGTGAACAAAGTTGGGAAAGGCATTTTAGGCAGATAGAAATGCTTGAGCAGAAACAACTATTATACAATCTATCTCAGCAAGGGAGCTGAGTATATCAGGCTTGAGGAAAGGAGCCATTTAAACCATCCAACTAGTTCTCCTGCTCTGATTTCATGCTTACCAAGCCATCTTATGGTTAGAATTTGGCCTCCCACATAGGGAAACATGTGATTACCAGAAGACATAAAAAGCTTTTTATAAATTACTGTTCTCTATTAATTCATTGGACTCTGATTTGCCACTGGGCTCTTGTGAGTTGAACTAGTATAAACTGAATGAACTCAAAATACACTAACAAAATTACATTTCTGGACCTGAAAGGCTGAAGTGACTTGAATTTTGGTCATCAACCAAATTCCACCACCTTAGAGGCCATGTGGTTCTAACTTATGAATGTTTCAAATCCATTTACCTCTCTTCATCTCCATTGCTATTACATGGTTGTAGCTATCATCATCTCCAGCATAGACTGCTGTAATAAAGAAGTCATAATGCCATCTTAGTCCATTCTTGCTTCTATAACAAAATATCTGAGATTAGGTAATTTTCAAAGAGGAGAAATTTGTTTCTCACAGTTCTGGAAGCTGGGAAGTACAAAATCAAGGCATTGGCAGGTTCAGTGTCTGAGGAGAACTGCACTCTCTGCTTCAAGATGGCCCCTTGTTTATGTGAAGGACCTCTTCAAGGAGAACTACAAACCACTGCTCAAAGAAATAAAAGAGGACACAAACAAATGGAAGAACATTCTACGCTCATGGATAGGAAGAATCAATATCGTGAACATGGCCATACTGCCCAAGGTAATTTATAGATTCAGTGCTATTCCCATCAAGCTACCACTGACTTTCTTCACAGAATTGGAAAAAACTACTTTAAAGCTCATATGGAACCAAAAAAGAGCCCGCATGGCCAAGACAATCCTAAGCCAAAAGAACAAAGCTGGAGGCGTTATGCTACCTGACTTCAAACTATACTACAAGGCTACAGTAACCAAAACAACATGGTACTGGTACCAGAACGCAGATATAGACCACTGGAACAGAACAGAGTCCTCAGAAATAACACCACATATCTACAACCTCTGATCTTTGACAAACTTGACAAAAACAAGCAATGGGGTAATGATTCCCTATTTAATAAACGGTGCTGGAAAAACTGGCTAGCCATAAGTAGAAAGCTGAAACTGGATCCCTTCCTTATACCGTATACAAAAATTAACTCAAGATGGATTAAAGACTTAAATGTAAGATCTAACACCATAAAAACCCTAGAAGAAAACCTAGGCATTCAGGACATAGGCATGGGCAAAGACTTCATGACTAAAACACCAAAAGCAATGGCAACAAATGCCAAAATAGACAAATGGGATCTAATTAAACTAAAGAGCTTCTGCACAGCAAAAGAAACTATCATCAGAGTGAACAGGCAACCTACAGATTGGGAGAAAATCTTTGCACTCTACCCATCTGACAAAGGGCTAATATCCGGAATCTACAAAGAACTTAAACAAATTTACAAGAAAAAAACAACTCCATCAAAAAGTGGGCAAAGGATATGAACAGACATTTCTCAAAAGAAGACATTGATGCAGCCAACAGACATGAATAAATGCTCATCATCCCTGGTCATCAGAGAATGCAAATCAAAACCACAATGAGATACCATCTCACGCCAGTTAGAATGGTGATCATTAAAAATCAGGAAACAACACATGCTGGAGAGGATGTGGAGAAATAGGAACGCAAAAAATTCCTGTGTTGAAACCAGTAGGTTTCAACACAGGAATTTTGGGGGGACACATTTAGATCATAACAAATGCTACCAGCAACTAGGATGGATAATTAACTAGGTTACTAGGTAATGTTTTATGTGTTTTGGTATGGTTTACCTCATTTAATCTTCATAACTATCCCACAAGATATGCTTACCCCCATTTTAGAGATGAGGAAATTAAGGCTTAGAGAAATTGAGTAACTCAAATGGCAAAGCCAGATATCAAACTCGTGTATGTCTTCCTGTAGATATGGGGCTCTTGAATACTATTTAGCTAACCTCATATTTCTAGTCTCTAGATTTCATTCTTGCCTTCAAGTTCATTCTCCAAATTGCAGCCAGAGGGATCTTTTTAAAATCCAAATTTGGCTGGGCCACTCCTTTGAAAGAGCTCCACCAAGTTTTCCAGTTGCTTCCAGAATAAAATACAAGATCTTTGCATGGCCTTCCATGGCTGTATATAACTTGATCTAGCTTCTCCTATCAGTCTTTCCCTGTCTGCGTTCATGAGCATACTCTGATGTTCCCCTTGCCTGGAATACTTTCCTCTCCCTTGACACTTAATTCTTATTCCTCAAAATCTCATAACTTTCCAAGGCAGGCCTTCCTTCACATCCCACTTTTCAGATTTTGGGTCCCTGGTTATCCCTATTATAAATGTTTATAGCATTCTACACTTCTTAGTATCTCTGTTCCAAGTTGTACTAAGTTTTTGCATAATTATTTTTCTATTCCTCTTAGGATATAGGCTTCAAGTAAGCAAAACCTAATATTCAGCACTATACCCTTAGAGTTTCATGATGTGCCTACAACATAATAGGCACTCAAAAATTTTACTCATTAATTATTTATCGTATCATATTCAATAAATAATAGCCAACATTCATCTGGTACTTGTAATGTACCATGCACTGTCCTAAGCACTTTACATTTATTTATTTGTTAACCAGATGCTACAGCCCATTAAAATAGATACTATTATTATTCTCATTACACAGATGAGGAAACTGGGGCACAGAGAAGTAACATCTTATGTAACAAAGTTTTATAACAGTAAGTGGTGGTACTGGAATATGAACCAAGGCAGTCTAACCCCAGAGACCAAGCTTTTAATCACTGCTCTATATCCTTCATAAATATTTTGTCAATATATTTACTTTGTTAGAAAAATAATTGGACAGCAGCTTGCCTCTATCCCTATCACTTTCTTGTGTCATTGGTCTTCAATACCAATACAGGTAGATAATTAAGTTCTTTGAACATCCCTTCACATTGGTGGTACATGTTTTAGCTGGATGAGAACAGATTCTCGTTAGCATATAAATGCCAAAGGCAGAGTTCTGGAGAGCAGGTTTTCCTAAGGGTAAGGACATTAAAAGAGTGGGAGGTAGACCAAAAGGAAACAGTGCTATGAGGCTGGCACATCAAAGACATAGTTTTGCCTTGACTAAGCCTATCTCTGTAAAAGAAAGAGAAACTTAGACCATTTATTTATAACAGGCCCAGTGGTTTAGCAAAAAAGTTATGGAATTTAGAATCAATATGTCAATCAATATAATTAAAATGTCTCCTTCATTCTCCCTCCTTTTCCCATCTTCCCCTCTCAATCTCTCTGTCCTTCTTCTTTGCCTCCCTCCCTCCCAGCCGCATCATATCACTTTGAGCAAATTGTTAAATGCATCCAAGCCTCAATTTTCTCACATTCATAATGGAAAATGTATGTCATAATGATAATAATTTCTCTCTTGGGGTTATTTTTCAAGGAAAAAAATGAGATATGCAAGTGAAAGTGCTTGGTAAACTGTCAAGTTATATATATAAGAGCCAGTTGTGATTAGAAGTTTTGTTTTACTTGTAGTCTTAGAGGAATTTGCTAAAGAGATCGGCATCAAAATGACCTACTTTTCACTGTTATTTCCCTTAAGGGCAGTGAACCTCTTCTTTTATGAATCCACCCAGAGTGAAATCCCTGTCATATGCAATTGCAAAGTTCCATATCTATAAAGACATGCTAACAAAGTTCTGCCTAAAGAAAGGCTATATAGGGCTTGCAAACTTTGGTCTTGGAAGAATTGCATTGCAGTGTGTACATGTTCTCCTGTTCTTATGATTTGTTCCATAGATACTTTACCCAAGGTTAAAATAACATGCCCTCTTGAAATGTTGCACTCTAACCTGAGTGTGCTTCATTTACCAAATATTATATATTTGGACATAATAACTCATGATGAAGAAAAATTATATCTAACTCTAAGGGAAAAAATCACAACCAAGATTGCCAAATAAATAGATAAATAGGCCAGTAGCCTCAACCTAACACCTTTGCATAAAGAGATGCCAATTCCTATATGTATGAAACTATTTTACATTTTATCAAGTACTTATTGCACTATGGGAAGGAACCGAAGAATGGAGTAAGTATGCTAACTTAAAGGCATGTAGAGCCATAGGAGCAACCCAAACGTAAGACATCTACAGGGCTAGAAGCTTGTGAATGAAGCTAAAAGTAAAGCTGAATGTAAATAATCCAATTAATACACACTTCTCATTTACAAAGATCAGAAGATTATGGGAGGAAGCTGAGAAGGCGCCTAGCTTCACAGACTTACTATTTATACAAGGAAAAGGGATTTCCAATATAATCATTCGCTACAATGGACAATACCACTCCTGAAGTGTATTGTTCATTGCTGTAATCCAGCACCCACCCAGCAGCAGGCTTGGCACATAGCAGATGCTCAGTGTACTTTTGCTGAATGAATGAACAAACAACTTCCCTATACAATTCTCCACATCTGAAAGGCCACTGACCTGGTATGTCAGTTAGAATTTTGTGAAAAAACGATCCATCAGGTCAGCTCTATATTTTAGAAGTGGAAACCAACAGTCTCTAACTTAAGACAAATGTCAAGAATGCATTTTTCTGAAGTCCTACAGTGGGAAGGACGCTTTAGGATTTCATGGCCAACCTTACAAATGCTTCCTTTCCCAGGGCCAAATCAAAACTCTGTCAATGACTCAGCTGTCAAATACATGTCAATATATCATCAGGAAAGTGACCCAGGACCAGAGAAGTGGTGGGAAGGAGGGGAGAAGTTCCTGACACGTGCCGGATGCTGTACCAAAGGCTTGGCGTATACTGATTCACTTAATTCTCACACCTAGTTTAAACTATCTTCCTGTTTTACAGGTGAGGAAATGGAAGCACAGTGGGCTACTTTTCTTGTCTAAGGGCACATTGCTATTAAATGGCACAGTTATGATTTATAAACAGCTGGGGCAGACTCTACTGTGTTCCACTGAATTTTGAGTTAGTAGGGCATCCTGGTCTATGTCACATTAAAACCAACATTTGTCGTTGTTTTTTAGCTATGTGAGATTTACTCAAACTCTGTTGATACCCATTGTTATAGCTAAACAAAAGGAAAGGAAATGTTTTTTAGAAATTCTGCTCTTGTTTTTTTAAACTGGGCTTCCCCTAGATGGGACTATCTGTTGAAAGCCTACATGGACAACCAGAAAGACAGCAAAGTGCACAAATCACAAGTTTAGAAATCAGTGAGTTCTTATAAAGTGAACATACCTATGTAACCAGTTCCCAGACCAAGAAATAGATCATTGCCAACCCTATAGAAAGCCCTTCAAGTCCCTCCTGGTCACTAAGCCCACAAGGTAGCCAATATCTTGACTTCTATTACTATAGATTAGTTTTTGCCTCTTTGGAACTTTATGGAATTTGACCCATACTATTTTTTCATATACATTTTAATATTTGGTTTCCTTTGTTCCACATTTATGTTTATGATATTCATTCCTGTTGCTGCATGTGGCAATTGGTCCAATTGTTTTAGCCACTAGAATAACTTTGCAAATAGTTACCACCTTCTCTAATAGAAAGGGAGTCCAATTATGTGAGGCCCATAAAGGTTATGTACAGCTCTTTTCTGTGTGCTTTCTGTGGATAGAAAGTGTGGGTGACTTGACAGATAAGTTTCTGATATATAGAGATATGTTGGAATATCATTTAGATATAATTTATAGGAAATTTATATTTGGGTAATATTGTGATGCTTTCAATTGCTAATCATGTGTAATTGAGGGCAGAGCATTTTTTCCTCTCAGCCTCAGTTTTCTCAACTGTATTACAAGCCATGAGACTTAAGGTTTCAAAGTTAAATGATGCCAGATACATAAAGGGCCCCTGTGCCTACTTTTCCAAGAGATCAGTGTAGTCATAAGATTACACTTCCCTGCACAGATTGCAGGGCCAGCTTTTAGGGCACCTGAGGTCTTTCACCAGTGGGGCCACTGATTTCATAACTGCTAAAATGTGTCCCCATGTTTTCTAACTATGAGCAACTAGCTATTTGTGGCCAGGCAGAGGTTTCTAATTACCCTTTCCTGTCACTCTTCTCTGGATCTCTCCCTCTTCCCAACAGGACTCTGCTAACTCACACACCCATTTCTACTAGATTGGCATTTAAAAAGCTGGGGAAGTTGGTCTATGAACCTAAGTATTAGATTAACTGAAAAATCATTGAAACAGAAAAAAAATAAAAAGATCATTGACTGAAAATAAGAATGTTGCTCAGCAGTTTGTACAATGTGATCCTATTTATGTTATATACATATGTATGTTTACACAGACACACAAACACATACATGACATGCACAAAGGAGTCAACAATGGTGATCTCTGACTGCTAAAAATGTGAGATTTTTTATCATTTGAATTTTTGGCTTCTCTGCAATTTTCTATTTTTCTAAATGTGCCTATATCCCATCTGTAACAATAAATGAGATATTTGCAAAATATATTTAATACTAAAAGGTTTACAGTCCATTTTTGTGTTTATTCTCTGATTCTACCTTTCCCATGAGAATAGGATATTTTTCTTATCCTCATTTTAGAGATAAATAAATTTAGTCTTCGAGAACATAGGTAATTTACCCAAGGTAACCCACTGAAGCAAGATGCAGGACAAGAACCATACCAGGTCTTCTGAGTAAATATTGCACAGCTTCCCTGTGCATTAGGTAGATCAGAAAAGGGAAGTGGAGACTTCAGAAATGACAACATTTAGGAAAGCAGTTATGCAATTTTAAATGGAAGAGATCCGAGGGTAAGATGCAACTTTAAATGCAGCATTTTCAGGAATAGGTGCATCTTTCAGTGCTAAACTGAATCCTCTGTTTCATAGACCAAGATATAGTCTTGCTAGGAATCTGGAGGGAACTATTTGCTCTAATAATTTAATCTCTGATTTCTTAGTTTATGCCTTAAGGTAAATAAGATAATCATCCTACTTCCGTATCTATCACACAAAGATGTTGCAAAGATTAACGAATAGTGTGCTGGGAGCTCCTTTGAGAAAAGAGCTATTTGAATACCATATATCATTAGCAGATTAATATTATAATTATTTACTAAATTTCTCTTCCTGTTTCTCAGAGTCAAATGCAATACCCAGCAAACTTATAGAAGGAAGAAAATCTTTCTGTGCCACTCTTGTTGGAGTGAAAGAGGGAAAGAAGAGAGCAAGAGAAGGGAGGTTGGTTCTCCCTACTTCTTCCCTCTGGAAGTTTTTGAAAGCGAAGTTCAACTGCATGACCATACATGGTCCCATGACCTACTCTTACTGCCTCTGAGATTTGCTTCTGTGGTGTTAAACATTGTTTCTTTTCAGGGCCATCTTATGTAAGACAGGAAGAGACCCAGTTTCATGGGCATGTAACCTGTTGGGTTGCACAGGGCCCTATGCTCAGAAGGGCTCCATATTTGCCATCTTAAAACTTGTAATAATACTATCTTTGAACTTGTGTTTTATAAATGATGTCTGATGGGACAATGGAGTATGTGCCAGTGGCTTGGAGCCTTGGCTCATGCACTTCCTCACTTCCTGTCACCTGCCTGTCTCCCTGGACAAGATCCTAACCATCCTCTCCTCTGCTCGCTGGTGCCCTAGGAATCGTCCAGCTTCCTTTTTCCCACCTGCACTTGTGACCATTGCTGCCCTCCATCCCCAATCAGGGTATAGGCACAGGGAGGGTCTGAGTTAGCCACATGTGCTTTGTAGCCTCAGATGGGACATGTTAGCAGCCGTCTTTGCCCTGGGCTGGCATGGCTGTGGTAGACAGAGGCCAGGTCTTGATGGGGATGAACCTCTTGTCCACCCCTGTTTCAGGTACCCAGCATGTCCCTGCTAAGAGGTTGCAGTACCCTTAGCAGTATGCTAAGATCCAAGGGGTTGTCTGCTGTGGATAGGGGCTTGGGGACCATGAGAAGGGAGAAATACCTAATTCGACTTCCCCAGCTCTTGTGCCTGGTGGGGACACAGCTTGTCAGTCTGGCGGCTATCAGGAAGGAGTAGCCAGCTGCTGGTGAGCTATGTGCGTGCCCTTAGTCATAAGAGGCAGGGCCTTCAGGTTGCTGTGAGGGTCTGCACTCACCTCAAGGTATCCCAGTGCCTGAAATAATACAATATTTAAACACACCAAACCATTAATTGTGACAAGTGTACCATAATAATGTAAGACATTAACAATGGGGAAATTAGGATGTGGGATATGTGGGAAGCCCCTGTGTTATCTTTGCAATTTTTCCGTCAGTCTGAAAGTATTTTAAAATAAAAAGTATATGAAGAAAAAACCACCATGACAAGTTGAAAGAGAGAATGCAGAAGAAAGGAAAAAACTTTATATTTTAGTATCTTTTATAGCAATTTTACTGCTTTTTCAACAAGGGGCCCTGCACTTTCATTTTGTACTGGGCCTTTCAAATTATGCAGCTGATTCTTACTGTAAAATCCCTTATTGAATGTGCAATTCAGCTATCTCTCTTTCTTTTCTTCCTCACACTCTTTTCTACCCTTCAATGCCAGGCCTTAGGATTTCTCCAATTGCCATTAGTAATTCTCCTATGCATCTATCACCTACTAAGAACTGGCTACCATCCTAGGCACTTCATATATTTTATCTTATTTAATCCCTTTATAACTTTATGAGATAAATATTTTATCCTTCTTCTACAGATGTATGAAATTGAGGTCTAGGACCACACAGTAAGTGGTAGAAGAGAAAGTCAATATTCATGATTCTCACTCCAAATCTGGTGCTTTTTTTCACAGTGCTACAGATGGACCATTCAGCCTTCAGGTGCCCAGGTATTTGTAGGATGCTTAGGCAATTTGGTTTCCATTCCTCCAATTATTTACTGAGTATCTCCTAGGTGCTAAAACTACAAAGTTATATCAGGGAGGCCAGTCCTGCGCTGCTCTGGTCATTTTCTTTGATTGCATTCATAGGTAGCAGGTGTTTGATATCCCCCTATTTAGTACACTCTAACCTCTGTGCCCATGGCTTAGTTGCCATGATAGGAAGACTATAAAGTGGACACAAAGTCTTGACTGTGAATTAAGAATTTGGAAAGTGATACTCTAGCCTAACTAACATTGCTTCAAAATGTATTAATTTTTGCTTAAACATTTTGATGGCTGATCTGAAGAAGAGAGGACAATGGAGCAAGGTCTCTTCATATCCATTACCTGTTCACCCACATCTCACGTTGTACCAACTCTAGAAGTACCTGAGTGCTTGTTCCATGCAGTAGACAATGAATGAGCTCACTGGTGTATCTTTGAAGAGTCCTTCTCTTTTTTGTACTTCTGCGGGTATAATTACTGTATGTATTTCCTTGGTCAAGCTTGAATAGAAATCAGATCCCTTTTTTCCTCTGCATGAAGGAGAAATGTGATGTATCATCTTGCAGTCATTTTGCATATCAGTGGATTCAAAAGGCTAGGAGCAAGCTACTTTCTCCCCACCGTCCTGGTGAATGTCCAATATTAGTTACAGAGAACCACAGGTTGTGATGTGGAAGACATGAAGGTAGTAAATCCCCAGCAGCTGGGAAGTGGTTGGACTTTTTCCTTTATTAGAGGCAGGGAATGAGAATGGGAGGGTTCTGTCTCTTCAGAAAAGGCTTCCTTGGAAGAAGTGCTCTTCTGGAAGCAAACAGAGGAGGCAAGGGGTTGTTTCGGACACACTAGAGAGTAAGTCAGAGAATCTTCGTGTTGAGGCAGCATTGCAAAATTGAAGATGAAGAAAGGAAGGAAGGTATGTGTAAGTCTGGCTTGAAATGAGTTTTATTAAAAACACCTCAATTCTTGTCTGCACATTTTTGAAGAGTGTGAAAAAAAAATGGAGGAAGTTACCTCCAGTGGTTTTGTGGCTTTTTAAGCATGACATACAGGATATTGAATTTAACCCCTGTTTATCTTGAAGTGTATGAATATTTCGGGGATAAACAAAGCAACTATTCTTTGAAATATGCGTCTGTGGCCAAGTGATTCCAGTTACTTGGAATCACAGTTCTGTTGATTCTCTTTTCTGCTTCAAGTATTTGCACACCACAGACATAAGATTATTCATATAATAATTTTTAAAAACCATGTGGTCTTGCTAGAATTTCTGTATAAATGTATAAAAATGTCTTTTAAATATGGCAGGAATGTTATATTAGAACTCCATGTGAGATTTTACATTTTATTAGTGCCTATTGTGTGTTTGTATTTCAGAAATCTTGGTAGAGTTTATAAATGCTATTTCTCTCAAAAACAGTCGTGTATATAGGAGAGTCCAAGTGCTTTTTACAACTCTCTGTAGCTTCATTAATTCATCTAGCATTTATAAAGTTATTTCAGTGCTTATTAAGATAGATTTCTTAAGCCAGTAACCTGAAGTATTTGTTTAGATTCACAAACTTTTGGATATAAAATGACATGTTAAGGATATGTAAAAAGAATTTTAATTATCTAGCAAAAAAATGTGATTTTCACAACAATATTTTTTGTGTGAAATACCAACAATATTTCCAGAAAGTCTAGAGTCTTAGGGCAACAAATTGGAGCCCCCAGCTTTAATCAAAATAAAAATCTGCAGAGTGTTCACATCTGGCTCCACCTGAAAGTCCGGTTCAGAATTTCCCTGTGATCCTGGCACTTGCAGAAGGGAAGTTTTAGCTTTGTTTAGTATAACAAGAGCTGCAGGACTCCCAGGCCAATAAACGTGTTCACGTAAAACTCCAGACAGCTTCTTTTAGACTGGAGTCTTATCAGGGAGACCTCATTTTCCCTCTAATTAAAGGAAAGATTTAAGGGAGAGAAAGGAATAGCCTATGCCTCTTACTTGTGCGGGTCAGTGTTCGCTGAATTAGAAGTTATTCCAACATGAACACAATCCTCAGGATGAATGACTGCCTAGACTTTGAACGTAATGGTCAACCAGTTTTCACCCGAATTTTGACTGTTTCATTTAGAAGAAAAGCAAAATGAGAAAAAGCTTTCCTCATTTCTCCTTGAGATGGCAAAGCACTCAGAAATGACATCACATACCCTAAAGAACCCTGGGATGACTAAGGCAGAGAGAGTCTGAGAAAACTCTTTGGTGCTTCTGCCTTTAGTTTTAGGACACATTTATGCAGATGAGCTTATAAGAGACCGTTCCCTCCGCCTTCTTCCTCAGAGGAAGTTTCTTGGTAGATCACCGACACCTCATCCAGGCGGGGGGTTGGGGGGAAACTTGGCACCAGCCATCCCAGGCAGAGCACCACTGTGATTTGTTCTCCTGGTGGAGAGAGCTGGAAGGAAGGAGCCAGCGTGCAAATAATGAAGGAGCACGGGGGCACCTTCAGTAGCACCGGAATCAGCGGTGGTAGCGGTGACTCTGCTATGGACAGCCTGCAGCCGCTCCAGCCTAACTACATGCCTGTGTGTTTGTTTGCAGAAGAATCTTATCAAAAATTAGCAATGGAAACGCTGGAGGAATTAGACTGGTGTTTAGACCAGCTAGAGACCATACAGACCTACCGGTCTGTCAGTGAGATGGCTTCTAACAAGGTAAGAGATGATCTTTTTATTCATTAAAGTGTGATCATGCAGGGAGCTCCAGCTCCCCTCACCCCTGTCTGCAGCAGAGTGCACCAGGGAATGCTACCAACTCTAAGAATATGTTTGTTGCTTTGTCTAGAAGATTCTCTTCCAAAGTGTCACACTCTACTTGTGTCTTGATGCTACAGCAAAAGTTTAAAATCCTCAGTACGCTTCAATTTCCAGAAACAAAACTTCTCTCTTACTGATGCAGTTTGGAATAGGTTTAAGGTGAGAGATGTCTGTCTGTAAAGCTTCCAAATCAATATAACATTGAAAGTGCTTTAAAATTTTTTTACAATTATCAGGAAGCTAAAATCTGAGTTAGTCTTGTTGCATTGCAATCAGGTGTCACATATTTATTTTTAAACAAGAAAGTAGTTTAACCTTCATATATCAATGGGAAAGAATGGTCTGTGTTGAAGTTTGATAAATTCCCTCTAAAAAGAAGGATATCCTGGGATTTTCTAAGATTTCTTTTGCGATGCTGGCATGACCTAAGATAAAAAAGAAACAATATGCTTTGTCTCCAAAACCAGAGGTTTTCTTTAAGTTTGCTGATTTTCATAGTGAAATCATTTGAAATTGCTTCATGCATACTGCCCCCAAAATGGTTTTATTTACAATCCCCAGACAAAGCTTAATGTTGAAGAGCCTTAATTATCTATCATTATATCATTTGTTTAATTAACACCTGGACTTAGAATGCTAATTTATGTAGTGAGAGTTGTTGCTTTTTGTTTGTATTTTTACCTTGGAGAATATTATATTAAATACATATTGCTATAAAGTTATACAAAGTTATATATGTGTGTGTACACACACACACACACACATACACTTTGTTAAAAAGCCTTACACCATACCCTCATAGGTGCACATTTCAGAGTCCCAGTCATTCTAGCCTGAAGTATCATCTTGTTGTCTACGTTTCTGGGGCTGAGAAGATATTTTGCTCCACACCTGCCAGCATGCCCTTTCCAGCCCTGAGGTGCACCAGTGAGTGTGTGTCCCTTCTCCAGCTTTCCTGGGGTAAAAGTACCACCTTTGGATCAAGGCTTGCTGGCTGCGGCTCAGAGGATCTGCGCAGAGGAAGCAGTGTGTCCTCAGGAGATCCTGAAGGAGGGGAGGGGGGACTCTTCCTACTTGGAACTCTTTGTTTATTGGTTAATGAAAGGGCAAAAATAAGTCCCTTTCTAAAATTTTAGTTTAGAGTTTAAGTTGGAAGGGAAAAAAAAAGAAAAGAACACATTTGAGGATTAACTATTTATTGACTTTTCTCTGAAGTTCTCAATTGAAGGTTAAACTCAGGGATTTTCCAGGCTGGGGTAAAACTCAACCAACTGCTTCCCCATGAGGAGGGCTTTGCTGTGTAACTTCTCCAAATCACACTGGGACTCCATGTAGAAGGACTTTCACAAGGCTTGAGCCTACTTTGGAGCATTAGCAGACACTCTGTTCCCTGTATTTTGTGGTAATTGACGGCTATGCAAGATGTAGATCCAACATTTATGGGGTAGTTTTTCAACAGCTTTCACCATAGAGAACATGGCAAACTTCAATAGTCACCAAAATATACTAACTAGAGTCACCAAGATAAAGCAGGCAATTAACTCCAAGAAGAGAAAAAGAGTACCCCCTGAGAAACTACAAATTGCCATTAATTTTCATTTTGAGTGTCAATATGCTGTAGTATTCTAATCCCATTCATGCCTAGAGTGCTGGAATTAGACATTGACTGTCTTGCAAATTTATTAAAAATAATCTTATTCAGCATAGTAGTTAGTAAGGCTCTGAGACCAGGCACTCTGTAGACACGGGTGAGGATTCCAATCCCTCAGGCTTCCGCTCCTCCTTTATGGTGTTGTGTGCAGGAAGCAATGAAAGTTGAATAGAGCTAACCCTAACAAAAGGGCTAACCTTCAATGCTGACACAGTTAGCTTAAGTAAAAAGCATGCAGCCTCAGTCATTTTCTAGTTCTACAGTGGAAAGGTTGTCAGGGAAAGCAATTATTTAGTGCATGAATGATGCCCAACTGACAGCTAAGATTAATTTTTAAAAATATCTCTTTTTACTTTACTACCTTTAAAAAATTATTGATTATTCAGATAATTGTCTCAGGTTAAGCTTGAGCATAACATGCACCATGACACATATGATATAAGGCAATGAGGCCAGGGAGTGGTGGCTCACGCCTGTAATCCCAGCACTTTGGGAGGTCGAGGCAGCACTTTGGGATTGCTTGAGCCCAGGAGTTCGAGATAATGCAATGCAAACATTTTTGTGGCCACCAGAAAGAAATTGATCTACACCAGTTCTTTGGGAACTGAATTATCCATGGCAAAAAAAAACTATATTCCATATTCAGTTTTCAATGTTGCTGAAATTATCTGAGATTTCCATCCAAGTTGACATCTTAAAACTTTATCATGATCATCACTCCCTTTACTATGTAGTCTTATTTGGCCATATTTTGCTTACCCTTATCAACTAAGGAGCCAGTGTAAATCTCTGAGTTGCAGATCTGGAAGTGATGTGAAGAAATGTTATAGAGGGAGTGTACTTATCAGTGGTATCCACTACATTTTTGCAAAAACTCTGTGTTCCTAGTTCTGTTTCAGCTACGTGGCCACTAAGTTTTGTTTGCAATGTCTGATCTTAAGAACAGCGATAGGTGAAATTGTGTTATGCTGAGGGGTATTTGGGAATTACATAAGTGCAGTCTACATGCAACTGGTAGAGAGTTAACTGTGTTTGGTGGAGGAAAAGCAAGCATCTTTCATCTTTACTTCATCTAGGTAGGGTTGTGCTTTTTTAGTTTGTTTGTTTTCCTTAATCCTTTAAATTTTGAAGAAAACTGAGTGATTCAAATCTCCTAAAAGACTTTCTCAAATGTACTTCATAGCCTAGAGAGTTAGCTAAGAAACATCGTCCTCTGTTTGGCCCAAATTTCTCTGATCCCTTAATGCTGGCCACAGTCCAGATGGAATTCCAGAATTTTAGAGAATGGTGCTGCCAGGTAGGTTAGTCTTGTAAATTATTTTCCTCCAAGAATTACTAGAAGATGGAATAAGTTCAGCAGAAGTTTTACAAGGCAATGGTATTGTTATTTAAGATGAAAAGGATGGCTAGTGAACCTCCTGCCAGCTGCCCAAATTCGATTAGACATGTTAGAGCTAGCCGTTTTGCTTAACAACAGATTGCCTTCTTAGAATTGTTCATTAATTTTGTGTTTCAATTTTCATCACCTCCTGAATTAGAAGAATTGTCTTACACTTCAGCAAAATGCATCAGAGCATGAGTTCCTCAGTGGCAAAACAGTCAGATGTTTTGAAAACAGGATGCTTTGGCTCTCCATTATAAAAAGAGGAACGGAAAGAGAAACAGTATAGAAAGGAAGAAAGCAAATAGCCTCAGCAGGGTCCCCAGCCCAACAACGGCATAAACAGTGACCTATCTTCCTGACCTTCACTGTGGCTCAGTTCCTGACCTCGTGTCACCAAAGCCAACCAACGTCATTAGAGGAGGATAGGAGGAATGGCGCAGCTGCTGTGAGGGTGACTACAATTTCCTGTCTCCTTCCTGACAGACGCAGTCAGTAAAGTACAGGGTTGCAACAACAGTGGCTGAGGAAGGACCAACCCAGAACAATCCCAGGGAGGCGTAATTGTGACTGGCGGGGAATGGGGAGGTGTTCCTTCCCTCATTGTACTGAGAAACCTAGTCTTTCACCTAGAATTTTCAGGTGAAAAACGTCAAAAGGGTCATTCTTACCCAGAATGCTAAATGTTTTTCAAAAGATGAACATACTGTGGTATTCAGAAAAGCTATATTCAAGCAACTAGTCACTGTCTTCACTTCCCCCACAAACGCCCTCCACTGTCCTTTTCATTCTCCATTGGTTTGGCTCTGGGGCTGTTTTATATGCAGAACAAAGGTTGGGTGCTGCTGGGTGAAAATGGATATTCTGTTGTTGAAGAGTGGCCCTGTGTATTAGTACTTTTTTTTTAGAATGAAGCATTAGGACTTAGCACTTGAGTAAATGTTTGCTAAGATAGAAATGGAAGATAGATGGTCCTTCTTCTCTTAAGGCATTGTGAAGTCGGCTACAGATAACCATCATGAGGAAGTGAGTCCTCCTGGCTATGCAGGCTTATTTTTCCAGTTCTTCAGGTGCAGCCATACTACAGTACTAAACATGGAGCACAAAGGCAACTAATTGCCAGTGCTCTTGGGTTTGCAGGATAAAGTCACACTATTCTACCAGGCCCCGAGCCAGCTGGGAATTAGGCTGCATGACACTGGATGGTGATCATGACAGGCTGATTGCCCTAATGAGGGGTGAACCATTTTGTATTTAACTAAATAATCAATAACTATGGAAAATGCCAGCTCCTGCAGAACTGACAGGAAATAGATCTTACTGGCCAATGGATTCATCTTAGAACTCTGTAAGAGAGAGGGTAGACAGGCGCTCAGTCCTTGAAAGGAATATTCATGCCACTTTTGCCTAAAATGTAATGATATGATTACAGCAGTGCCGCCCTTAGCATAAGATGCATCCATTTGCTGGGCCCTGTGCTGTAATCAGAGGGCCTTAGCCTGGCCTTCCTTCTGCTGCCCTCCACCCAAGGAAGTAAGGAGTTGGCCGGGCCAAGGGAGCAGCTTTGCTCCCCTCTCTAAACTACATTTTGCATCTGCTGGACCCCCACATTCTCTGTCCAAATGGCTTTGAACCCACTTCCCGGCCACACAAGCCTCTTCCTGGGATGTGCTGCAGGCATACACACCCTTAGGCCTAAGGAGTTTAACCAAGAGGCAGCAATGAGAGGTGTGAAGAGACTTGTGTAGGAGGAACTTGGGTAAGCAGGCTGCGGTCCAGGGCTCACGACGGCTGCTCACAGGTCCCTGGAGATGGAAGGACATGGGGAAAGAGGAGGGCCAACCCATATCCAAGGAGTTCAAGAATTCTAAATTCAACCTGACCTTCCAGGCTGTTATGGAGGGATATCTGTCAAGGTAAAGGAGATAGCTCAATGTATATCTTTGTATATTTAGACTTACAGTGTGTGGCCCCACACATGTTAGAGGTGACCCTGGATTAGAGGGCAGAATAGAATTAAAATCAGTTCTGGTAGCCAGGTGGGCACTCACACATTTTTTTGGTTCAACTTTTCTCTCTTTACTGCTCAGATTTATATAGACTAAATTATGGAGGGAGCAAAATAAAGTGAAAAGAGCCTAGGAATAAGCCATGAGTTTGAGTTCTAGCCCTGCCTTTACTTAGGTATAGTAATATAGACAATAAAACTATTTGGAATCTTTCCATATTCTCTTCTATAAAACAAAATAATTGGAAAAGACCCAGCTCTTCAGTTTATTGATTGAATAATATTAGTAAACAACAGAACTACCTTTACAGGTGTATGCAAACATTGTGCTAAGCTCTTTACCTCATTCTGTAATCAATATTCACAGTAACACTTTGAAATAGGTACTGTTATTATTCCTGCTTTACAGATGAGTAAAGTGAGGCATACAAAGTTGAAATAACTTGCTTAAGGTAAATCATAGAGCCAGGATTCATATCCAGTCCATCTGACTTACCATCAATGATCCCAATGAGGCATATAAAGAAAGAAAAAAGTTTAGAGTTATTTAATAATTCTTCTAAGGGGATTTTGGATTGGTTGGTGGGTGATCTTGTTCTTTCAACTGTGGCAAGCATTATTAGTGAGGCCTAGTTCAAATTTATATTCTGTAGCTACCATACTCACAGCCTCTAGGATGGCCATTAATTGCCCTAAGCTCAGTCTTCTTGCCTGGGAAGCAGTGTAAGGGGAAAGAGCAATCGCAATTATAGAAAATGGTTATAAAGTGCTCATAAAAATGCAAATAATAGTATTAAACTAATCCATTGCCTATTTCAGATCAATTTGCTCACTTCACTATCTGTTTCTTAAAATTCTCCAACATAGCCTAAGATAAGATAGTAAAGGTCTGTTCAAAGCACTGTAGACTAACCCCAAATTCCCTTTTTCCCTGCTTCTCAAAATAAAAAGGGAAATAGAGATAAGCTATTCTTGGCCGGGCGCGGTGGCTCACGCCTGTAATCCCAGCACTTTGGGAGGCCGAGGCGGGCGGATCACAAGGTCAGGATATCGAGACCATCCCGGCTAAAACGGTGAAACCCCGTCTCTACTAAAAATACAAAAAAATTAGCCGGGCGTAGTGGCGGGCGCCTGTAGTCCCAGCTACTTGGGAGGCTGAGGCAGGAGAATGGCGTGAACCCGGGAGGCGGAGCTTGCAGTGAGCCGAGATCCCGCCACTGCACTCCAGCCTGGGCGACAGAGCGAGACTCCGTCTCAAAAAAAAAAAAAAAAAAAGAGATAAGTTATTCTTATTTTTTAATTTATATGATCATTCAAATGATTTGGGCAATTTCATTATATGCCACAACCTTTCCAAGGCATGGAACATGACCATAAAACAGAGAATTAATGCTTCAGTAATATGTAAGGGAAATTTTTGGAAGTAACATGTCCACTGTTTTCCTTGGGCATTGTCTTCAAATAAAGATGAAAGAGAAGATTAAGCTATTTATTCTTTGTCATTGTTTCAGTTACTCTTTCTATGACAAAATGGAGTTGTATTAGTGAGTATTAGTATTAGTGCAATTCAGTATTCCAAGTTCTAGTCTTCTCAAAACTTAGCAAATCAAAGAGTTTGAAAGTTATTTGGTGCTTTGTAGTAAGTTTGATTTGTAATCTGTTTTGTTTTATTCAAATAGTTCTTCATTGGTTTTAACAGAACCATTTCTTTACTCAATGGTAATCCATTTGGCCCAATCTTTCTGCCTAACTCACTTGAAAGTCCTCAAGTGAGCAAGTCTCTAAAAAACAAACAGAAATGAAGAGGACATTGCCTTTGATTGTTTTACCTCTGGCTACCTGATAAGAGAGCATAATAGTCTCAAAATCTGATAAATAAATCATTTTAAGGGGAGTATCTTTCTCCACATTGGGGAAAAAATAATAGTTATGTTTAGATTGTCAAATGTAAATGTAAATGTAGAACACTAGTCTTCAAAAATAGAATTCAACCCGTTAGCAGAATAAATGTTTAGTCTCCATTTTTTTAATACTTTTTTCTCATCTTTTAAAAATTGTTTAGTTTTTTTTTGTTTGTTTTTTTTGTTGTTTTTTTTTTTTTAGAATATGTCCGAGTCTAAAAGGCTCCTAGGTTGTATGCCATTGTTGTCTATGAAAGAAAAACCAAGGGCGATGGTGCTTGCATTTGCAGTATTCTTCCAAAACATTTTTCTTCTGAGTAAAAGTGTGCTCAACAAGTGGAGATAGCTCAGACATCTGGAAGCCAGGACTTACTAAACAAGAAGATGCCAGGGCAAATTTGTGCCACAGTCAATAGGTTTCACACTCTTGAAGGCATGGTGCCAGTTGTCAATATGCTTTCCTGAGCATCCTTTCCCTCTAGCATTTTTCAGGGACCTACCAGCACCTCTCTGTCTTGCTCACTTGTACGTGATGTTTCCCTCAAGTGGTGCCAAACTGTTTAGTCTCTTGTGTATTTCACTGTAACTTCCTTTGTTTGATTGACTTTAAAGTAGCCAAGTGCTTCCACAAAGAAAGGACTGTTAAGTTATTTAGAAACGAAGAAGACAGTAAAACTCCTGTTTCTTTTGTTTCTGCTTTGGGAAGTGCCAGATAATTTTTTCTTCTTATGGAATAGATTTTAAAGCTATAAATCTTGCCATTCTGTTCAACAGTCACTTTTTTCCTTCTGCTAATTAATTGTAATTTTAAAATGTATCAGTTTTGAAATCTAGAGCCCCCAAAGATTGAAGTTTAGTAAATTTATTAAAATAAAATGTATCTTCATGGCTCAGTAACTTTCATCTTCTAATTTTTTTAGCTACTCAAAATAATTATAATTTTTTAATTAACTATTAAATACTTTACATGGCTGCCATCCCCTCACTCTTTGCTAACAGCATAGTGCATAATGTTTTAACTTTAAGCAATTATAAAAATGAAATTTGAATACACATACTGGGAAGTAAAAATGACTAAGCCAATTTTTAAATTTTAGATTTAGGACAAGAGGTGTTGGCATTTGATATCTAAAAAGATAGATTTTAAGTAGTTGTTTTAGAAAGAAAATAGTAAAAAGAAAAATTATCAGTAAATAAAAATAGATTTCAACTCAATTATATAGGCTATGCTAAAGCCAATCAGACAGGGCACAGTGAAGTATTAATTTACCAACTATCTAATGTCTTTGGTCACTATTGATGAAATTTGATAAATCAAACCAAAAAAGATCTAAACATTTTCTTTCTAGTTATAGTTTTACATGATTACATTAGACAAAGTCCTAGAACTTTAAGCCTAGAAGAGAGCCTTAAGTATTATTTTCTATTTCTATTTGAAGTCATTTTATAGATGAGAAAAAGAGGTGGCTTTTGCCACTAATGACAAGTGAGGATTAAAGTACCTAATGTACTCCAAATAACTTTGTAAAATATAGAGCACATTCTAAATGAAAAGTAATTTTATTATGGCATGACTTCTCCAAAGTCTTAAGGTGTATTAGTGGGATTCAGGTATTAAAGTATAGGTCTGATCATAAATCTGGCTTACTGTTCATCTTCAGCAAAAGGCTAGATATGTTTGAGAAAGACATGGGACATTCTCTCTTTTGTTTACATTGACTTTTAGACTTCTCATTCTTCATTTACGTTTCTTGAGTAAAAGGTATACATAAGTGTCTTAATAATTTCAAGTAAAGAGAACTAATTTAGTATGCCTGAAAATTTAGTGATCAAAACATAGCAAGAACTAGTTGGAGTGAGTTACTTTAAATGCCCCTGGTTTTAATTTCAGAATTTTTAAAAAAGCCTTAAATTTTTGAGGCTTTTGATTGTTGTTTGCTTTCTCACTCATTCCAATGTCAAAGTTTAGGTAGTAAAAATACCCTGTGGTTAGTGTAACTGCCCTTAACTTCTTTCTATTTCTTTCTTTCCTCTCTCTGAAACTGAAGATGATAAATTGGAAAGTTTTACCACTTGGATTGTTAAGCCTTGGGTTCTCTCTGCCACTTTGCAGAGCTGTTAGCATGGAAAGTTGAACGTGAGATGGTGATTCCAGTTTGACCCTCTCCCTACACCCTAGAATGTTTCTGCACAATGAGCCAGATTATGTAAAGCTCTCACAGCTCAAATATAATTTCTAGACTCTTGAGTCATATTACCAAGATCCTAGTGGAGTTAGGTACAATGGTGTTGGCAGCTGCCTTGTAAATAGTTTAAATCAAATAAGTCTAATTCACAGCATATAGAGACACATTTTTATGTATTTAGCCAACTTAAAATCAGTCTTAGTATGTGTAGATCCCTAAGTTAGCTGATACTGCAAGTATTTTGCCATAAAATTTGGATAAATAATAAACTATTAATGTAATTATTTAAATGTCGGGAAAAATCAAGGGAAAATGACTCGAGGAATTGAGCATCTTGGGATAATATTTATTAAGGGAAATTATTCCAGAAGATCCTTGAGAGTCTAACGTTAGCTCTTTTTTCTCCATAATTTCTAATCATTATTTACATTTCAAAGTAGAACAAAGTAAAAGAAAATTCCTTAGTATATAATGTAAGAAATTAAAAGAAAATTTCGAATTCTTAAGTGAGTAAGAAAGCTTAGTGTTTTGGTTATTGGAATAAGATACAGAAAACCTGAATTAAAAAGCTAAAAAGTGACTGGGCGCAGTGGCTCACGCCTGTAATCCCAGCACTTTGGGAAGCCAAGGTGGGCGGATTACTTGATGTCAGGAGTTTGAGACCAGCCTGGCCAACATGATGAAATACTGTCTCTAATTAAAAAAAAAAAAAAAAGAAAAAAAAGAAAAAAAATTAGCTGGGCATGGTGGCACACACTGTAATCCCAGCTACTAGAGAGGCTGAGGCAGGAGAATCACTTGAAACCAGGAGGTAGAGGGCAGTGAGCTAAGATCACATCCACTGAACTCCAGCCTGGGCAACAAGAGTGAAACTCCATCTCAAAAAAAAAAAAACAAAACAAAGCTAAAATGAGGCCAGGCCAGTGGCTCACGCCTGTAATCCCAAAACTCTGGGAGCCCTAAGAGGGCGAATCACTTGAGGCCAGGAGTTCAAGATCAGCCTGGCCAACACGGAGAAACCCTGTCTCTACTAAAAATACAAAAAATTAGCCGGACGCAGTGGTGCATGCCTGTAGTTCCAGCTACTGGGGTGGCTGAGGCATGAGAATCGCTTGAGCCCTGGAGGCAGAGGTTGTAGTGCACCAAGATCGCACTACTGCACTTCTGCACTCCAGCCTGGGTGCTGGGTGATGGGAGTGAAACCCTGTCAAAAAACAACAACAAAAAAAAACAAAAAAAACTAAAATGGAGATTTTATTGAGGGAAAATCCATTTACAGGCTAGGAGAATCATTTGTGTATAAAAAGGAAAGGCACAGATTTTTTTTAAAAAAGAGAGACTAAAATTGTTAGTAGCTCCTCTTGATTAAAACAGTGGACTTCCAACTTCCTCTCTACCCTCAATGTCAGAAAATCTATGGAAAATATGGCTTAAGAATATTATCATCACTTGAGAATAAAGAAACAGAGGGATTTACCCTCCATCTTCATATTCCATTGACTAGAAAACTTCCCCTTGGCTCAAACATGTCATCAGATCAGACCCTGTGCTATGATTCTGCTCCTAGGACGCCAAACTGTGGGGCTTTTTTTGAAACCCTCCCTTAGCTATTCTAACTTCCATAACATTTTCAAAGGCCATCCTCTTACCTATCTTATCAATTAATACCATAGCTAACATTTTAGTTATCTGGGATTTTATTTATGTCTGCTCAGATTGCAAGTTTGAATGTTTGAGACTCCACTTTCCTTGCAGGATTCGGGCTAATACATGCCAAGGAGGCATAGATTTCTTTCTGTTTAATTGTAAGGATGGAAGTGAAAAGCAAAGAAAGTTTTTGTCAGTTGGTGGTAGTTGATTTTTGGTTTATTTTAAAAAGCTGTCTGCAGTTTTCTTGATCATTTAAGAAATTTGTTGACATGGCACTTTTAATAGATTATCCTGCTTTTAAAGAATGCTGGCATGGGTAATGACCTCACTGGTGGGCACAGAACAATAATAAAGATAGAATTTTTTTTTTTGTATTTTCAGAAATTTAAAGTTATGAAACATTTTTAGACTATCCAGTGGCAATGTGCATTTCCAGTATACTTTTGTATGATGGTGAGAAGCTAGGGACCTTCTAATGGGTCACTAATGAAATGGACTCCAACTCCCACTCTGGATCTCTCACTCATAATCCACAAGGATTAATTTAACCTGCCAGATGCTACCCATTTAGCAAGCTGAAAGGACACAGTGCCCCCCAATGCCTGTAGCCTTGTCTGCTGTTATTGCTATTGCTGGCTCCATTCTATAAGTGAGTCAGATGATTTAGATACATATATGTTTACTAATGCAATGGGTAGTTTTTCTTGGCCAGGCTCAGTATATTATTTGTGTTCTTGTCAGGGAGAGCTACCAGTGAATTTTTTCCTGCTGTATTTTAACACTCAGGAACTGGTTGTGCAAAGTTTATTTGCATCTTTCTTGTGCATTGCATGGGAGTGTCCTTGAGAATATCTTGTAAACATTTGCTAGTATTGTTTTTTAAATATTTAAAAATCAGTATCATTTAATTTCAGAGAATTTGCTTCAACTTACTGGAATTAATTAAAAATGCTTTTGTATTTATATTTTTTCTTTTACATATTTAAAGTATTAAGATAAAGTCATTGTCTAATGTTGTCTGCCATAGTAAAATTTGCAAACTGAGAAAGGTCACATACTGCTTTTCAAGACTCTTTAGGGCCTTTAATACAGTGCTAAAATAGAAGAACTTTGTCAAAAATAAACAAAAGTATGAACTCCTTGGTAGGAGTAGATTCTCTTTGTTTTAAAAAAGTTAAATACATTGGGTTAAAATGAGCAAAATATGAGCTCCTTTTCGTAAAGTTAATAAAGGAGGAATAGAGATTAGGAAAAATTCAGAAATTTCCAATCACTGCTTTTCAAATCTAATCACATGATCCAGGACTTCATTTCCCAGAAAACTCTGCATCTGCCCGAGGGAACATTAGTTATGAGACAGTGCAGAGATTTCTAAGGCCCATTTCTTCACTTAAAGTTTATGTGCTCTCAAAGCTTCCTGTGGTACCAGGATAGAGCATTAAATAGCGTTATTCTCTTTGAGTTATAGCTGTTTCTTATTTTTGTGTTGTTAGATCCAATGTAGCATGGTAATAAAACATATTTGAAGCATCCCTTCCTGCATACACAGCGCTCTTACCTGTGTTCTCGTATGACACTCACCCTGAGGAAGGTCTTATTGTATCCCCATTTTCAGATATGAAACTGAGATTCGGGAAAGATAACCGATTTGTCCAAGTCCTTTACCTACTAAATGTCAAGACATAGAATCAAATCTTGTTCTCTTTGCTCAAAAGTTGAGCAAAGTTGTTCTCTTTGCTCAAAAGTTGAGTTAAAAATAAAAGTTAAAGGGAAATCCACAATTTATTATATTCTCGTATAACTTGTTAACAAAACATATCATCACAGAATTTTAAAGCTAGAAATCAGCGAAGTCTTGTTTTTCAGACCTCAGTTTAGATATCACCTCTTAGAAAGACCTTCTTTTATTACCCTAATTCAGCTGCTTGTTGGTTTTGCAATTTACTATCACAATTTATGGTTTTTGGTTTTGATCATGGAACTTGGTTTTTACTGATATCTTTCATTAGACTGTAAAGTTACTGAAGACATGAATTGTGTCTACCATGTTCACTAGTGAAGCCCCAGCAGTTACACTAGCTGTAGACACATGGTAGGCATTAGAATAAATATTTTTTGATCAATTGCATGAGGTTCAGAAACTTAATCTAATTTGTCCAAGACCAAGTATTTGTTAGTGATAAATCCATTAGAACCCTGGAATCCTGTTTCCTGTTGTGCGGCAATGGCTACATGTAGGGGCCTGCCATGCCTAATTCCAGCTTTCTAATTGTTAGGTTGCATGAGAAACCCTCATCTGGTTCCCAATGACCCCCAAAGTACCCTGAAAAAAGGGAAAGCTTATTCCTACCCTTCTCTTTCATCCAGAGTCAGATAACAAAGAACAAAGTTGTCAGGGACCAGTGCTTTCTTCCTGTGAGCAGAAATGTGAAGCATGGTTTTGGTTGGGGTTTTTGTTTGTTCGGTTGGCTTTTGGTTCAGTTTTGCAATATTTGGCTTACTATTCTCTCAAAAAGTCTGCATCCTGTGGACAAGAATCTAAGCCCTTTGGAGACTAGCAATGGCTATTCCACACTCTCTGGGGAGCCTATTTATGAGCACATGTGTTTGTAATTCAGCCACTCTCCATATCTGTTGGAGAATAGCAGCCTAATTATCTGCCATCATTTGGTTATGTTTTTCATTCCTGGCATATTGGTGACACTCCTCTCACCTGAGCCACATATTCAATTAATTCATATGTGTTACCACATTGATCTTAACTGTGAAAATCTGAGCAAAATGCATACTTGGTGCAGTTATCCTCATGTCAGGTAGTCTGTGGTCAGTCACAGCTTTTAGTCAATAGATAAAAAGTTGTAAAGTGTCTTAATTTGAGAAAATTGGCTAAACCAAAGAAGCATGAATGGATAGTTACCAACAGCTGGATTTCTCCAAATAGACTCTTTTTTTACGGTTTAACTTAAGCATAAGACCATTTTGAGTTATGGTGCTTTTCATTTGACTTGCTTCATCTATCTTTCTGGCAATTCTTGTTTACGCTCCTTAGACTGGTGAATAATCTAAATGTCAACCAGAGAGTCTGAACTTCTATGAGTAACTCATGTGTCACATAATCTATGTGACATAGTAGTGCATCACACCTGCAGCAGCATGCTATGGGAATTCTGTAATTAATTATATATGCTGCTGTCAACAATGAAAAGAAGGTGTTCAAGTATCAAAGAACCAACTGAAACTTCCACCCAAAAGCAAAGCCAAAGTGAGAAAGGTACCATGAGCTCAGATTATTTTGAAATTTACAGATAAAACCTAGCTTCAAGTACAAATCCTGTGGAAGAAAGAGCACACACTTGGTCTCAGACACCTTGGCAGCCACTTCACATATGTTATTCCTAATCTTCCCATTTCAAAGATAGAAAATTCTAGTCTCTAAGAGACTCAATGACTTGCTAAGTTTCTCAGACTAAGTTACAGTACATATTTTATTTCCAGACTCAGTTGAATTCTCAGATGCTCCTATGTCATATTTTATTTCCGGACTCAGTTGAATCCTCAGATGCTCCTATATCATGCTGTTATGACGTTGGGTTAGCTGAGGTCACTGGTAAGGCAAACCTGCAACCAGCACTCCCTCTACTTCATGTTTGCAGTAGAAGCTGCCTCTATAAACCTTCCGTGAACCTAACAAACCTATGCATCTTGAGGTGCATTGTTGTTCAAAGCATCTCTCCATCTCTTCTAAATTATGATAGCTAATAATGGAAAACACAAAATACATAACAAGCCCAACTACCTTTTTTAATAGGATAAAATTGCATAAGAAATAGCTGTCTATGAAATTTATGTCTATTTTATGTTATGAAACTATTTTCATCTTTTATAGTTTTAGTTAATAGTTTATGTGTGCAAACCTCCAACCTGTTACAAATTTTCCTCAATTTGCCGGTGCATACTCTAGCTTAGGGATTACTGAAATATCAAAACAGATAATAATATATATGCTTTCAGGGAAGGAAAGGATAGATCTATGTAGTCCAAAGCTTTCTTTTATTTTTTTGATAGGCCCTAGAGTTGATCTTGAAAATTGCCAGATTAATAGGCTGTCCCAGCCCTGAGAAATCGCTAATCTAGAAGTGGCAATTCCCAAGGCAGGTTTTGAAGCATTCCATTGTCTTTTACCTCAAGGGATGTATGAAAGTCACTAGCTGAAATCAATACAATTAATAATAAATACAATGTATTCTACATGGTATTTTTAAGGGGTAGAGTAATAATCTCAAAAACAAGCTATGATAGATTTTTGTAGCTGCAAAAAATATTAGAAACTTCAATAAGGCAGGATTTAAAACAACCTAAGAGGTACTATAGACTGAAAATGGAATTAACTTCTTAAAGAGAATCATGACCAATACGTAAGGGTTATGAAAAGAAAGTATAATATTTGAGTGGTAGTTTCCCTGTTCTGTGTAACTACTTTCATGTCAGATATGAAGGTCCTAAAACATAGGTGTTATTTTTCACTAGTCAGGAAAGGACACTAGACTGGATGGTCTGTGGGTCTGATCCACAGTAAGTGTTCTGATTGCTGAAAAATACTATAAGTTGTAGAGCTTCTAGCTGCGAAATGTTTCAAAATAAACCTTTGTCATCTACTTTGGAATCATATTAATGCCCTGTGGCCTTAGAATTGACTCTAGAAGCTTTCAGTTAAATATTAGCCGTTATACCTGTACAGAAAAAGTTGTAGAAAGGCTTAAAAGGAAAAACAAAAGAGTGACTGAATAATGTACCTTGATTCCTTGATTTTTCTCAGTTACTATGATGATTTTTGTCATCTGTTGAAAAAGGTTTCTGCTAAATTTAATTATCAGATCATCATCTCAAATCTTCAAAGTTCCTTTTTTTGTCTTTCTCTATTAACAGACAAATTAAAAGGGAAGGATCAAGTATATGAAATGAAATTGTGATGCTCCAGGAACAGTTTTAGGTCTTACGTTTCTCATTGGAAGAAAAGTCCTCTGTCAAAAAGAAAATTTTGAAAAGTTTAAATTATCTAAAAATATACAGTGCCCCTAAACTTAACATATATAATGAGTGTATGGCCTGGAAATCCAATCTCTTCATAGGCTATTTGCACATGCAATATCAGGACCATACTTACAGTTAAAAAAAAAAAAAGATAAAGAAAATTCTTCTTTATCTGAAATTCAAATTTAACTAGGTGCCCCGAATTTTTATTTGCTAAATCTGGCAACCTTATATATGTGGAAACATAATATAGTTTATAAATATTATATATATAGTTTAAAATGCATAGTGAATGTATCAGTCTTTAGGTATAAATAGTTACAGTATCTTTTGTCCATTTGATTACATCACTGCAGCAACTTTCAGAGTTGAGAGAATGTTGGATCATGAGAAATTGCTATAAACATTCTTATGGGAATCACTTTGGGTCTAGGAAACGTCAATTTTTTAGTGTTCCAATAATGTGTGTTATATCATCTCTTGAGAAGTTTTCAGAAATTCTGAGAAAAATGGACAGCAGAAAAGGGTTAGATAGATAGGAAGAAATATGTAATAATTTGGGGAGCTGTTCAAGCCCTAATCTCATTTAGGAGATTAGTTATAGAGCAGCTATATTCAAATTTGTTTGATCTTTTGATATTTTTCAATTCTGTATGAAGGCATTAATGGTTTTTCCCTGCTTTGCCTTTTAATATGTCACTTGAGCAGAGACTTGTCCTCTAACTAGCAAGTAGAATTGATTCTATTGTTGCTTCATCATAATTTTTGATGCAGAATAATGGTAGATATATTCATGCTTGTTTTTCGTTGTATACTTACCTATTGATTACTACGTTGCTGAGCAGTTAAGACAAGAAGCACTCAATTCTAACATGTTTAGAAGAGTTTCTTTCTGATTTGGCACATGGACAGTGAGAATGATCTCACTGTGTTTGTTCCCTGGCACACCAAAGGTTTGCTGCAGATGTTAGTACAGCAGAACTTGTTTGCTAAGATGACCCATTATGGAACACTAGCTGATTAAGCAGACGTTAATGGACAATTGCATGTCCATTATTACTTCTTTGACCATGTTACCAACTCAATTCAATTGCACTTGCTTTTCAAATAAGACAAACCTGTCAATAAAGAAACTGGACATCAAGTTTCAAATGATTGGTAGAGTTTATAGGGAAACACAAAAAGGAGGGAAGAGATGAGATGCACATTGTCAAATAATCTGAAATGTTAAGAATTGTGGAAATTGTTAGTTTCATAAGGAGTTTTAGACAAGCACACTATATCCCTCATTCTGTTTATTTCTTTTTCATTTAAAACTTAGATTTGCTTTACTTCTTTGGGTCTTCATTTCTTCCCATGCAAAATTCCTGAAAGTCAAAAGGAAGATTAGAAGCTAGCCATTTTACCACTAAAGAAACTGAGCCCCAAGAAGTTAATTCAGCTTACCCAAGATTACATATTTGCTTAGGGCCAGAGCTAAGACAGGGACAGACTCTGTTTACTTCATTTCTCACTAAACTGTACCACTGCAGTTTCGACTTCTTTCTACCACTGAAGGCACAGAATGCACTGAAGGCATTCTGTGCCTTCAGGAGGAATTTTCAGCCCCTTCACTTTCCTGATGCCCGGGAATTCTTTTTAAGTTATGACTAACAAAGTATAAAACATGAGTCAAAAGTTAGTCCCTAATAAAGTCATTGTGACTTTAATGACTTCGGCAGTTGTTTCATTCTGCAAAAACAGGAAGATCCCACACAATAAGGCGCCTGTCTCACAGCTGGGCTCCTGCGTAGACGGCCACCCACAAGAGTAACTAACTGCTGGGGCTGCCTTCCTCTCTTTGACACCTTTTTATTCTCTGTTCTTACAGTTTTCTCCTACTGACCTCATCCTGAGGTTATCCATGAGAGGAAGGTACCTGCTTTAGCTAGTCTTTGATAGGGTGAAGAATAGTTTTAATCACTTAGGAGTCACTCCTAAGTGATTTTCAGGTCACCCTCAACAGGCCTAAATTAGTCTTAGAAGAAGCTCTTTCATGGGCTTTATACTAGCTTCCTGTGTTATCACTATTCTGGACTGTTTTATTCTCAAAAACATAAAATCCCCAAATTTTAGATTTGAGAAGAGCCTGCGATCATTCCAGTTCACTCCTCCTATGTGATTAGTTTAACTAAGAACTCATTACCAAGATAGTGCCTATCTTGCCTGCGGATCTTTGCATAAAGCTCAAACTAATTCTCCCATGAGAAATATAGAAAAGTGAAGAAGTGTCCTATCACTTCAGAAGAAACTGGCTCAGAAGAAATAATCTCTGTATGCAGTGTTAAAACTAAAGAAAAATTGAAGCCATCAAACAAAATGTTCCTATCAAGTGTAATTGAATTTTAGCTTTTATTACCTATTCTCTACTTTTAAAATAACTTTTCACTATTAAAGGAACTTATTCCAAAAATCAGACAATTTTATAGAAAAGGTATATTCTAGGCCAATAATATTAAATCACATATCTAGAAAATATACCTTCTTCCCTTTTCAAAAAATAGAAGCAATTTCTAGCAGTGTATGTGAATCTAATGTTGGGCATAAGCTTAAGAAGGCATCGGAGGAATTTTTTATTAGAGTTTATTCACAAATTTTGCTTGTCTGTGTTGAAAAGGGGCATTGGCCATTTCCTCTGGGGACATTATTTCTAGGTAGGCTGTAACAGGGTTTTCCTGTGAAGGCAGATTCTTAGGGAAAATAGTATCTGTGTACATGAGATGGTAGAGACACATTTATCTTTAAAATAATGTGTTCCTGTTTGTGGATTTCTCTACTGAATTTAATAAAGTAAATAATGCCCATTTCCTTCCAATCCAGTAACTCCTTGGGACACAGTTTTACCCAGGAGCTATTTTACCTTCGAGTCTGGATGAAACGTGTAACTTAATAAATAGATTCCAAAAGTCTTACACTATGAAACTCTGAGGGATGATAAATGCTTCCCTTCCTTTGTTATGGTCTGAAGCATTTTCAATTTGAGTTGTTTTCCTCAGTCATGTAGAGGGAGTTTTGTTTTCTGGGAAGTCTTGGTTGCTGGTAAATAATGTGTCCAAACTGTAGGAGGCAGCCACAGAATTTATCATACAAGTATGAAATGTTAGGGTTGATCATTCTCATTTTACACATGAGAGGTGATGTAACTACACAGGAGAGTGAGAGCTGAGAATGAAAAGTCAAGATTTGTCTACTACATTGTGGCTGCCTCTGGCTCAACAGAAACACTCCCATGTGGGAGTCAGATGCTGAAAGCCCAACTAAGCCTAGCTCCTCAACTGTCTCCTCAGGCTTAACTTCAAACATAATTCATATCTATTCTATTTCTTAATGTGTCTCATCACACAGTTAAACACTAGTCATACTAACTGGACTCTACATATACTAGAATGTAAAAGATACCCTTCCACCCCCCGCCGTCTGCTCCTTGAAGGCCATGTCTGCCTTTCTTAGTTTGTACAGAGCCCAACATAAATGGGCCCTTCATAAGTGCTTTTTGATGAGAGCAATGATTGCTTTCACATCAGTGTGGTTGGGCCCTCCCTTATGGAGGAGGAAAACCAACAGTTGTTGCTAAGCAACATTTAAAGGACTAGGTTAGTTTCTGACACTAAGTGACCTCCATTTGCATACTTCGCCATGTTGTGTGTTTTATGGTTGCCTTAAGATGACTATGTTTTTTGGTAGCATTGCTGTGCCCTTAGCAAAAGGCTCATAGGAGAATTAGTTTAAGCCTGGGAAGGAGGAAGGTGATATTCATCTGTTAATGACTTGCATGAGTACACTGATCCCTTCAGTAAACTATGCGGGAAAGGTGAGGAGTTTGGTTTATTTTCAGCCCTGCAGCTGAGAGCCACCTCCCTGATTCCATATTGAAAGTGATTGACAATGTATCCCAACAGGGTCCTGTGGCAATGGAAGACTATAGAAAGAAAATAAACAGAGAAATCTTTCCTCTTATAGCCTTTTATGATTCAGTTTCTACCTGCTCCTATCTTCTGAGCAGAGTTGCCGATATAGCTAGTAAAGAACTGGTCCTACCCTCTCTAGACTGTTTGCTGTTGTGGTTAAACAACATGCCCTAATATATCTATTCCTACTAGAATGAAAGCTGATTAAAAGCATGAAAAGAGTTTTTGTTTGTTCCTTTGTTTTTTTTTCACTGCTATATCATCACTCTTTTCCCTGGTCATTTTAGGTATTCAATAAATGGTTGGCAAATACGTGAAAAAAGGGCATTATTGAACTACTACAAACCTGATTGACTCTAAAACATTCCTAAGTATTTCAGAGAGACTAAAGGAGCCAAAATGAGACAATTGTTTGAATGTTATATTTGCCTAAGTCTAGTGCAGAGAAAATTATGGAAGAAATCATCTGTCTCTAAGCTTTTTACAACATATTTTTACAATGATCCAATTAAAGTTCACTTCTTTGCCAAAATTCAGCTTATCGGTCAGAGCATATAAACTTGTTTTCTTCAGCTTCTGAGTCTTCAGCCTAGGTGCCTGTCTTTTGAGGATTTAAAATGAGAGGCCATTGTGACTGAGCAGTTGTGTCTTTAAAACGAAATAATTTGGAATTCATGTGATTCACCTGGGATTCAAAATTGCACAGAGGTTCAATAAGTAAAATATGCTAGCTGAGATGATTGATTCAGAGATGCCTGGTTACAAACATATTGTATCATGGGAAACACACACACATACGCAAGCAGGGTTACCCAGAAGGAGGATGATTGGACATCTTTGAGAACAATGCCTGGTGCAGTGAGCCAGCAGGCAGAAATACTGGCTTGCATTGGCTTCACCTCCAAAAGCCAGGTCTCCTAGGCACAGGCGATGGCATGACTCCGGGCTTGGATGCTTGAAATAAAGCTATTGTTGGATGCGGATGCTCATTTGAAAGGGGAATGCCTCACAGGAAAAAGAGCCAATTGCAAGTTGGGGCTGTTGCCATGGTGCTTTGCTATTCCTTCAACTTGCTATAGATGAAATAAATCCTGGGAGTACAGGGGTAGGGTAACAGAGGGGAAAGATGAGGAGGGAAATGGGGTGAACCTGGGGCGGGGAATCCCACTGCAGTAAAGCTCTAGTGTTTCCCCTTGCCTGTGCTTTAACGCTGACAAGGAGAAGGGAGGGGCTGGGAAGAAGGGAGAGAGAAACCTGCAGGGAAGGAATGACTTTCTCAACATGCCCTGGATTGCTAAAATAAAATAAAAATTAATTTAAATCCTCAGATTTCTAATGTGAGTTAGAAGATGTAACACTAAATCTCAAACAATTCACCATTCTTTCAGTAAATGAATGTTCATATTTCCTAACACACTCTGGATCCTAGATGGAAAGGTTAAAAGAGTTTAATACATTTGTCGAATGCAATCTAATATGCATATTAATGAGCTGATGGAGGGCAGAAACTTACATGCTGCATAGGAAGTACTTTTCAAATAAAATAAATTAATTCCATTCCCATTCATTTTACTATGAAAAGAGGCTAAATGCACTGGCACACGCTTGGTGTGTGCGACAAATAATCCTCCAAAAAGCTAGTTCACAAAAATTCTTGTGTACTGGCAGCCTAGTCTAAAAACAGCCATGGTCCTAACCTTTTTTAAATGTTTGCTTAAATGTTCAGAAAATCGATTAATCAAATGCATCATCACTTTGATCAATTAGAGCGGCTGGATTTTTGTGCAGAGGCTGCATCTGCAGAATTCTGGTCTGCAGTGGAGAGAGAGGGTTAAGGAACACCTAGTTGAAATGGGGGAGGGTACTGACTTCAGATTTACTTAAATATTCATGGGGCTTCCTCCATTTTAATCTTCTCCTTTTTAAAAGATGGCTGTGTTTCCTAGTCTGGCAACTCCTCAGGAAAGAAGAATTTCTTCTTCCTTGCAGAGTTCAGCTGAGTAGGACTAATGTAGAAGAGTGGAAACCCCTTCGGCCACCAGGGCTATTCATAATTCATAAGTGCTTCAAACCAGCCAGCTGAATACATTTGGACAGGCTCTTGCTCCTTCGTGCAATTCCTGATTTCATTACTCTCTTCTGCCAGGAAATAAGCAGGGAGCATAGGCTTCTTGCAAGAATGGAGTGCGAAGATGGGCTTTGTTTGGCTTAGGAAATGCCATACATTTTGGAGGTTTTTGTCTTTTCTAAGTTTTGATTATTTTATCACTGAATCTGCAGGGCTTTCCTGATCCTTTCGGGATTGCTCTCTCAGAACTGTGAATTCTTTCAAAGGGATTTGTGGATTGTGGCAAGGAGAGCATTCCAAAATGCCTGAGGCAAATTATTTGTTATCTGTATCTTGGGGTTACATCAAGGTGGGTTAATTTGATTGTGTTCTGTGTCTTTGATAAAATGTGAAACGTACCTCTGTGTGTTTTTTTGTGAAGTACAGGACATCTGTAATAATTTGATTTGTGTGTTCATTTAACCCACTGGGACCTCTTATTTTGAAATAAGAGCATGTTATATTACATTTTATTTAAGTGTACTATGCTGTGTTTTAATCCTGTTCTTTTTACTGAATTCTGTTTTTTAAAAGATGCTTCTTTTTTTTTCTTTTTCCCTTGAACTTTTCACATATAATCTCCTCTCACCAAATAGGTTATTAAATTATATTTTAGAGGTAATTTCAGACAAATGTATTTTTAAAAGTAGGTACAGTTTCAAGTGGAATTATCTTGACCTCTATTAAAATTCCTTTTCCTATGTTTGCATCTTCAAAAGTAATCAGATGTTAATTCTAAGAAATCTTAAGAAAACCTCTTTTCCAAAAGTGACGTTGGAATAATTTCAAATTGAAGAGATATATTTTGTAGAAACAGTATTATTTATCTAATGGTATCTGCTCATCCAACCTCTTGATTCCTGGACAGTAAAGTTGGAAACATTTAAAATGAACATTTGCTCTTTTTAAAGTGGTTAATGCATTTTTGTTCTTTATAAACAGTTCAAAAGAATGCTGAACCGGGAGCTGACACACCTCTCAGAGATGAGCCGATCAGGGAACCAGGTGTCTGAATACATTTCAAATACTTTCTTAGGTAAGATATTAACTGGGAAAAACCTGTTTTATAACTGGGGTTTTCAGAATTAATTTCTACAACCTATCAAGGACATCCTCATGTGAATTTGGGATGGAGTTGAGTCATAGAAAAATCCATTTAAAATAATAACTAAGGCCAGTCTTCAAAAGAAAAAAAAATAAGCAGGAAGATCATGTTTTTGAAAAAAAAGAATTAAAATACCCATCCAAGACAGAGGGTTATTATGGGCTAATTGTATTTAAACGGCCCTCAGCCCCACCTTGTCTGCCTGCCTACTTCCATCTTTGCTAAGACCTCTGAAGTAATGAGGGAAATCCAATCACCCAAGCCCTAGAGGCAGCTCCATTAGCTTCTCTGACATGGTAGCCTTTCACTTCCTCCAATAACTGAGCTTTGAGCAAAAGGTTTCCTCTATGATGTTTTGTAGGGGATATGGTTGAGGAATAATTCTATAGTGATTTGGTCCTTGAGAATAAGCTTTGGAAATAATTTGACTATTGCTTTGCTAAGTTATTTATTAAAGAAAAATGGATGGTAAGGGGGAGAATTTTAATATTATCTGAAGGATTTCATCTTCTGCAAGCAGCCTCGTTCTCTTCCCAATCTGATGCTTTATCTATTATTCTCTGTTGTTACATTACTGGTATTTAACACATGATTTGCTGACCAAAAAGATTGCATGAATGGTCCTCAACTATTGTCATGCGTGTTATTTGATTATTTGGGATTTTTGAATTCAGTCTTAAAGGCACTTTTGTCTAACGAACCTATTTGGACTATTTTGATTTAAGAAGTCCTACAGAATCTGCAAATCTGTACATCAAAGTAAATGGATAGCATTTAGATTCTGATTTTGTTGACTTTATATTGCTACTGAATTACGCTTGCTTATGAAACCTCACTTTCCAGGGAAGCGACCCATTCTCACAGCTGAACACTGCATCCTCTCTTCTTTTTGGAATAGCCATATGGCATTAAATCAATGAGCATTTTCCTTGATGCCTTACTGAAACAAATACCTTTTCTGGTTTTATTTCTAAAATCAATCCTATTTCTCTAACACCAAAGCAGTTCTTGCTATCAGCAGATCAATCAGCCCTCTCTTTGAGCAGCCTCATACAGAGCTTACTGCATTACTCTGCAGTGGATGGTCACCAGACGTGATTAACAAGTGCCTTTCTAACAGTTTCTAGTATGTGAGTGTCTGCAGCACTTGATTTTCTCCAGCTGCAGTTGCAACGCCTTTGTCAGAGAACAAAGGAGAAGAATTTTCATCCATCCTAGCTCCCAGAGGTGCCTGGAATCTAACTTTACAGAAAGCATTAAATACTGATCCTTTTCTTCTCCTTTTATCCATTTGAAGACAGGGATCTTCTGCTGAGCATTTCAGATATACCCTGCTCTGTGTAATGCCCAACGATTTTTCATTAGCTGGGAGCTGTTTTAGGGACATTTTACAGGTTAATGACTGTGGGAGAGGAGAATAAAATCAAAACTGCAAGAACCCATTTTTGTCTTCATAAGCATTGCATTTTAAAATACGAGGGCTTGAAGACTTCTCAGAAGAGACACTCACTACTGGAGTTAAAGTTATATGAAGTCCCTGAGCCCTTAATCATCCAAGACTGGACCTAAGCAGTCCTCTTCGTTTGTAGTCTCTTTCAATATCTGCTTATCAAGGACAACGAGAATATCTTAGTCTACTAATTAATCTTTTTTATCACCATAGTCTACCAAGAAAGAAAGCTGATAAGATAATAAAGATGATTCATTCCTCAGAGTAGGAAAAAATAAAAAGAAAAATTTAAAAAGATGCTAAATATGAGCGCTGAGTCTCAACACTGTCTCAAGATGAGGCAGATGTCAACTTTCTTGCCTATTCTGCTTGCTATTTAGGCATATCTCTTGAGCAAAACCAGTCATTTGTCTTCTCATTGTTCCAAAAATTAAATTCAAGAACAAATTGTTGAGGAAGGTTATTAGAATCTCAATCCTTATAGACTCTTAGCATTAAGAGGGTGGTGTGTGTCAGTGGGTGTATGTGTTTGAGGGTGGATGTGGTAAACCCCATCAAACAGACTAGACGGGCAGATTAGAATTTTAAATGTTCTTGAGAAAATATAGGAAGAAAAAAACCTGTAATATTAACAAAAGATGCATCAGTTGCCTCACTTGTAAAATGGGAACACTGGTATAGATGACATCTCAAATCCCTTCCAACTCTAACTTACTATAACTCTGATATGAACTGAGTTTATCAGTTTTGCTAAGACATACCTGGCCATCTAGATTCTCTGTGGTGAACCCTAGGCTTGTAATCTGACAATCTCAAAAAACAAATAAACGAAGTTTGTTTCCAGACTGCCAGTGAAGGGCATGGAACTCTTAGTCTTATCCTGTGAGCATGATGAATGTTCCTGGAAGACCATAAAGCCTTCTTCATAAACTTTCTGATCTGCATGGGACCATAAAACCTTGTAGTCCAATTCCCTCATTTTATAGGAGAGAAAACAGGGGACCCAGAGGGATGAGGTAACTTGACCAAGATCGCTTGGCTAATACTTTCCTCAGCCAGAACTAGGACTTGGCTTTCTTGGCATCTAGACCTAAATACCCTGTCAATCCTTTAACGAGGAAAGAAGGCTGTTAGGAACGCAGAACATATAGAAGAAAATCACATAAGGACTCTTAACTGATACATATATCATTTTGGAAACAAGTCTTTAGGAATCAGGATTGTTGGAGCTAAAAATAAAATGTTTATTAACAGGCCGGGCGTGGCAGCTCATGCCTGTAATCCCAGCACGTTCAGAGGCCGAGATGGGCAGATCACCTGAGGTCAGGAGTTCGAGACCAGCCTGGTCAACATGGTGAAACCCTGTCTCTACTAAAAATACAAAAATAGCTGGGCATGGTGGTACATGCCTGTGGTCCCAGCTACTGGGGAGGCTGAGGCAGGAGAATCACTTGAATCCAGGAGATGGAGGTTGCAGTGAGCCAAGATCACACCATTGCACTCCAGCCTGGGCGAGAAGAGCAAAACTCTGTCTCAAAAAAAAAAAAAAAAAAGTATTAACAGTTTCTAATAATATAAAAGGTTCCTGTAAGACCATGGCAACCACCTCAGTGAGCACAAAATAAGAAGATCTTAGCAATTTACCTTAAACTTGAAGAGCAATATTTCAATAAAAGCCATTAAATGTTAAAAATGTGTCATCCAGGGAGGAGGGAAATCCCTTAATCCAGAGATAGGTGAAACTTGTGTCATTCCTATCTTTTAAAAAAAAGTGGTGCAGGAGGACAGGGAGAAAGGCAGGCAGTAGACTATATTTACCAGTCCAGGCACTCATTGATGCTGTCACATAATGGGCTCCAGGTTGCTGGTGCAAGGGGAAATAGAAGTGTCTAATTTCAAGGGAAACAAAGCAGGACCTAGGGAGAAGGAGAATAAATAATGCAAGATTTTTACATGTTATATTACAATTTAGTTAATATTTTCATGAACAGAGAAAAGTTATCCTTTTAAATCCTCTACTTACCCTCTCAAAACCTAGAACTTAGAATTTTCAAGATGCAAGGAAAAGAGCTTAGGAATTTTGCATAATTGAAAAGTGTGATCTAGCAAGACATGAGCCTCAAATTATGCCATTAACAGAATTTGGATGAGACTACTTTTTTATCCGCTTTTTGTTTGTTTTATACAGGCCAACTGTTTGCTCACTGTATTCTGACTATTCCATAAATGTAAATTCACTCAGTGTTTATTGTGATTTTTTTGAGTCTGAGTTTCTGATTATTTCCACACTGTGCTGGCTAAGCATTTAATAGAGGAAATTCAGAATAGGGAAACCTATTAGTTGTTCCAATGCCTGCATAGGGAAACACCCATTAATGTCAAATTGGCACTATTTGTGAATAATGGTCTTCTTCATTATTGCAGTGTTCCAGACACAGTAGTGGTTCAGCTCAATTACTCACTGTTGCAGGGAATCTTTAATTAAACAAAGGGAAAAGGCTGCTGGTCCTACTAGAAATGGTTATATGTGCAGTGACACAGGAGAATCTAAGAGCCTCTTTAACCGGAGGTGAAGAATGGTGGTAAAAAGGCAGGCCCTATGGTAGCCTTTCATTTTAGCAAAAAGTAGTAGTTATTAGGAGTAAAGTGACAGGGAGAAAAGTAATTTCAAACTAATATAATATATAGGTTTTATGCCAGAGATTGTGTGGCAGGAAAAAGATTTTTGACAGGAACCTCAAGGCCTGGGTTCTATGCTACTAAATCACTGTGTCTGGAGCAAAGTAATTGCAAAATAAATATCTGTTAAATAAATTGCCCTCTGAGCTTGGGCAAGTTGCTGACTTCATCTGAAAAATGAGAGTGTGGGATTGTTATTGGTTCTTAAACCTGGCTCTGATTATCCAAGTCACTTGGGAATCTTTTAAAAAAAATACTGATTCAGTAGGATTGGGTGGGGCTTATTCAGAAAAATCTGTATTTTTCTGAAGTTTCCTGGGTGCTTCTGATGCTGGACTAGGTTGGAAACCCCTAAACTAATTGAGATGACCACTAAAATTCCTTCCTAAGCAAAAGTCATAGGCTTGTGAGTGTAGGAGCTTGTGGACACCTAGAGACAATACTGATATGTTAGGGATGGATAATTCCCTTGCTTCAGTCCCACAGAGAGCAGGTGAGGTATACCACGAAGCCAGTACTGTCTCACTGTGCTTGCTTTGCTCTGATGAAGTGTCCACAGGGGCCTATGAGCAGCCAGAGGTCTCTGGGGAAAACATGTGACTGTGCCATTATCTGCAAGAGTCAAAACAAATCGTCTAGATCCCAGAATGCCATCTGGGAGCATGTCATTTTCAAATGGCAAAGTTGTCTTCCTACTAATTTTCACTGTAACCAGCGGAGGTAAATGTAGGTACTTTTGAAAGCTGCATTAACTCTTTCAGCCACAGGGTGTCATTTAGTTCAATAAAGTAGTTTTTATGCAATTTAATAATTGCCTCTGTGCACCCACCAGCATCCCTGTGGCCTGAAAGAGTTAATGCATTTTTTTCAGAAGTACTGAAGATACATCTCCCTGTGAAGTGAAATGGAATATTTGATGGCTGATATTTTTAATAGCACAATGTAAAGGAAAGAGCTTCTATAAGCAGGTAGGCACTTTTTTTTTCACTAATCCTAGCTCTGCTGTTACCTTGTTGTAACATAATTTTAAAAAATATTATGAAGTATCATAAATATTTAATAACCTTAAACATGTTAATAAGTGTAATGCTTATTACAAACAAGAGGCCTTATTGTTATTATTTATTGGTAGAATTAATAGACTCCAGGCATGAAATAAAACCAAAATTATAGTCTTCCTCTAAACCTCAAATGGTAATAAACCAAGCCCTTAAAGTAATTGTTTGAGGATTATGAACCATTTATATTTCTAACATATATACTGCTTATTTAAACTGAGCCCTTGCTAAAGCCATATGGATTTTTAAATTTTTTTTAAGTAAAAATAAGATGAGCAGATCATGAAGCCTGTTTTTATTAATCTGATGGACATTTTATTATACAAAAATATGTTAATCCCTTTATTTAAAAATCTACATATAAGTATTAGTGCCCCACATTGCAAATGTATAAGTGTGTACTCCTTATACACTCCTTATATACCCCTAAATTACACTGAAAACAGAAGATTTGGTCTTGGGTCCTATTTTTGCTGCTTTCTGGACAAGTTACTTCGTTCCTCTGGGCCTTAATTTGCCTAGCAATAACATGGAACAACAAATCTTATTTTTCTCAACAAATTTTATATTTTCCCCACTTACTTTATAGAACTGCCCTAGAGATACAGTGAAATAGTGCTACAAGATTTTATTTTATAAGATTCTAAAGCTGTTATAGATGGTTAGAGTTGTTTTGAATATTGCAGTGGATTCTCATAGACACATGTGCTGAAAAACATATTCCTTTGTCTGTTGCAGACAAGCAGAATGATGTGGAGATCCCATCTCCTACCCAGAAAGACAGGGAGAAAAAGAAAAAGCAGCAGCTCATGACCCAGATAAGTGGAGTGAAGAAATTAATGCATAGTTCAAGCCTAAACAATACAAGCATCTCACGCTTTGGAGTCAACACTGAAAATGAAGATCACCTGGCCAAGGTGTGTATAAGCTCAGGTTTTGTGCATGTAGCTCTCTGCTTTACAGCAGACGGATGACCGTATACCTTTTAGAAAATAGTATGGATTGCTTTTGCATTATTATTACATTTTGTGTTAGGGAAGCTCATATGAAATGACTTTACTGTGAGCAGTAAGGCCTTCTGAAAGCTGTCATTTGAGGAAGGTTGATTGAACATGAGACCAAGTCTTGGGGGATAGCCTGGATCTCTTATGCTGGGTAGCCATTAAGAATGCCATTGTTGGGGCATCTGATGGAAGATCCTTTTTCCATACCAAAGAACCACTTTTTTTTGTTTTGTCCTGAGTTAGGTTTTTATGGACAGTTCATTATGAATGAAGAATCCTTCTGAAGAGACATGGGGAAAATCCAAGGAAAGGTCAATAGGCAGGTCTGAATTATCCCAGAGGACATTTCAGGGACTGTATGCCAAGGACCAATGGGAAAATCTGCACTAATCTGTAGTGCTGGAAAAGAAATAAAGAGAAACTGACAGCACTGACTCTGGAGCCCAAACTCCAGTAGTGGAGGGAGGCATAGAAAGAATTCATACATCCTTTAGGAGGCCACACAAAGTGACTGCTGAGGTCCTCTCAGCCTTGTGAGAATATGAAATGAGCTTACTGTGAGCAGTAAGACCTTCTGAAAGCTGTCATTAGAGGAAGGTTGATTAAACATTAGGCCAAGTCGTGGTGGAGAGCCTGGATCTCTTACTCTGGATAGTTACTAAGAATGAAATAAATTGGTCCTTAAATCAGATAACCTTGGAATAATCTCACAACACAGGCCTGAGTGATGTTTCTTCCAGGTCCGTCTGTGGCCCAGGAGCCCTAGGATGTAATTCATGACTGGCATTCTTCATGACCTTTTACATTCAATTGGGTTGACTTATGCACATTCTGATAGCTGAGTCTTCCTGATCTGGCCTTCAGTGATGATAACCAAAGGGCAGAGGAGTTTTCCCTGAGACTGTTTTCCAGCTGTCACTAATGGGCCAGTAAGCAGCAAGGGGAGAGACAGGGACATTGAACTAGAGTGATCTCTATTCACTTGTGGCCACCTTTGAAAGCAACATTGGTTGAAGACTGATGCATGTCCAATATAGGTCAGCAACTAAATTTATAAATAGATACTTTCCCTTTTCAGAATAAAAAATGTTCAGAAACTTGTAGCTATCATGAAGAGGACACCCGACCTCCTAGGTCATTTAACTTTCAGATTTTCACACAACTAAAGCACTCTAAGGAGACACTCTAAAGACTTAAACAGCCAATGTCCAAAAAATAAATTAAAAAAATGAGGCATGTTAGCACAACTTTCCTTATTCCTAAATTCCTTTAAATTTTTAATTATAGGAGCTGGAAGACCTGAACAAATGGGGTCTTAACATCTTTAATGTGGCTGGATATTCTCACAATAGACCCCTAACATGCATCATGTATGCTATATTCCAGGTGAGTGAACAGGAGTGAATACTGGCTTTCCAATTGGATGGCTCTTTATGATTTTTTTTTTCCATCTTACTTTTCTGATTTAACTTTCCTCGACTTTTGGACATCTACTTATTTATGTTCTAATCCATTTTACAACACAGGAAAGAGACCTCCTAAAGACATTCAGAATCTCATCTGACACATTTATAACCTACATGATGACTTTAGAAGACCATTACCATTCTGACGTGGCATATCACAACAGCCTGCACGCTGCTGATGTAGCCCAGTCGACCCATGTTCTCCTTTCTACACCAGCATTAGACGTGAGTAATTATGACCTGTTTTGCATTCCTGCCCATCCTCCTTCAAAAATGCCATATCAGCTGGATGTAGTAGCATGTGCCTGTAGTCCTAGCTACTCGGGAGGCTGAGTTGGGAGGATTGCTTGAGCCCAGGGGTTCAAGGTTACAGTGAGCTATGATTGCTCCCCTGGACTCCCGCTTGGGCAACCCTGTCTCTAAAAAAATAAAAATAAAAAAAATTTAAAAAGTGCCTTACAATATACAATATACTTACAAAATTAATGTAATTAGACCACCCTGCATACTTGAACAGGTTCTTTATAAAATGTATCACATCCATTAACTGAGCTATTTATAAAAAATGAATGACATTTCTACTTGTTTTGCTTTCTAATATCAGAGTAACCTTCCCTTTACATCTCTTACTATTAAAAGTATTTAACTGTAAAGCAATTAACAGAATTTCAGGGCAGGAATCATGTCTTATTCTTCATTGTATTTCTACTAAGGGATGCAGTGTATCTCAAAATATCTTGTTCAGTGTCCGGTAAATAGTATATTCTCAATATGCAATTACTTATCTGAACTGCCCAATGCCACCCTAGGTATATATAGAGCACTATATTCCAAGGGGGATATCACAGAAATATAAAATACTCTCTATATTTCTTATTAGTAATAAGCATCCAGAGGCTTAGTCTCCTAAAAAATTATAAAACTGATGCAATGTGTTGAAGAAGTAGTAACTAAAAATCTAGAACAGAAGAATTAATGATGCTGAAACAAGGAGAAACAATATTCATATTTGCCATACCAACTCTGAGAAGGTGGCCGTGGCTCCCTTCCTTCATAGATTAATGCATTTGTGTATACCGATATCATCAACAATGTGTACAGCAGGTCATACTCTTACTTGACAAATGAAAATGATGGTCAAGTACTCCCAAAATGTGCTGGACCACTGCAGGAAGAGACTGGCCATGCCCTGTCCAGCCTCACCTTTACAGATTCAGTTTGGAAGGTGAAAAAAGATTGGCCACAACTTTTTTGTGGCAACTCTATTGCTTGTGTTGCATATTTTCTAAGAAAAGAAATCCAAGAAATCTTGAGAAAGTGAGATGGAGCTAAGGGTGTTTGATCCCTCTGAAGGAGAGAAAGAGTACTGTTTTTATACCCTGTGTAAGTATCATAGAGTGAGGCAACACTATCTATCAACTGCTCACTGTTATTAATAGTATACCTGCTGTGTGGCCAGAAATTGACAATGATGAGTGCTGCAAACTTTTTAGAAAAGGGAGAGCTCAATGAGTGCTTGGGTAATGTGATTGGTCTTTATAGGAGAGGTGGAAACCCACCTCAAGCTGGCATTTGAAGGACCAGAAGATTTAACTAATCACAGAGGATGAGGAAAGACATTTCAGCTCTAGAATGAGCACCAGTATATACCTTATTAATACTAGGTTTGAATCATTGTGCATGGGTGGGGGCAGAGAAGCATTCATGACATGACATGAAGGAATTCAGCAGTGGGGCCTCAGGTTTCACTTCTTAGAAAGGTTCTCAAATCTTCCCCTAGTAAGTGATTAGTGGGTACGTACTGAATGAATGAATAATATCTGAAAGCTTGTGACCACACCATAAATTTAGCTTTGGGAAATAATTTATTGCTTATCTTATGAATCGGGAGTTTGGCCATTTTTCTCTAAGTTATTCAGCTAAGAGTATATGAAGGTTGTTATGTCTCAGAGCAGAGCCAGTCTGACTTGCTTCTTTGACTTGTATCTGCTTGTGTTACATAAGCACCATGCTGCCACATCACTGGTCCAAGAAACAAACATTAGACGTTTACACACTCCATGAGATTTGTGCTAATATCTTTCCAAGCATCAGCCTTTAGGCTTGATGTGAGATTGAGCTCTGGCCATCATCCCTTTCACATCAGAGACTTTATGATGATGAACAGAATCTACATTTACTTAAATTAGTATATTGAGATATTACATAAATCAACAATCCCTCTCCCAACAAGAATAAAGTAGGATACTTTACAAATGAAACTGAATAAGCAGGATAGGCGAATTGGATGTGTAGTTAAATGTGTTTATTTGCCCGACAGGCTGTCTTCACAGATTTGGAGATCCTGGCTGCCATTTTTGCAGCTGCCATCCATGACGTTGATCATCCTGGAGTCTCCAATCAGTTTCTCATCAACACAAGTGAGTTCACCACTACAGCAGTCATTCCAGATAATTGTATGATTCACTGCTTAATTTTTTTCCTCCTAATGTTTTCATTATGGATAATCACAAGGATAATAATGAGGCAATCCTTCCATTTCTCTCAAACTGGTCAGGCCTTTCGTGGATACTCAGTCCAATCTGGCAACACAATGTTTGAGCTGCATGGAGAACTTGGAGAGGGTCATAGGGGAGCCATAAAAAGTACTCAAAATTTGGCAAATACAATATGTAAGGAAAGAATAATAGATATGGAATTATTCATAAAGAACAATAAAAGGTTTGGGGATCCCATGATAATGACTTTTTATATTATGCAAAACTCTCGCACAGAGCATAGTAACTCACTACTGTCCCTATCTGCTTGGGAAGCAGCCACAAATGTTGAATCTGCACATGGGAACCTCCAGGTAAAAATAAGATGCCATAAAAAGCACTGGAATGAGTTTCCACAGTTCAGAAGGAAGGGTCATTAAAAGTTCCATACATTTTCTTCCAACTGCATAGATTTGATTATGGATTGGGAGTAGCAATGACCTGAGTGACCAGGGGTGGTCTAGCCTTAGGATTCCAAGCCATACTCAAAGCTTTTGTCATGCTTAAAATGTTTAGTTTTCATACCTTTGAAAATCCATTCATTTTCTCAAATAATGTACTATCTCTAAGTGCTGGAAATCTAAGTACTTTGAGAATATTGGTTATTGTAGTCATGAATAACATCAAGTACTGACAGTTTTCTAGAAATGCTTTTTGAGCTACTTGCTGTAAAAGAGTCCTGATCATCAGTCCTTGACCTTTATCCAAAGAATATCTGAATGACCTAGGTTTGGAGTACACTGGGTCCTTTTACTTCATTCTTCTGTTGAACAAACAAAATGTTGGGGCAGCTACATGTCTGCATGGATTGTATCAGTTGGTAGAATGTGGTGTCATGAATCATATATAGGCCAGTTAGCCTCACACAGAAAAATGGTCTATCTACCACAGTCACCTATAGCACTGCAACATATAAAGCCTGCTTGTAGATCTGTGGCCTTGATCACAGGATGAACAAAACAAGAGTACTCATTGGAGGTTGTAACTAAGAGCACACTGTTAAAGCAATGATATATGTGTAACAGAACCTGTAATTAAGTAACACATTACCACCACTTGTCTGGTATTCTTGATTAAGAGAAAATGTGGTTTCATAAGTCTGATGACCATATTCTCAAGCAGACTTCTGTCTAACAAAAGATGCCTGTGATTCTTCTATATAAAAGGCAGGCTGGAAGCTGCAGCTTAGGTTTCCAGATATTGCAATTTCTGGTGGAGAGAGCCAAAAGACAGAAAATTTGACATCAGAATTGTTCCCAAAAAGTAGTAATGTTTAGTATCATATTAATAGAAAGCTCTAAAAAGTGACAGTATTTGGGTAAAATGAAGTTTTACATCAAGCATTATCTTTAACCATCCAAAATTCACAATTGCCGGAGATTAGGGAGAATGTAAAATGTGAATATAGCTTGAAAGTCTCAATACAATTCATAAAGTTTAGTGGTACTTTCATGTTGTTCTTTTCCAAAGTACAAAATTTTTGAAGATACATAAAAATAGGATTTAGCTGCTCAGGAATGCCCTTACCTAATATTAAATTCTTCATCTGAGATATAGAAGGAGTAAAAGGATTTTAAAATACAATGAATTTTAATCACAGGGAAAGCTTATACACCAGTAGAAGCATTTTTTGCTTAGAAACTGATGACTTCTGTTTGTAGAGGGCCACTGCTTCTCTAAGAGGAAATGACATGTAGCTGGTGGTTCTTGAAATAATTTGGAGAGAACTAGGTCTGATTTCACTTTGAGATAATGCCAACATTCAAATCATATCCCTTTTTAATTAAGTCATCATTTGGTCTGATTTATTAGATTCAGAACTTGCTTTGATGTATAATGATGAATCTGTGTTGGAAAATCATCACCTTGCTGTGGGTTTCAAACTGCTGCAAGAAGAACACTGTGACATCTTCATGAATCTCACCAAGAAGCAGCGTCAGACACTCAGGAAGATGGTTATTGACATGGTAAGACTTTAGCCTCTCTACATTCCTCACTTACTGCCATTCTCTCTGATAGACTGAATTTATTAAGAGTTTTCATTTTCTTTTTACCCAAGGTGTTAGCAACTGATATGTCTAAACATATGAGCCTGCTGGCAGACCTGAAGACAATGGTAGAAACGAAGAAAGTTACAAGTTCAGGCGTTCTTCTCCTAGACAACTATACCGATCGCATTCAGGTATTTGAGGAAAGTCTTTGATTTAACACAAAACCAAACCAAACTAAGCTGAACAACAATTAGAAAAAGAAAACAAAGATAAATTCAGTTATTGGTATATCCTAGGCTACTCCTATAGCTTAGGGCTTATTTTAAGAACAAGCTAAGGAAAATGGACATTCAAGTTTATCTTCTAATTTATGAGGAAAAATAATCTCTATTTGTGGAACTGCTTATTAGTTATATAAATAAATCGCAAAATCTATTTGTAATAGGGCATACGTGACTGTTGGTTCCAAAAGCTTGTGTTTGGATTTAAATCCCATTGACTTGAAGTTTGTTAGGTCTGTTTTGGATATACAAATTGCCATCAGCTGTTCTCCTCTTTCCACAAGTGGAAAATATGAAGTTATCTACTTTGAGTAATTCTTTGCATTCTTTCCAAACTGAGAAAAGGAAATGATAGCAGCATCTGACCTCTAATGTTCCTTCCAATTTTTAAATTCAATGACTGTCGGTCTAAGAAGACACACGTTTTCCCCTTTGGGACTCTATAAAAGTAAATAACTGACCCAGGCTAGCATCATTGTAATTCCATTTTTTTTCGGTGCATATGTCATAATTATAATGCAACTAAAATGTTCTCGGGTTTAGTACCAAGCGTACTAGTATGAGAGGCATGAGATGTTCCGGCAGTATTTACACCTAATTTTATGAGATTTCCAAAACTTGATGATTTCAGGTCCTTCGCAACATGGTACACTGTGCAGACCTGAGCAACCCCACCAAGTCCTTGGAATTGTATCGGCAATGGACAGACCGCATCATGGAGGAATTTTTCCAGCAGGGAGACAAAGAGCGGGAGAGGGGAATGGAAATTAGCCCAATGTGTGATAAACACACAGCTTCTGTGGAAAAATCCCAGGTATCTAATATGAGATTTTCAAAGTTTTTGTGAGCTCTGCTGATTATAGAGCTGGAGGGTTCTATTTAATTCCGTTTTTCCAATAGAATATGTATATATGAAACAATAAGGAGACAACTACGCATTTTGTTCCATTATAGTCAGGACTCATGCGACTTCTCCATTACACTCAGTTTCACAGGGTGGGGAAAAGTAGTCATCAGAAACCCATCAAAATTTGGACTATGTGTCCCTAAATCATTTAGATAGTTGTCTCTGATGTTAGCAAATCCAGCTGAATAATATGAACATCAGTGTCTCCTCCATCCCAACCCTCTGGATTTCTCCTAGCTCTGTCTTCATTCAAGAACTCTACTCCTCATCCTTGCTTCCAGCCCTCTGTTTTTATCTTCTGTCCTTAATCAAGCCCACGGTGACCATCACCAGAGGCAGTCTCTTTTACTGCATAGTCAAAGCCCTGTCTTGTCTTCCCTCCCAAGGATGCTTCTATGCTTTTGAGAACATGCTGACATTTTCTGGTTGTGTCCAAAGCAACACATTCTGTGTGTGCTCAGGACAGGGGACAATAGTCTGGAGGGGTGAATACAGAAATGTCCAGATGCCAATAGCTGCAGAATATGCAGCAATGGAAAGTATCAGTATCCATACAAAGATTTTTCAAGAAAACGAATGGGCTGAGCCAAGTAGCTGAGATTGAGAATGAGTTCATAGACTGTCCAAGATCTTTATCCCAAAAACATTTGGATTGTTTATTTTCAGTATTTATCCTCTTTCCCTACTACCTGGATACTCCAAATTTGCATATACTTGTAATATTAATATACAGTTCCTTTGCAATATTTATTTTGTTGCTTCTTAGAGAAACCCAACTAAATGAGTTTAAAAAATCTGTGAAAGGGCTGGGCACAGTGGCTCATGCCTGTAATCCAGCACTTTGGGAGGCTGAGGTGGACGGATCACCTGAGGTCAGGAGTTCAAAACCAGCCTGGCCAACATGGTGAAACCCTGTCTCTACCAAAAACACACAAAAAATTGGTCGAGCATGGTAGTGTGTGCCTGTAGTCCCAGCTACTCGGGAAGCTGAGACAGGAAAATTGCTTGAACCCAGGAGGCGGACGTTGCAGTGAGCTGAGATTGTGCCACTGCATTCCAGCCTGGGCAACAGAGCAAGACTCTATCTCAAAAAAAAAAAAAAAAAAAAAAAAAAAAGAAAGAAATCTGTGAAAGTGCTCTGAAGTCTAATATACTGTAAAAATGCAAGTTAACATTGTTAATGAGGGTTAATTCGAATAGCCCAAAGGCTTAAGTGGAACAAGATATGAATCAGTAAGGAGGAATAACACCCTTTTATTAATAGCAGTGATGTTTTATGTTTATATGATGTTCTGTGGAGCATTTCACACATTTTCCATACATTATCTTACTTGGATCCCCAAACAGCCTTGCAAGATAGATAAAGTAGATATTTCCCCAGCATGTCAGGTGCAAAGCTGTCCTCTTGGTCCACTACAGCAGCTCTCTCATCCAAAGCTCTTCACTCTCCATCTTAGGGACAGGTCTTCCTGTTGCCATGACATCGTTATCCACTCTGGTATTTCCCACCAATGGGCTCTGCTGAACACTGTCTGATTGGCCCAGCAGTAAAGCTCTTTACTGGGTGCTCTCAGGATTCATACAGCTCTCTCGTCCTGTGATCTAGGGAATAAATAACTAGCAGCTACCTTTCAAAAACATTCTCAGCATTTCTTAGCAGAAGCAAAACAAGCGAAGAAAGGAAATGACTGCACTGTGTTCAGCTTATTCAATTTTCTCCATTACCTTGAGCTTGTTATTTTGGGTCCCTGGAAAACACCTTGAAAATAGTCTCTAACATTCATTAAGCACACATAAAGAAGTAAAAGGGAGGGAAAAGGAGTGGGTGGAAGTGAGAGAAATATCTGAATCATGTACGGTTGAGTTTTTGTAACCAGTATAGATCAGAGATTCCCTGACTTTGCTGTGAAACTTCCTTTTTAAGGCTAGGAAAGCACCAGAAAGAAGAAGAATAAGAAAATATATATATATCATACATATATATATACACACATCATACATATATATATATATATATACACACACATCATACTATATATATATATATATATATATATATATATATATATATAATTTTATTTATGAAAGAATCACATATGACCAAAGTTCTTGTGTACAGTACAACTTGGATGTATTAAATGACTGGCCAATTACCAACATGTTAATAAAGGAAAGTTTCCAGTAGTGTGGAAAGAGACCTATATAATGTCCCATGGGTGGGTGCCCTTTGACCATCTACCCCTAAATCCCAATGCAGCATCTCTGTAGCTCCCCAGACCATGGCAGGGGAATTCCCTTCCCTCATTCAACTAGTGCCTGTTCTTTCTCTCTACTTGTCCCCACCCCCAGTGTTTCCTGTTTGTCCAACAATGAGGAGGCCAGCGTAAGGCCACACTGCTAGCTCATGCAGGATGCATAGCCCCTGAGTAAACCATAACAGAGCCATAAGCCTGGTATTTAATCACAGGAACATCAGCAAAAGGAACTGCTTAATTGTTTTTTATTTTCCCTTCTTTCACCTGTTGGAAATGACTGCGTGCTCTGTAGATCCAAAACAATTGCATGGATGTCCACCGAGGGGATATGTGTTTCTTTCAGGGCTCAAAGTATTTTCACGTGTTTCATCAAACTCCTCTACCAGCCAAAAGCATTCCACAGAACTTGAGAAATTCCAGAGTAGTCAGGAGCCAGCTCCTCATCACTTTGGAATAGCAACATATTTTAAAGTTAACAAGGAAAAAATATTGAGTCAAAACACGTTAGACCTGGGCCTGCCTTCTTCAGAAAATGACTCACAGAATCCAAGTAGTGGCAAAGTCATTCTTTGTCTTTGGGTCCCTGGAAATCATGAGGATTCCATCCAGACTTCTTATCTGGCGCACATAAAAGGAAATGCAGTCTGTTGTAGCAAGATGAACACGGGCTTTGGAATCAGATGAAGCTGGGACTGAGTCCCAGCTCCACCAGTCACTAGTTATGTGACCTCTGACAAGATATTTAATCTCAATAAGTCGTAGTTTCTGCCTTTGTAAATAGTAAACAGCAATACTTACCTTCCAGGATTAAGAGAGAATACATCGATTGCATTCAGTGTAAGACCCACTGTATTGTGAGTGCCCAAATCATGGAATCCATTATGATTGATCTTTCTGAAGTTATTAATGTTCTTTCTTTGCATGGAAACCAGGAAACCTTGTTTACTTTTCAAGCACCATCACAATAACAGATGTGTCATCTTATTTTTCTCCAGGTTGGTTTCATCGACTACATTGTCCATCCATTGTGGGAGACATGGGCAGATTTGGTACAGCCTGATGCTCAGGACATTCTCGATACCTTAGAAGATAACAGGAACTGGTATCAGAGCATGATACCTCAAAGTCCCTCACCACCACTGGACGAGCAGAACAGGGACTGCCAGGGTCTGATGGAGAAGTTTCAGTTTGAACTGACTCTCGATGAGGAAGATTCTGAAGGACCTGAGAAGGAGGGAGAGGGACACAGCTATTTCAGCAGCACAAAGACGCTTTGTGTGATTGATCCAGAAAACAGAGATTCCCTGGGAGAGACTGACATAGACATTGCAACAGAAGACAAGTCCCCCGTGGATACATAATCCCCCTCTCCCTGTGGAGATGAACATTCTATCCTTGATGAGCATGCCAGCTATGTGGTAGGGCCAGCCCACCATGGGGGCCAAGACCTGCACAGGACAAGGGCCACCTGGCCTTTCAGTTACTTGAGTTTGGAGTCAGAAAGCAAGACCAGGAAGCAAATAGCAGCTCAGGAAATCCCACGGTTGACTTGCCTTGATGGCAAGCTTGGTGGAGAGGGCTGAAGCTGTTGCTGGGGGCCGATTCTGATCAAGACACATGGCTTGAAAATGGAAGACACAAAACTGAGAGATCATTCTGCACTAAGTTTCGGGAACTTATCCCCGACAGTGACTGAACTCACTGACTAATAACTTCATTTATGAATCTTCTCACTTGTCCCTTTGTCTGCCAACCTGTGTGCCTTTTTTGTAAAACATTTTCATGTCTTTAAAATGCCTGTTGAATACCTGGAGTTTAGTATCAACTTCTACACAGATAAGCTTTCAAAGTTGACAAACTTTTTTGACTCTTTCTGGAAAAGGGAAAGAAAATAGTCTTCCTTCTTTCTTGGGCAATATCCTTCACTTTACTACAGTTACTTTTGCAAACAGACAGAAAGGATACACTTCTAACCACATTTTACTTCCTTCCCCTGTTGTCCAGTCCAACTCCACAGTCACTCTTAAAACTTCTCTCTGTTTGCCTGCCTCCAACAGTACTTTTAACTTTTTGCTGTAAACAGAATAAAATTGAACAAATTAGGGGGTAGAAAGGAGCAGTGGTGTCGTTCACCGTGAGAGTCTGCATAGAACTCAGCAGTGTGCCCTGCTGTGTCTTGGACCCTGCCCCCCACAGGAGTTGTACAGTCCCTGGCCCTGTTCCCTACCTCCTCTCTTCACCCCGTTAGGCTGTTTTCAATGTAATGCTGCCGTCCTTCTCTTGCACTGCCTTCTGCGCTAACACCTCCATTCCTGTTTATAACCGTGTATTTATTACTTAATGTATATAATGTAATGTTTTGTAAGTTATTAATTTATATATCTAACATTGCCTGCCAATGGTGGTGTTAAATTTGTGTAGAAAACTCTGCCTAAGAGTTACGACTTTTTCTTGTAATGTTTTGTATTGTGTATTATATAACCCAAACGTCACTTAGTAGAGACATATGGCCCCCTTGGCAGAGAGGACAGGGGTGGGCTTTTGTTCAAAGGGTCTGCCCTTTCCCTGCCTGAGTTGCTACTTCTGCACAACCCCTTTATGAACCAGTTTTGGAAACAATATTCTCACATTAGATACTAAATGGTTTATACTGAGCTTTTACTTTTGTATAGCTTGATAGGGGCAGGGGGCAATGGGATGTAGTTTTTACCCAGGTTCTATCCAAATCTATGTGGGCATGAGTTGGGTTATAACTGGATCCTACTATCATTGTGGCTTTGGTTCAAAAGGAAACACTACATTTGCTCACAGATGATTCTTCTGAATGCTCCCGAACTACTGACTTTGAAGAGGTAGCCTCCTGCCTGCCATTAAGCAGGAATGTCATGTTCCAGTTCATTACAAAAGAAAACAATAAAACAATGTGAATTTTTATAATAAAATGTGAACTGATGTAGCAAATTACGCAAATGTGAAGCCTCTTCTGATAACACTTGTTAGGCCTCTTACTGATGTCAGTTTCAGTTTGTAAAATATGTTTCATGCTTTCAGTTCAGCATTGTGACTCAGTAATTACAGAAAATGGCACAAATGTGCATGACCAATGTATGTCTATGAACACTGCATTGTTTCAGGTGGACATTTTATCATTTTCAAATGTTTCTCACAATGTATGTTATAGTATTATTATTATATATTGTGTTCAAATGCATTCTAAAGAGACTTTTATATGAGGTGAATAAAGAAAAGCATGATTAGATTAGTCTGTAGGCCCACTTATTTCACAATTAGTTCTGACATATGAAAAGCAGATCTTTCTCTTCTCTTGTGCCATTCCCCACAAAGAAAGCCAACCACTGTGTCCAGCCAACATCACAACTGAAGTTTCAGAATCTATGTCCAAAAAGTCCCCTAGTTTGGAACATTTCGCTTTTTTCTTAGCAACTGTTCACCCAGCTCAATGATGCAGGAAGGGGGTTGAGGAAGGAAAACAAAACAAAACCACTTTGCTCATCTCGAACTATTTCCTTCTACCTCTTTAAGAGTCTGAAGAGTTTAATCTACTAGATAAATAAGGGAATCCCCAACTTGGCTGAGTCCTCTAGAAAAGTGAATCATAGATTATAGAACATTAGTATAATGCAGTCAGAGAGTCCCATTGATTCATTTGACACATGAAGAATCTGAGGTCCAAAGAGTCATCTTAAACCACAACCCACAGAGCATGGGTGGACACTCAGGGTTTTCTCAGTGATCCATGCAGCCTCTTGTTGGTCATATGGCTAGGATTTTCTTTCTGGAAAGAACTTTTTATATATAAGAAAAATACTTAATGCTTTGTTGAAATCTTAAAGTCAGCATTTTAAAATATTTTATCCTGAGAAGAGTGTGTGTGTGTGTGTGTGTGTGTGTGTGTTTATGTGTGTGTTTGTTGCAGAAGGTTGCAAACAAGAATCGGTGTTGGCCCATAATAATTTAGCCACAAGGGAGTGCTCTGTGAACCAGTAAGATGGTCTTCTCTAAACACAGCTGAAATTAAGATGAGCCGACATTTCAGAACCAGCTTGCCTGCTAGTTGCAGAGCTATTTCCAACATTTTCCATCATCTCTGATATCTGATTGTGCCTCACCATCTCTGAGAGTTTGAAAAGGAGCAAAATAAATTGCTTACAATAGCCAGAGGTGTGAGTTTTACAATGCCCAGAGCTAGAAATATTTGCAGGTTTGTTTTCTACTGAGAAGAGGTTCTTAATTAACCCTTATTGCAAATAAGAATCATGTGGGAAATACATATATTTAAAAACACTTGTTTGGGGCCCATCCTCCTCCCAGATTTCTGATTGAATTGATCTTGGGCAAAGCCCTGGGCATCAGATTTTAAAAATTTCCCCCAGGCTGGAGTGCACTGACATGATCTCGGCTCACTGCAACCTCTACTTCCCAGATTCAAGCAATTCTTGTGCCTCAGCCTCCCATATAGCTGGGACTACAGGTGCATGCCACCACACCTGGCTAATTTTTTGTATCTTAGTAGAGATGGGGTTTCACCATGTTGCCCGGGCTGGTCTCGAACTCCTGAGCTCAGGCAATCTGCCCACTTCAGCCTCCCAAAGTGCTAGGATTATAGGCACAAGGCACTGCACCCAGTCTCTCCCTAGGTAATCTTAACGTGCAATTGGAGTAGAGATCCACCGCTCCAAAACAGAGAATCATGCCTGCAGCTGAGGTGTTCTTTCACCCCCACTGTCTTCAGATATTCATTGTGAACTCATCATGGACAGCATATTATGCCCAATATAGCTATTTTAAACAGTAAATTTTGTTATATCCTGGTTTTATCTTACTGGCTGACTTCTAACTAACTTTTAGGTAAGATGAAACTGCACAGTTTCACTAGTTTCCTATACGGAAATCTCAAGAACCAGGTCAGACCTCAGGCATCCAAGCTAACTAGACCCTTCATGAGTGCAGAAACCATGCCTAGTACTTTCTCCTCCTGGCACAGCGTTCATGCTCAGACATTTGTTGCATCAATCTGGATGTTGATGATGTAAAATTTCAATTAACAGGAAGATCAGAAGAATGCACACTCTAGGCAATTTAACTTTCAGCTTTTCTCACTTAATTGCAATAATCTGTTCTCAGATGTCTCCCCACCCAGCACTGAACCCTCTCCAAGACAGAACAATGTTTTTTGCCTGGTCTCTTTTTTTAACCTTTGTATTCTTCACCAACAAACACTATACCAGCCCTAAGCGAAAGGAGAACCGGTGATGTTTGTTGAGCTAATGACCCAAGACACAAGTAGAACCCTTTTTATTGAAATTACTTGTGAAATATGGATCTACTTGATTTTCTTGCCAAAGGAGTAGAGTACACTGGAAAAAGCAGAGTTTGACAAACCTGTGTTCCAAGTCTTTTCCTGTACCTTCCTACCTGTGGGGATTTGGGCAAATTGCTTAAATTTTTGAGCTTAAATGTTCTCATCATTAAATGGAGCTAACAATAGACAGCCAAAGATGAAATCAGGCATAGTGTTACATACAGTAGATGCTCAATAAATCTTTGTTATCTGAATGTATGTACTCGTGGATGAAGGGATTAATTAATATTTAAAAACATCCAAAAATCACCTCTAAAAGCAGAAGGCAGCAACACATTTTGATTAATTTAGGGTTCTTGAAATCAAGTTCCAGTTAATCTAGATGTTTCTACATAAGCTTCAAGATTCTGGGAGGATAAATGCTCTCACTTTAACCCATCATATGGGACTATGCTGACACTGATAGGCTCATTGAGTTGGAAGGAAACATGTAAATCATATTATTCATCCTCTTCAATGCTATAGAATCCCTCCAAAAATATGCCTGTTTGAAAGCATCAGGTAATAGATAACTCAGCAAGGCCCTTTTGAAATAATGTAAATTATTAGGTTTCTGGGAATCAAAGTGTACTCTTCTAGAGCAACCTTTCTTGTTTGATTTTTTAAAATATTTCTAGCTAAATAAGGTATGTAATTTCTCCTCTAATTTCCTGTTCCACTTGAAAATAGGAACCAGACTTTTTGACTATGTGACCTTGGGAAAGTTTATATCACCTCTCTGCACTTCGATTTCCTCATCTGTAAAATAGAAGTAATAATAACAGCACCTATTTAATAAGATTATCTTGAGAATTAAATGAATTAAAGCTGTAAAATAGTAAAAATAGTGTCTGGCTCATAATATGCATGAACAAATGTTAACTATATACAGCTAAATGTAGCATGTTTTCTACATTGTAGCTCCTTCAACCATTATTCATATGACCTATCTTCATCGTTCTGGTCAAATTATTCTGGGCTTGCTCAAATAGACAGTGCTCTTTTAGGGTGAGTGCCTCAGAACCAAGCACCATATTTCACTCATGGTAGGGCACAGTGTGATTCTTGCCCTTCTTTTTTCTGGGCTGTATTCTATAATCCAAGATTGTATTCATTTGGAGGGATGTCAGTGACTCATCTGGATAATTCATAAGATGCTTACAGGCAAACCAAATGCTTCATACCTTTTCACATGAACCACTGTTAAACTAAATCTTCTCCACTTTGTTCTTATACAATGAAGTTTCTGAATTTTAGTGCAGAATTTATACTTCTCTGATACATTTCATCTGAAAAACAAGTAGGGTATAAGAAAGAGGGTTTTCAGTTTGAGTGTCAGATTGACCTGTTTGTAAATCCCAGCTCCAGCATTACCTGTACAATGTCATAGAAGGTATGCAATTTATTTGACCTTCAGTTTCCTTTTCTGTAGCAGAAATATTATATATGTATAAAATTATTTGGAGGCCAGGTGCAGTGGCTCACGCCTGTAATCCCAGCACTTCGGGAGGCTGAGGTGGGCAGATCACCTGAGGTCAGGAGTTTGAGACCAACCTGACCAACATGGAGAAACTCCCTCTCTGCTAAAAATACAAAATTAGCCAGGCATGGTGGTGCATGCTTGTAGTCCCAGCTACTCAGGAGGCTGAGGCAGGAGAATCACTTGAACCTGGGAGGCAGAGGTTGCGGTGAGCCGAGATCGCACCATTGCACTCCAGCCTGGGCAACAGGAGCAAAACTCTGTCTCAAAAAAAGATATTATTTGGAAAGGCAAAGGTAAGCATCTAGCACATTCAGGGCATACAATAAATGAGGGTTATTAGTAATATTAATACCCTACTATGATGATTAAATGAGATAATATGTGCATGGAAAAAAATCTTCATATTGCTGTTTTAATTCATTACTTTTGGCCTAAAAATTATTTTGAATTCTCATCCTGATAGCTCACAAACTATGCCCTTCCTACCAGAATTTATTATCTAAAGATAATAATGTATTTTATATTTTTGTTTACAGTTTAGTAAAATGTTAACTAGAACAGGACTGGGATGGGTATGTGTTAAGCTGCCTAAAGTCTGCCTCATCAGCATTGATCCATTAGTCAATGTTCCATGGGCAATGGCACTAAGTCAATTATAAATTCACCTATACACACCATCACCTAGGCCAATCTGGACAAAAACATATCAGGAAAAATGTGATCAAAGACTTTTCTGAAATTCAGACATACCATGTCTAAAGCATTTGCCTTCTTAGTATAATCTATTAGCTCTAACTAACGGAGGAAAGAGACTGTGATAGCATGTCTTGTCCTTAGGGAATTAATGCTAGTTACTGCCCTCTCAAACGGCCTACAAACCATGAGATAATAATCCATTCCAGAATTTTTCATACAATTGATGTCATGCTTGACATCGTGTAGTGCTGGACTCTTTCTTTCTAAAGAGTGGGAAAATATTTGCCTATCACACACCCCCAGATTTCTGGTCTGCTTTGTGTTCTCTCTGATTTCTGATAGATCACCAATTATAAGCCAAAAACACATTGAAAAGCCCTTTCAGTATTGTGGGAAATCATGTGCCTAGAAACATGAAACTACTTAAAGAACAGAGATGCTCTCCCAACTCCCCTTTGCTTTACGTGGCAAGTCTAGCAGAAGCACATGATATTTGTGCACACGGATGCAAGTTAAAGACATATTCTTTTAACTGAAGAACACTGTCTTCTTCCATCAAATACAGTTTCAAAAAGGATCCCCATGGAGTAGTGAAGGATGACAGGGGAATCTATCTCATTTGAATGGGTTCTTCAGAACCTACCATTGATTAATTCAGTAAACATGTACTGAGTCCTGAATACTTTCAGGCACTGTTCTAAGACATTGTCCCTATGTTTTAAGTATTGGAGTATATAAGAAAATGGATGTACAAACAAAAACCTTCAGTCCAGTATAAGAAATGCTGACTAAAGAAACACATAAAGAACACAAAATTGGGAGCATCTAACTCCTTTGGGAGAGTAAATTAGGGAACATTTCTGATAGAAGGACAAGGTTGAGTCTTTAAGAATGTGTAGAAAGCTGTCAATAAACCTGGATCGAGAGATGAAGAGCAGGAAGAAATTTGTTACAGGGGAAGGGAGAGCATGTACAAAGTAGAGAATGGGAAAGAGTATTTTTGAGGCCATTCATAAATTCATTTATTTCAAAACTATTTATAGAGTACATACTGTGGACCAAGTATTCTATTAGACCTTAAGGATACAGGGACATACAAGCAGAGGAAAACCCTATTCATTAAGTAAAGCTGCAGTCAAAGAGACAGATAATAACATTTTTAAAAGTGGATGTGTTGGGCGGGTGCGGTGGCTCATGCCTGTAATCTCAGCACTTTGGGAGACCGAGACGGGCGGATCATGAGGTCAGGAGATCGAGACCATCCTGGCTAACACGGTGAAACCCTATCTCTACTAAAAATAAAAAAAATTAGCCGGCCTGGTGGTGGCACCTGTAGTCCCAGCTACTCAGGAGGGTGAGGCAGGAGAATGGCGTGAACCCGGGAGGCAGAGCTTGCAGTGAGCCGAGATCGCGCCACTGCACTCTAGCCTGGGCAAGAGAGAGAGACTCTGTCTCAAAAAAAAAAAAAAAAAAAAAAAAGTGGATGTGTTATTAGGAATTGGTACAAGTTATCCAAAGGATGGAAATACACTAATGTGAGACTAATTTTTAAAAATCACCTTGGCTAATTTGTAAGAAAAAGGGAAGGGAGCCCTTTATGACTATAAAAACAACTTGTAATAAAGCCCCGTAGTGAGTGGGAGGAGCAGGGCATCCAGGAGGAACTGAAAGCTGACTGGTTTCACTTGGGGTAGTGGAATCGTCAGAATCAATGCTGGTGAGGTGGCACAGGCCAGGTCCCACAGGACCTGCTGGACTATTATAAGAATGAGCTCTTTCTTAAACATAATGAGTGTCTGCCAACATTTTTAAATAGGGAAATGATATGATCAGATTCCATTTGGAAAGATCATCCTAATTGCAGTGCAGGAACAAATCTTAAGAGGACAATAAAGAAATGGGAGATCTGTTAGCAGGCTATTGCAGTTATCCAGCCAAGATGAGATGATACCTTGGACTAAAGTGAGGCTGAAAGATGGATATAAATGGATGGATGTAGACTTATTTAGACATTGCATTTATAGATCTTAGTGATGGATTCTGTTGAGAAGAAAAAGAATCAAGACTAGATCCCGAGTTTTTGCCCAATATGACTAGAAAGGTTAAGTCATTCTCTGAAAAAAAGAAACACTGGGAAAGTATTAGTTGGCACAGAAGCATGATTCCAGTTCTGAGTGTGTTGATGTGAGTGGCTTTGTGACACCAAAGTGCATGTGAAGTAGACAATGGAATATGACAGTCTGGAATTCAAAGAAGTCCAGGATGGGAATTATCACAGGGATCATACATAAGGAATCTGAAGCCATGAGATGTCCCAGGGAGAGAGTGTGGAATGAGAAAAGTTGTGAGAGACAAGACTGACACGTCAGGTACTCTATTAGTTCATAAGAGACATAAAAAGATCGGCATGTAAAGGAGATTGATAAAGAGAAACCAAAGAACTAGGACAACTACCAAGAGACTCTGGCTTCTAAGAAAGCTAAACAAAGAGAGTAAAGAAGGACGTGGGTCACAATATTAAATCCTCCTGAGAGATTTATTTTTTTAAAAAAGGAAAATATTTATTTTATTTAGAAATACGAATATCACTGATGAACTTGGAGTGATGGTACATTAGCTAGTTTTTAGTAAGTAAAGAGTAAAAAGGAAGTAAGAAAAAAATAGAGGCAGTGAGAACACATAAGAAGTTCAGGTGCAATAAGGAAGATTGAGATAAAGCGCTATCTAGAAGAGGATGAGAGGTAAGGGAAACTTTTCTTTTGAAAGTACTAAACATACTTAAGAGCTACTTAAGTATATTTTAATGAAAATGGAAAGCACCCTGCTAAGACAAAGCAATTGAAAATAGAGGAGAGAGATTGAATCATTGATACTGGCTGCCTGAGAAGCAGAAATAATGTATTCCAAAGCACTCACAGAGGGATTAGTCCTGGAAGAACTTTCACAGTGTTGTCGCAGGGCTATATGCACAGCCCCACCATATGTCATGGTCTTCTTGATAATATTATGTTAATCTCTGATTCTCTTGCAGATTTAGAAGCGGCAACACTTCTCTTGCCTGAGATTGGGATGATGTGGCTGAGACTGCCTTCCTGGCAGCCAAATGGGCTATTCAGCAGTCACAACCCCTATGGGTGGTTGACCGGGGTGCCCATTTGAGCTGGGTGTGCTATGTGACCACAGATGGCTTCGGCTGGGGCCTCCGCTTTTATGTAACCATGCCACAAGAGGCACATTAGGTGATCACCCACACGAGCCTGTGCTTGGCTCAGAGCCACTATTGTCTGTAAAAGGTATAGTTACTCTGCTAACACTGTACATACAGCTTGTGCCCATGGCTCGCACCCAGGCTTGCTTGTGCCTAGGTTCGCTCATGTCCAGTGCATGAAGCGCTTGAGAATGCCAGTAGGCTTTTAGTCCCAGTAATGGAAGGTAGCTGAGCTCTGGTATTCCTTGACAGAGAAACAGCTAGCAGCTGTATATGCCGCCCTTCATGCTTGTGGGAGTGTGACAGGATGGGCTGCAGTTGTCATGCAGATGATTTACCAGATAGTGGGATGGGGTAATGATGCGTTCCTGGGTAATGACCCCCAGGACTGGGACAGCACAGACACCCAATTTAGCAAAGTGGGGTGCCTACTTAGAGTAGTGGAGTACTCTGAGTACAAGTCCCTTAGCAGCAGAGCTGCAAAAGGTCTTGGGACCTGTAGTCCTAATGCAAGATAAGGCCATAAGGCCTGAGGCACCCCCATATTCCTGATGGGGCATAGTATACAGATGAATCTAGCCGGGGTGCTACTGCTGCCTGGACCACTGTTACAGTCCAAGTTACTATAGATACCATATGGTTTGAAAGCAGGTGTGGACAAATTTGCCAATGGTCTGAACTCAGGGCAGTGTGAATAGTGACCACTAAGGAGGTGACACCTACAGTAATCTGCACCAATGACTGGGCAGTTTACTGAGGCTTAACCTTGTGGTTAAATACCCAGAAGTTACAGAAGTAGCTAGATGGTCACCGGCCCATGTAGGGCCAAGCCATGTGGCAAAACTTATGGGAGGAAGGATGACCTCCTCTGACCAGGTATGGGGATGAACAGTAACATGTTGTTGCCTGCCCCAATGCACATAAAGGTAGGGAAATAAAAACCTGGCTTAATGTAGAAAGCAACATTGGGGTAGTGTCACCATGGGGTGGTTACCTGCCATAACTTAGAGTTGTTGCCCCCTGTATTACTACTGTGGCCTCTGGGTCCAGGGTTCCTCTCTGTGGGTACGTCTCCCCACTAGAAAAACTCCCTCAGCCTTACATTCCATTCCCATTCCCTTGGGGGTGGAATGTAAGGCCTATGTGTCAGACCCGTGTGTCCAGGGCCTGTGTGTCCAGAACCTATGTATAAGGCCTATGTGTCAGACCTGTGTGTCCAAAGCTAATGTCTCCTTTGGCTTAGGGGGTGGAATGTAAGGAAAATAGATGTGCTGTGGTCAAGAATAAGCTGAGGCAGATAACCAGTCCAGCATGACTCAGCAAATTTGGAGCGCAGGCACACACCTCCGCTCTTATGTAACCATGCCGTAAGAGGCACATTAGGTGATCACCCACATGAGCCTGTGCTTGGTTCAGAGCCACTATTGTCTGTAAAAGGTATAGTTACCCTGCTAACACTGTACATACATCTTGTGCCCATGGCTCGCACCCAGGCTTGCTTGTGCCTAGGTTTGCTCATGTCCAGAGACAGAACAAAGCCACATCAAAACTATATGATTCAAGTGTTTTTCCAGCTACCCACCTGTCATCCACTGACTCCCCTTGGACCTCAGTTAGAACCTGACACCAGGATATCGGGCTGTTGTAAATTTGGAGCTGGCATGGTCACTTTCTCCAAAGCTGCCTGTTATTTCCTCCTCAACAGCAATCTCTTCCTCTTTGGTTGTAATTACATGGAATTGCAAGTCCCTTAGTTACTTCCTCAATTATAAAGAATTAACTTTCTGGGACCTGCTTTTACCAAACTCTCTTGAATACTAATGTTTCTTAAGTAGTCTAAACTATCTCCTCTGAGTCAAATTATTTTGCCTCTTTTGAGCTCTCTGTGTCTAAATTGTCACTGTAAGAATCCTATCAATGCCAACCTTGATAGTGTGTCTAACCAGTCATCTGTTGGTCAGTCAGTCAGTCAAGAAAATGATTTACTAAGTACCTAAGACCTGCTACGCGCTTTCTAGTAACTGGAATAAGTAGTTGCTCTTTTTGTCCTGTTAGCTCTCCTATTTTTCCTTTTCCTAGGTCTTTTGCAGTTAATATAATAAACTTACCCTACCACCTCAGGTTTTTAACATGCTATAACTTTTCTACAATCTATCTTGCTCTCCTATCCATTTCACAGGCACATAGAACTTTAGAATTGGAAGGGAACTTTGAAGTTAGCAGATCTGGCACCTCTTACATTTGAATGTGCATATAAATCACCTAAGGATCTTGTTTAAATGCAGATTCTGAATCAGTAGGTCTGGGGTGAGGCCTGAGATTCTGTATATTTAGCAAGCTCCCAGGTGATGCTGATAGTGCTGGTACTTGAACAACCCTTTAAAGAGCAAAGATCTAGTCTCCTGGTTCATGACTAAGAGTGTACATCAGAATGCCCTGCTTTTGCAAAATACAGATTCTGAATCAGACTCTAGGCAGTGGGGCTGGGACATATGAAGTTTGAAAAGGCAGTCTCAGAATTCCACTTCCAGTCAATATGGAATAACAGGAATTGGATTCATCATCTGCCTGAAACAACTAAAAGAAAAAAAACTGAAAAATCATGATTCACTGGTTTTCAAGACATGAGTGAATAAAAGAGTCATTTCTGGGGACATGAAACAAATGACATAAGCCCCATGATTGTCCTAGTTTACTGCCTTGAAAGTGTCTCCAAGCCATGGAATAGAGGAGAGTAACCCAAGCAGAGCCCGGCTGACTCCAGAGCTGAGAATCAGGCAAGAAAAAGATGGGCAGAGTTCTCAGAGCAGAGTACCAGAAAAGAAGGAGCTTCACAGAGAGAGGAATTCAGAAAGCCCCCTTCAAGTATATAGCAGAACACTGATTAGCACACAAGTGCCAGAAAACTACTCAAGGCAAAGAACTGCTAGAAAGGATAAGAAGTAACAAAGCCCTGTGCTCACACAGGACTGACAATAGTACCTGTATCCATCAGCCAAAAATGTCATGATTCAGGGGGCAATTTCAGAATACTCAGGAAGGACTTCCACAGGTAAGGAATAATGAGTTCTAGAGTGAGCACTGCTACAACCCCACCTAACAAATCTTAAAGGCAAGATTTAAAAAGATCAGTGTTTTTAAGCAATTTAACTGTATTGCAGAATAAATCTCAAGAATATTTATAGAAATACAAATTATCCAGCACCAAAGTAAAATTCACAGTATATGGCATTCAATAAAAAATTATCAGGCATGGAGAGAAGAGACTGTAATTGATAGAAAGGAGAAAAATCATTAAAATACTGACTCTGAATGTTAGAATTAAGAGACAAGAATAGATTTGTAATATTTCATATATATAACTCTCATGTATATAGGTTTTCATCCACAGTTGCAGGCTCATAACTCCCATAGCCCTTGTTACAAACAGATCTACAGAAGTTACAAATAGACTCTTTTTCTCTCTCTCTTTCTGATACTCGTCTGCCCTCCTTTCACCTGCCTAAGGCAGGACACTCATCTAATTGTGGATCATGAAACACTCATTCCAGAGGGGGAATCCTGCCCCATATCCTGGAGAAAGATATGTTGCAGAGATGCCAAGTAGAATCTGAACAGACAGGACTTGCTGGGTGTAGATCACACTCTTTTTGTTCAATCATATTTTGACATGGTTGGCCATGCTTCAATCATGCCTACCCACTGAAGTCTCCATAAAAGGGCCAAGAGGACAGGGTTCATGGGGCTTCTGGAGAGCTGAACTCATGAAGGCTGACAGAAAGGTAAACAAGAACTCAACCACATGCTGGGAGGGTGGCTCATCCCAACTCCAGGGAGACAGAGGCTTCTGCACTCAGGATCCTTCTGGACCTGGCCCTATGTATCTCTTCATCCAGCTGTTTATTTGTATCCTTTAAAATGTCTTTTATAACAACTTGGTAAATGTGTCTCCCTGAGATCTGTGAGCCCCTTTAGCAAATTAATGGAACCCAAAGTGGCAATCATGAGAACTCGAACTTGAAGCAGGTGAATCAGAAGTTCTGGAGGCCCAGACTTGCAACTGACATTGTGGGGTTGAGGGTTGAGGGTTGAGGCTCAGCCCTCAAACTGTTGGATCTGATGCTATCTCCAAAAGACAGTAATGGAATTCAATTGAAGAACACCTAGCTGATGTCTGCTACAGATTTGATTGCTTGCTTGCCAGTGGGGAGAAATACCAAAGTATTTTGGTATTGACTATTGTTTTGGTGTGAAAACAGAGGAAAAATTGTTAGAGTTTTTCTTAACAACAGTAAAAGTTGTATTCCATATGTTTACTACGTAAAGTAGAGATAGGGAAGATATTTTCAAAATACAGTAAATAGGGTTAATTTTAGAAGATTAGATATTGTGGAAGAAAAGATTAGTGAGCTTAAAGATGGAACAACAAAAACCAAATGAAACACAGAGAAAAGAGAATTAAGAAAAAACAAAAATGAATCAATCATCGTTGTGATCATTGTGATTTGGGACAATTTCAAATGACCTAATAATGTATAGTTGTCCCTGAAACTAATTTTCTTCCAAAATCCAAAAAAATTAAATATCTACAATGCTTATATTATATATTTAGTATATTAAAATATTATTTTTTAAATGCTGGAAATTTTCCAAAATTGATTTAAAAAAATACATGCACAAATTCAGAAAGCTCAAAAAACCCAACCACAAAAAAACTTGAAGAAAATTATGTTAAAGCACATGACAATCAAATTGCTCAAAGCCAGCGATAAAAGCCTTAAAAACATTCAGATAAGGGGAAAATGTCATGTTATATACAGAGTAACAAAGGTTACTGAACATAAGTTCAGCAGATTGCCTGCCAGAAGTAATGGAAGCAAGAAGACAATGGAACATCATCTTTAAGACACCAAAAAAGAAAAGAAAAAAAAATCCTGTTAGCCAAGAACTGCTTACTAAATGAAAATACCTTTTTAAAGTGAAGGTGAAATAAATACCTTTTCAGACATAAAAAAGATAAAAGAATGCATGGTCCCAATAGATCCACACTACCAGAACTGCTAAAGGAAGTCCTCAAACAAAAGGACTTCCTTCAGATGGAAATGTGAATCTACATCCAAGAATGAAGAACACTAGAAATGGTAACAATACTATTACATACATACCTTTTTCTTATTTAAAAACAAAAATCCTCCTTAAAAGATAGTTGCGTCTTTAAACAAAAATAAAAACAATGCAGTATATAATTTATGTTGTATATATAAAAGTAAAACAAATGACAGCTACAGTATAAGAACAGAGAATGAAGAAATGAAAGCATATTATTGTAAGGCTTTCTATTACATGTGTGTAAAAAAAAGAACATCTTCAAAGTAGGGTGTGGTAATGTACACTTGTAGTACCAGCTAATTTACCGGCTGAGGTAGGAGGATCACTTGAGCCTAGGAGTTTGAGTTTGAGTTTGATTGTTTTTCTCAAAATATTATTTGGGTTCTGTTCTTTAAAAAATGGATTAATTCATTCTTTCAGTACCTACGTATTTAGTGCTGGAGAAATAGAGATTTAAAAAGACAATCTGTGACTTCACTGAGCTTCATTGAGCTTACCTTATGGGGGAAAAGAGAAGGTAAGAGAATCTTCCATTATAATATAATACAAAAAGTACCAAGCTAGCAGTAAACAAAAGCCATTAAGAAATAATAGAGAAGAGGTTTTGCTAGATCTATTAAGGAGCCGGAAGGGATGTGGCAAGCATTCTGGGAAAAACTGATCAGAATTCTGTAGTTGCTTCATAATTTAGTTTGATCTTTTATGATTTTATTTAAATCATGCACATCTGTGCTTGGGCATTTATGTGCAAATGTGTTAGTGCATTTACATAGTGCCTGACACAGGGGTTGGCAAATAGAAAGTACTCAATAAACATTTGATAAATCAACAAAAATTACACACACACACAAACACACACACATTTTATCCACCAGAAACTGCCTTCAACTTTTTTCTTTTGTGCTTGTTTCTTTCTGCTAACTTTGGAACACCTACAGCTGCCCAGGCTTGGACCTAAGGGTTGAGGTTTCTCCCCAGTCTGGCTTATAGACTTCTATCAACACACTTGCCTTTGGGACTGTATTAGTTGATTAAAGCTGCCTTAACAAATGACTACAAACTTGAAGGCTTACAACAACAGAAATTTATTCTCTAACAGTTCTGGCAGCCAGAAGTCCAAAATTAAGGTACAGGCAGAGCCATGCTCCCTCCCAATGTTTCTTGCCTATTCCAACTTCTGGTAGTTCCAGGCATTCCTGGGCTTATAGTTGCAAAACTCAAATCTCTGCATCTATCTTCACAAACCTCCTCTGTCTCTGTATGCCTGTGTCTTTTCTTCTCCTGTCTCTTATAAGGATCTTTATTATTGGACTTAAGTTGCATTAGATTATCCAGGATGATCTTATCTTGAGATCATTAATTACATCTGCAATGATCCTTTTTTCAAATAAGGTCATATTTACAGACTCTAGGGGATAGGACATGAGCATATTTTTTGGGTGGGCCACAGTTCAACCCACTATAGGGGCATTTCGAGCAGGTTCAGGATGATAGTGAGATGAATAAGGTACTCATATCAGGTACAAAATGTAAGGGAATGCCAAGAAAAACCCTCAGTAATCAAAATAAAGAATATTTTAATGCAATAATTCTTGAAAAATCAAAATTAATGCTAAAAGCCAATGATGAACAAAGTATAAATTTTTAAAGTACAGACAGAATCAGAATTACTAATTTTTTCTTTCCTTTTTGATCTCCAATATGGTTCAGCTTTGCACTAATTTCCAGCAACAGCCCAAGCTTCCGATCCATAGTGAGGATGAGTTCAACCAAGTCCACTGTTTCCTTTGTCACAATTTAGATCACTCTTCTCAGAAACATTGCTCCAGGGAGCTTTACTCAGGAGACCAGGCTGCTATAAACTGGGCTTCCCACTTCCAGTGCAGGCTTATTTATCTTATGAATTGTGCAAACACCTCCTGAGAAGCTAATTAAAATGGAAGTCAGTGCTGCCAAGTCCGGGAAGCCTCCAAATGAGCATCATGAGGCTGCCAGAAAGCATAATTAATACACACACTCAACTTCTCACTGTGGTTTAAGGGAGGGTTGGGGGAGAAGACTCTGAAGGACAAATTAACTCTGAAAGGTGAATATAAAGTGGAACTTTCTGAGCTCCACTGCCAAGCACAGCATGGGCCAAATGAAAGGCACTGGGTATGGGTATAAAGAAATACTTGGTGTTGGGTGGATGTAGTTTAAGAACAGGAATAAAACTGAACTCACTGCATCTTAGTACCATTAAGAAACAAAAAATGTTATTTATATTTGATTTGTGTGCTACACTTGAAGTTAAATTAATAAGACATATCAGTAAGCTGGGCCTAGAAGTAAAATATAAATATAAAATCTGATATAATAACCATTGAGAAAGTGTAATAAAAAATAAAATCACATTTCTAATAGTGATGTAGGATTTTTCTACTCGGTCACTTTGCAAGTTGAGGACCCCTGGCTGGCAACACCCCACCTGGGCCTCTCTCAGCCATGCTGATGTGCCCCAGTTCATCTGTGTTATAGCTTATACCTGCGTTTAGTGGTTCCTGAGCTCTTGTACCATGCTCAAGAAGAATGAGGATATGCAGGGCATTGAAGGGTGAGGAAGATGGAGAATAACGATGAAAATGGCTTTCAGTGGAGAAGTGATGTGGGGTGAGGGTTGTGGGAGTGGATAGTTGCCCCATGGCTGGGTCTGGGTCCCTTCATGGACTCAGAATGGGGAGTGCATACTGATTGGTTTGTGAGTACGCAAAAAGGTTAAAGTGAAGACACCACTCAAAGGTGGGCATGACTGTGTAGAAAAACCAATTAGGAAAAGGTAGGTATATGTTAAATAAGTGAAGGGTGGAGATTAATCAGATGAATGTGTGCCAAATAAGACGACAAGTACTCAATCCAGTCCGAAGATTTAACTTGTAGCTTGGTTTTCAGGCTTTAAACTGTCTTTAGCTTGGACATGGGGTTTTGCCAGGGACCTGCCCCTATCTGCTTAGGCATTTGTCTGCCTCTGTCAATAGCTTGGCAAAAATATTTTTAAATACCTAGAAACAAACTTAAGAGGAAGTAAGTAGGACCTCTAAGAACTCAGAGACTTTACTTACAGCCATAAAGAAAAACTTTAAAAGACTTTACTAAGTGGTAATATGCATTACACTGGGTGAAAAGACTCCGTATGGTAATATAAATCCAACTCAAATTCAGACATAAACAGCGTAATTTTAAGAAAAGTATCAGTGGTAGTTTTGGAGAGGATTTAACAACTTGATTTTTTCACATCTTCTTTTAAAACAAATAATTTCAACTTTTATTTTAGATGCAAGGAGTACACGTGCAGGTTTGTTACAAGGGTATATTGGGATGCTGAGGTTTGGGGTACAATTGATCCCTTTCCCAGGGTACTAACCCAATAGTTCTTCAACCCTTGCCACCCTCTCTTCTTCCCAACTCTGGTAGTCCCCAGTGTCTATTGTTGCCATCTTTATGTCCATGAGTACCCAATGCTTAGCGCCCACTTATAAGTGAGAACATGAGGTATTTGGTTTTCTGCTCCTGCATTACTTCATTTAGGATAATGGTCTCCAGCTGCATCCATATTGTTGCAAAGGATATGATTTTGTTCTTTTTTATGGCTGCATAGTATTCCATGGTAACAACCTGATTTTAAAATTCATCGAAAAGGTCAAAGCAAGAGAGTAGCTGAATACATTTTGAAAGAAAAAATAGATGACATGGGTCGGGCACAGTGGCTCACGCCTGTAATCCCAGCACTTTGGGAGGCCGAGGGGGGTGGATCACGAGGTCAGGAGATCGAGACCATCCTGGTTAACATGGTGAAACCCTGTCTCTACTAAAAAATACAAAAAATTAGCCGGGCGTGGTGGCAGGTGCCTATAGCCCCAGTTACTCTGGAGGCTGAGGCAGGAGAATGGCGTGAATGCTGGAGGCGGAGCTTGCAGTGAGCCGAGATCACGCCGCTGCAATCCAGCCTGGGCGACAGTGCGAGACTCTGTCTTAAAATAAAATAAAATAAAATAAAATAAAATAAAATAAAATAAATAAAAATAAAAAATATAAAACGTGAACTTCCAGGTAACTAAAATTATTACAGAACTATAATGCTTAAGAAAAGGGATAATGTTACTGGCTAAGAAAATTGACACATGAAACAAAATAGCCTATAAACTGAGCTCCCTATGTGTAAGATTTTAATGTGGACTAGAGGCTTTGTAGTAAGTGATTTTTGAAAGGAAGGCTGAATAAATATTGATCTAATGTGGAGCTATTTATTAATTATTAGAGAAAAATAGTTGCCCCTTTCATATGTCACTTAAATTGAAATTGATTAAAGATAGAAATGAATTACAAGAAAGTATATGAGACCATCTGATCTCAAGATAGAGACAGATTTTTCGAAGCATGAAAAGAAGGAACAGTATAGAGTAAAAAATCTTTTCTCCATGAAATTTAAAATCTTTATATCAAAACTCACTGTAAGCAAGTTAAAGGAAATAATACATGTGGAAAATATTTGCCACATGTATGAATCATGATTATTGGCCTTGTATAATAGATGTCTCAAAAATCAATAAGGGTTGATTTTGATTGTTAAATCAAGAAGAAAAAGAAAACATGCCAGGTCCGGTGGCTTGTGCCTTTAATCCCAGCTATTCAAAAAGCTGGAGTGGGAAGATTGCTTCAGGCCAGGCGTTAGGGACCAGCTTGAGCAACATAGCAAGATCCCTGTCTCTCAAAAAATTAAAAATAAAAAAATTAACCAAGTATGGTGGTGCATGCCTTTAGTCCAAACTACTCAGGAGATTGACATGGGAGGATCCCTTGAGCCCAGGAATTCTAGGCTACAGTGAGCTGTGACCTTGCTGCTACACTCTAGCATGGGTGACAGAGTGATGTCCTGTCAAAAAAAAACAAAAACAAAAACAAAAAACAGAAAGAAGAAAGAAAGAAAGAAAGAAAAGATGAATACTATACACACAAAAAAATGAGTGAAACTCATGAACAAAGGGTTCATTTAAAAAGAAATCTAAATGGCCAATTTTGTGTGAAAAATGTTAACTTTATAAGTAACAAAAGAAATGCAAGTTAAAATAAAAACAGATTACCATTTCTCAAACTGATAAAACTATTTTTAAAAAATCAAACCCTATATGTGATAAATAAAACTCAAGTCTCTACATGCTCACTTTTGGAAGAAGTGTCAAGCAGTGCACTCTTTTGAAGTCTTTTGACTATTATATATCAAAAACCTAAAAAAATCCTGCCAATTCTTTACTAATTCCATTTTTAAATAGAACTGAGGAAATGATTTAAATGTACACATAGGTTTAAGATAAGATAGTCATTACAATATTAACAATGGCAAAAAACATAAAATAGTCTTAGTATCTAACAACATGAAAATAATTATATAATGGAATCCTGTGATATTATTAAACTAATATTTTGAATAATAATTATACATCGTAATGCTATATTTAGGTTTAAATTTATTAAAAGCTGTATAATAAATATTTAATAAATAAATACTTGAGCATGCAAATACATACTACAGGAAAAAAGAAAAATTATCCCTGACATATTAACTTTTTCTCAGAGCTAAGCTTTTGATTGGCTTTTTTTTTACACTTTTTCATGTTATGTTGTCCAGATTTTCTACAATTAGAATACATTATTTTATAATCAGGAAAAAAATTAATTAAAAATTTTTAAGGCTTGATCACCAGCTCATAGGATATCGACTCTAGAAAAGAACATTAACAAAAACCTGACCTGCCTTCTCATTTTTCCCATAAAGAAACCAGAGAATCAGAAAGCTAGATGGTTGGCGAAGGCCAAATGCTATTTGCAAGCAGAGTAAATGTGCCTCCCCAAATGTGCAGCCAAATAGGCCTCCCCAAGATAGCCTATTTCAAAGGATCCCTTTACAGGCACCCAGAGGGAGAAGCCACCAGCCCCCAGTGTTCTTGGGGACACGGCAGGCTAAGGGTAGTTTTCCAACTCATCTCAAGTTCTGGCCATTCTTGTTGAAAAGTTAAGACCAGAAAGTAGAGCTATGACCAGGCCTTAGTCCTGCTGCCCAAGAGACCAACCCGCGCCTGCATAGACCTCTGAGCAGATTCTGAGTTCCTTTCAATCTGGAAGGCTGCATGCCTATTTGAGAGGTGAAGGAATTGAGGGAATCTGCAAATTCTACCCACCTCACATCCAAATACACCATGGTTTTCCACTCCTGCCCTAACACTCAGATCTCCTTTATCTAAAAGTAGGTGTCAGTAGTAGTAGCAGTGGTGCTGGGGTCATTCCATAGATTACAATGTGAACGGTAGAGTTGTGGCAGATGGTGGCCTTGGTCTGGGAGGACTTGAAGGAGTCTGCCATTGAAAAAGGGCAGAAATGTACAGGCGTGCCAAGCAAAAAGAACCATGTGCAAAGGCCCAGGGCTTTGATACCGTGTGATGAGAAGTTCAGCAACGTAGGGTGTGGGGGCAGGAAGGATTGACATCTGATGTGGCTGGATTGTGAAAGGCCTTGAAGACTATGCGAGGGAGGACTATGGGAAGTCAACAGCAGGGTGTGGGAAATGGAAGGGAGTGGCAGGTGGGAACAGCGGGGGCTAGGCCCTGACAGAGGAGGAGCCATGTACCAATAGGGGATTGGGCAAACTGGACCAGCAGATAAATGGAAGTACATCCCTGATGGACTGCAGCCAAATTCAGCCAACAGCCCCAGCTCCAGGCTCAGGCCAGCCTGGACATAGTGCAGGAGGATCTAACTGGCCAGGGCCATCTCCCCTGCCCCAGCTGCATATTCCCCTCATGTGGCTCAGAGTGGACAGCTAATAGGGGATCTGTGTTTCAGAAGAAAAGGATGAAACAAGGCCATACCAAAAGAGGAAGCAGCAGAACTTTGCTCAAAAGAGTTATCAGCTGCAGGGAGTCTCCAGAAATGCTGAAAGGAGGCCTGGACAACAACTGCTTGACTGAGCACAGCCAGCTCTGTTCATGGATGACAGACATGCTTCGGTGGCCAGTGAGCTTAGAAGACAGAGGCCTGTGTTCACGTCCCAGCTCTGCCACATCTATAGTGATGGGCAAGTCATTTATCCTCTCCAACTCTCAGTGTTCTCCACTTTCCCTGTCAAAAGGGCATAATAATGGTCTCTATTTCATATGGCTATTGAGACAATAAAACAATTTATTGCATAGAACATTAATAATTCTGAAGGATTGTTGTTAACTTTTTAATCTTCTTCTTTCATCTTCCGGGGACCCAGATCCATTATTTGTATTTGTATTCCAAGAGAAGAGGAACGGGTATGTGAACAGCCACATATTGGGTCACTTTACATGAACTACCCTCTGAATTCTCCCATGGGCCCCACAAGAAGGGCATTAAGATCTCTCACGGGCAGAGAAGTTGAAATTCAGAGAAGCAAAATCACCTATGTAATATCCCAAGCTAATTTAAGGCAAACAAGTAATTCTGTCTACCCCCAAACTCCTGCCTGTCCACCAACCAGACTGCCTTCCCCAGCTCAAATCTCCACAACCTGTTAGTGCCACCTGCCCCTGTACACCTGCTGCCACGGGAACAAGGGTCCCATCCCCTCAGGCCTCACGCGGACCGGGAACATGGCCTTTGTTTTACTGGCAAAGCTGACCCAGGCCAGGACACAGCCAGATCCACCATCCCTGGGCTCGGGACTATTGTGGGTCACAGATATCCCTTTGACAGTGAGATGTCACACCTGGAACCCACTACCTAGCAAAACATAAGAATTTGGAGTAAAACACCATTTTTAAAAATCTACATGTGCCTTTATCCCACAGGGAGTTCCTGAGGCTTCAGGGAGACTTTCAGGGGTCCAGAGAACCCAGAGGGATAAGGGGCTGGGAGTAATTTTAATGGTGTAGGATCTCATAGGATGGAGTGAAGTGGAGAGTTGCGGGAGGCATTTTTACACTGCTTATCCCACAACACTCTCTAATATGGTTTAGCCCTTTCACCACACAAAGTAAGAAGCTGACGGTTAGACACACAGGGGAGAGGCTGCTTCATATGGCAGAAAGAGCTGGGACTGCCAGTCCATGAGATGTTTGTTACAGTTCTCATTTCTTTACTTATTTTGCTGGGTGATCTTGGGCAAGTGGCCTAGCTGCTGTTACAACACAACCACAATGATAACTGCCATTCATTGGGTGCTTCCCAAGGGCTAGGCCTTGTCCTAGCCTCTGAACGTTTATTATTGCATTTCCTCTTCACAATAACCATAGGAGGTAGCCATGATTTTCTCCCTTTCGTGGATGAGGGTTGAAGCATGCTGCAGACTCAAAGCCCCTCCCCAGGGCTCTACATCTACCGTAAGGCCACCTTGGGCAGACACTTCTCCTTTATAGAGCAGGGAGCCTCTGACAATGCAAACGTCAATGTCAGATAATTTTTTTTCTTTTAACAATCGTCACTCTGGATGATGCTGGGGTGGTGTGTGTGTGAGGAGTGTTTCCTAGAGAGACATTCATGACAGTTCTTAAGGTCAGGGGCGGTATGGCTGGAGCCACATTTGTGAAATTTAATCACCAAGATTCCCCTTCTTTCAAAAGAGTAGAGCTCCTTCTTCTCCTTTCCAGGCTCTCTGTTTCCGGAGCTTTGGGCTTTACTCTCTAAGAGTTTCAGATGTGTTGAAACTCTGTAGAATTCAGGGGAAATCTTGCTGGGTCAGAGCCTGCACAGTTATCCCTCTGGGAGTTTCCAGCTTTGTGTGGGCTCAATGTCAACAATTTTTGTTCGAGAAGCTCTAGAGCTGGCCAAAGGCCAAAGTTACCCTGGCCAGGTTGTTGGTGAGAAAACTTAAAGGTTATACTTCTATAAGAAGAAAGAGAAATTGTCTTAGCCACAGGCAAATGACAAATGTGTACAAGGGTTTTACATTTGCCATCTCATTCAGCTTCCACACGGGAGACAGGGGATAGTATCCCCATTTTAAAGAAGAGAGAATTGAATTGGCCAAGGTCACCCAGATAATAGTAGAATTGGGAGAGATTTTTCTTTTCAAAACCAGCTCTTCATTGCCCATCGTTCCTTGCTAATTCTCCAGCTGAGACACAGGATCATGTTGCAGTATAAGAACATACCAGACTAGCTGGGATTAAATTTTGGCCTGACTGTGGGCTAGTTACTTAATCATTCTGAATCTCAGTTCCTCATGCATGAAATGAGGCTGAAATTACCAGTATTTGCTTCACAGGGCTCTTGTGAGTTTTCAATGGGTTAATATGGGGGAAATCTTAGAACAATGTACATGACATAGTGTCAGCTATTTTAATCATATAACTTGATTTAAGAAATGCACTGTTGTTTTAGCAGGTATATAGTGTACACTAGGGGAAGGAAAATAATTCTCAGACAACAAATCAGACTCTGTGCCGGGTGGGTGCTTCAGACTCATAACTCATTTAGAGTGTTACCACAGTCCTATGAGTGAAGCACTTAACAGATGAGGAAACTGAGAAATAATGTGCAATGTGACTAATGTTGCTCAGCTACAGAGTATTCGAGCTGGAACACAAACCCCAGGCTGACCCTAGCACTTCTACCTTTCCCTCTGTCGTGGTGTCCGACGCCACTGGATGGAAACGAAGCAGCCCAACAAGAAAGCATGTGCTGGAAAACACATATATGTGACTAGAGGACCACCAGGGAGGGAAGGGCTGCCATCTTACTAACGTTGCCTTATTTTACAAATAAGTTATTTCCTGACCTAGTCTTCTGTACATTTAATTGTGATTAATACTGAAAATTAAAATGCACAAAGCACAGAGGAACCTGGTATTTCAGGAGCCTCCTGTAATTGATTCAGAATTTGAAGACATTCATCTGTATTTGTTGTTTATTGTCTTCCTACTATGTGCTGGATCTGAGGGTTAGAAGGTTAATGGAGGAGTGACACAAAGATTAAATAATGACACACTGAATGGCATGTTCACTAATGATGATAAGCACCATTAAAGACAGCTGGATGGAATTTAAAGGGGTAGATGGTAGTCTGGTCTGATCTAGCCAAGGGCCCAAGAGACAGCATGCAAAAGTCTAAAGGAAGAAGAGAAGGAAAGGATAAATATCACAGACAGAAAGAAAAGCATGAGCAAAGGCTTTATGGCAGAAGGAGCATAGACTATTTGAGGAACTGAAAGATTCTCTCTGTGTCTAGACCACAGAAAAAATGGGTTAAAGAAGTTCAAGATGAGGTTGGAAAGGCAGGAAGGGGCCAGAGTATGCAGAACACTGGTTATCATATAGAATCGGTCTTTGTTCTAAAAGGATGGGGAGGGATTCAGATAAAAAAAATTAAGATTTTTTTACAAGGGCTGTAAAATTGCAAGTAATCTGTTTAGGTTATGATTAACACAACATCATATCATTGTATTATATACTAACATATGGTTAGTATCCATCATATTGTGAAGGTATGACAAACAGCCTTCAACTTACATCCAATTCTGAGGATAATTAATGGCTATGGGAATAATGTGTTGAGACTCAGTGGGTATATCTGGATCCAGTAGGAATGAATACTATTATCCATTAACAATATAGGCCTGTCCAGGCACAGTGGCTCATGCCTATAATCCCAGCCCTTTGGGAGGCTGAGGGGGGCAGATTGCTTGAGGCCAGGAGTTTGAGACCAGCCTGGCCAACATGGTGAAACCCTGTCTTTACAAAAAATACAAAAATTAGCCAGGTGTGGTGGCGCATGCCTATAGTCCCAACTACTCGGGAGGCTGAGGCATAAGAATTCTTGAACCCAGGAGGTGGAGTTTGCAGTGAGCCGAGATCGTGCCACTGCACTCCAGCCTGGGCGACAGAGAGACTCTGTCTCAAAAAACAAAACCAAACAATGTAAACCTGGAATAGACTGAAGCTGGGTGTTCTAACTGTGGCTGCATAAAGCAAAGGGGCTCTGTCATAAGACTGCCCCAGGTCTGAATCACAGCTGTGCCACTTGGTATCTGCTGGAACTTGGGCAGTTTACTTAGTAACTCAGAATCTCAGCTTCCCAAGCTGTAAAATAGACATAGAAGTACCCATCTTCAAGGGACTTTATGAGGATTATTGGAGTTGAAATGTTTAACAATTAGGCACATGATGGACTTCATAATAATAAACTTTCTTAATGTATAAAGAGAATTTGGAAGTATAATTGCAGAATATTTAAAGTTGAAACTACCTTAGGGTAAGTGGGAAGGAAAAAACAGAAAGGACAACTTATTTCAACTTTTCTCAACATAAGTTATCTTTAAGTATGAGTGCTACACAATAGACCTTTACAAAAACAACCAAGAGGGCAGGTGTATGCTCTGCATGCATTCATTCACCAGGTTTGGTAAATGAGTTACCCATTTACCCCGGTAGTATAAGAGATTATTAAACTGTGGCACCAAAAGACAGACATACTAGATGTTGGACACTTGAGCAAATTTGTAAGCTGTCCATCCAAATTTTTAAGCTGCAAAAAGGAAATTGTTAGAAAACCATTAGATGACTTGCACACATTGAGGAGATGAGACAGTTGGGATGCTGAAGATTAAGAGGATTTGTGAAGAGGATTTCATCAGAGAGAGGTGTTAGTGAACAGAGTCTCAGATAACTCCCGGGTTTTAACTTTTTCAGGCATAGTGCCAGGTACAAAGTTGATATTCAACAAGCATTTATTGAATGAATGATTGAATGAATAACTGATATATCACTATAACCTGAAATAGGTAAGAAATAGGGAAAGAGCATTAAGAGTCTTTAATCTTGAGGCTGCAAATAAATTATATCACATAAAATTAAGAAAGTTGGCTGGGGGCAGTGGCTCCCATCTGTAATCCCAGCACTTTGGGAGGCCAAGATGGGCGGATCACGAGGTCAGGAGCTTGAGACCAGCCTGGCCAATATAGTGAAACCCTGTCTCTACAAATAATACAAAAAATGGCTGAGTGTGGTTGCTCATGCTTGTAGTCCCAGCTACATGGGAGGCTGAGGCAGAAGAATTGCTTGAACCTGGGAGGCAGAGGTTGCGCTGAGCCGAGATCGCACCACTGCACTCCAGCCTGGGTGACAGAGCGAGACTTTGTCTCAAAAAAAAAAAAATTTTAAGAAAGTTTGCAGGTGTGATGAGGGAGCCAATTTTTATAATCTTTGAAGAGTATGGAGTAAAATTATAGAAGACTAGAAATAGTTTCTCCTTTACAAAAAAAGCTGAATTTCAGAAATGATAAAACTGTGCCATTAATTTTGGCAAAACACTAAAGTGTATTTCTAAACAGTTAGTCATGAAAGTAGTCTTCACCAGGAGCTAGCATTTGTCTGTTAGGGTTACTAGAGTAGCCTGAACAGGAACATACTAAAAATAATGTATTCTGATTTTAGGGAGAGATTTGATAGCTGGGTAATTGCAAAAATGTGGTTGCAATGATAAGACAGGCATAATTGTAGTTTGTAACTACCTTACACAAATTCATTAATGGCAAATTAGTCTAGATGGAATCCCTAGATTCAGGATGTAGAGTAGTGGTTTGCAGTCCTGGTCAACTGTTAAACAAGGAAACTTTTACAACACATCAATATCTGCCTCCACACTCAGAAATTTAGATTTTTTTTGTCTGGTATGGAGTCCAGCCATTTGAATATTTCAAAAATTCTCTAGTGTTCTAACATACAAAGTTTTAATCACTATTTTCTTAATGTTCTATTCTTGGCCATGGACTTTACAATATATTTTTAAGGAACATATTGAATGAAGACAGAAAAACTCCTTGTGTTGTGTTTGTAGATGAGTCAAAACTAGAAAATGATGACATTAAGCCTGAAATGAGCAAACAAATGAAAACCTTCAACAAGACAGAAAAATGAGCAAAGACACTCACAAAGTAAAATGTCTTGTTACAGAGGTATTTTGCTAATGAAATGAGTCAACACGTAGAAAGAACTTAGAGCAGAATTAGGTACATGCACACTCAATACATTTATCACACCAAATCCTGCTCACCGTAGGTCAGCATTCTCTCCATATTAGAGAAATGAAGGTACAAAGAATGTGCCCTTCTAGCCTAAGATCATGCAGTAAGTTGCAAACCTGGGCTTCAAACCCAGTCCTGACTCCAGTGTCCAAGTTCTTATTTACTATTCTGAGTGTTAGTGTGAACTTTGATTTTAGGACTGAAAGGGATGTTAGAATTTACCTCAGACATTTTAGAGAGAAAAACTGAGGTTTGGAAAGGTGAGTCATTTGCCCAAATGCACAAAGATAGAGAATGGTAGAGGAAGAAGAACGAGGAGGAGGAGGAGGAGGAGGGGGAGGAAAAAGGAAAGGAAAGCAAAGGAAGGGAAGGGAAGGGAAGGGAAAGGAAGGAAAAGAGGACAAAAGGAAGGAAAGAAGCCAGGTCCTGTGTTTAGGGACCTTTCCAAATCAAAGGAAATCTGGGAAGGTTCTAACTTATTTCACGGAAAAGGAGTGCATCAGGAGGGAAATCCACAAGAAAGCTTTGAGAAATGCTCTCAAAGAGGTTCTGACTCTCACAGGTAGTGCTAGACGTTTCTCAGTAATCCTGAGATCAGTCTATTTCTCTCCCTCACAGCCCCATGCCTGGACTAAGCCTGTTTTGTCTTGTCTTGTCTTGTCTTGTCTTGTCTTGTCTTGTCTTGTCTTGTTTTGTTTTGTTTTGTTTTAGAGGCAGGGTCTCACTCTGTCACCCAGACTGGAGTGCAGTGGTGCCGTCAGGGTTCACTGCAGTCTCTACCTCCCAGGCTTAAGTGATCCTCCAACCTCAGCCTCCGGAGTAGCTGGGACTACAGGCACACACCACCATGCCTGGCAAATTTTGTTTTGTTTTGTTTTGTTTTGTTTTTGTAGGGATGGGGTCTCACTGTGTTTTTCAGGCTGATCTCAAACCCTTGGCTTCAAATGATCCTCCTGACTCAGCCTGCCAAAACACTGGTATTACAGGTGTGAGCCACCATGCCTGGCCTAAAGGTTTAATTAAAGAGGTGAACTCCCATGTCAAGGAGAGTGTTAAAAGGTAAGAATTGAAGTTTGTTTTCTCTGGCTTAGGGAAATCCTGACCCAGAGATGTGGAGAAGGATATTGAAGATGTTTTATACCAAATTATAAAATCTTGGATTAGGAGATTTCAGAAGACTTCCTAACATGTACTGTGGCTGCTCTTGCCACATGAAAAAAACCCATGGTCCTGTAGAGTATGCTCCAGTGATTTCTGGGAATCCCCAGGTGGAATCCCACATGTACTCATGAACCAGCTTTATTGGCTACTATGTTGCTTCTACCCCGTTTTTTCTTTTTTCTTAAACTCATTCTGTGTAACGAAGCTGCCTCACTCAGTAGTGAGAATGAAGATTAAATGAGATAGCACATAGGCACTCAATAAATCAAAATTTGTTGCAATAATGCCATTAATAATGAAGAAAAATAACTCCGCTAGTCGCTTCTGCTATTTTAAACTAGATGTCCACTGGAGTCAAGAGAGACTAGAATAAACTACTAAGGAATATTTGAAGGGAAAGATAATCCTTTTCTGTCAAAGACAGTGATTCAGGCTTCAAAGGCAGGAGGATGACCCAGTCTGGACACAATAACAATTCCAGGCACAAGTTGCTATGTGTTGCAGGCAGGATCTCCTAAATGGAGTCCTGGTGGACACCTGTCCTAAAAGCACCCAGAGCTCACACTGCTCCAGCCTGCACCTCTCACCTCCAGCCACCTTGGAGAATGAAGATAAAGACAGTGATCACTCCAGAGTGCATGCTGAGGCTCAGGGCCTGTGCTACATGCTGCAAGTATGTGACCTCACTGAGTCCTCACAGCAACTTATAAAGCCAATGCCCTTTACAGAAGGAGAATATATAAATTCATAAGAGTTAAATACCTTGCCCAAGGAAGTGTCTATTTTCTGACTGTAAGACACATCCTTAACCCCTCTGTATATGTCAGGAGTTTCCGGTAAATGTTCTCTACCTAGACCTGCAAGAAGGACTCCTTCTCTGCTCATCTGCTTAGACCCTAAAACCATCCCCACATCCTGGCCTCCTATGAGTCTAGCCTGGCTGCTTTGCATCCTCCCCTCATGGGAGTATTTGTGAAGAATGGATTTAGCTTCTTGGCTCTGCAGCTTTGCTTCTGAGCCAGACAGAGGACTCACATGACTCCAAGTGTCAGGTCCCCAGGGACACCAGTGCGAACACCAGCTGCAGCTGTGACTCCTTTTGCACACACTGTTTTTGGAGGAGCTCTTACCACACTCTGAGGGACTGAGCACACTATTCACTTTCTGAAGGGTACTGAAGGAACATCTGGGGTCATCCTGCCTTGGTCAATATCCCTACATCTCTGCAGTAAAAGGCAAGCTCTTCTCACCCTTCCAAGCACGGAAATGCCTGCTGTCAGGGAGAAAACTTCCAGCAAAAGCTGGTGCTTTTGGACAGTACCAGATCTCCCTATCCCAGCTGATTTTCATAATTTCCTAGTCCTGAAATCGAGGCAGCATTTGCCAATGTCTATGCTTCTTGCTGGCAAGAAGATACAGTCTCAGCAGAATCTGCATGCAGCACTTTGGGGAAGAAAACTTGAGTGTTTTCAACATCTATCCTGCAGGCTTGATGTCCAGGTTTCCATGTAGGTCCTTGAAAGTCATGTCTAATAGAGTTGTGTACTACGTGTGCCTCAAGCTCCAAAATCCTTTGTCAGCAGCTCGAAATGACATCTGCTACTTGCTTAAAACCTCATGTCCTTCTTGAAAGTATTAGCCCCACTCTCACATTAGTTTAAGATCCTCATCAGAGAATTTTCTAAAGAGCCTGTATTAAGGATTTCACGGGAAGATATCCTTGATCTTCCTCTGTAATGCATCTCAATTCCTTATAACCTAACCCAAATACAACAAACCAAAATAATTTTGAGATCAGACAGACTGAAGCTGAAATTACCCAAAATGCCACTGGTCAGGTTTCCTGGAAACAGACTCATAGAGGGAGATTTTTGCCAGATGTTTCTTGGAGAGTGCTCTCGGGAACATCTATAAGGGACCAAGGGAAACAGGACTGGGCAGAGAGAGTTGAATAGAATGAAACAGAGGTTTAAGCTGATCCCATGGGGGAGTTCTGAATCTGGGTTGGCCTTTTAGAGATGTCTCAGATTAACCTCTCTGACCTTCGTATCTCTGCACAGACCAGCTTCCAGGGAGAGGTTGTGTGTAACCTTGGATAAGGCAGTTACCTTTGGTAAAGAGAGCCATTTTCAAAGAGGAATTTACTTATGGGCCATCAGCAGGCAATGTTTGCAACCACTGGGGGCACTGAATGCCTTTGTTTTAAAGGTGGGATTTAGGTGGCACACCACAGCATCCACTGCACAAGGAAACTCTCTTACTCTCTAGGAAACAGAGGCCTAGAGAAGAAAAGCGGGTGGCCCAGGGTCACACAGCAAGGTGATGGAATAAAAAAACAGTATGGACTGCTATGGAAACCGGGAGCATTAAAACAAAAAAGACAAAAACAAAACAAAAAACACTAGAATTGCAATGAGGACCATAAACCTCAAAATGTTTTCCCTCTAATATCAATATACCTATTTTTTTGCTAAGCATATCCTATTGTGCCAGCCAGTGTGTTAAGTATGTTACATTAATTAATATATTAACTAATCAGAGGGAACCCCATAAAGTAGGTATTATCACCCTTATTCTGTAATGAGGAAACAATTTAGTAGCCTAGCAAAGTGTCTAGCACATATTAAACATCCGTCTGTCTCCAATGCCTGTGCTTACAACCCACACCTTCCTCTCTACAATTCACCTAGGAGCCTTCTCTCTACCATTGTAAATTATGCTATCGCCCCAATCATCAACAGTTTAAGAGAGGAACAAGTCACCATTCTCTGCCCAGCAATCCCTCACTGCCATGAGAACTGCTATTTTTGTCACCATTTGTGATTCCTTACTAGTCCACCACCATTCTTATGCTGGCTTCATAAAATGAATTTCTAGTTTATCCGGCCAAAGGCCCATGGATCACAACGCTGTGACTAAACATTCTTTCAAGCATACAGCAAATATTTATTGGGTGCACGCTATGTGCTGGCGTCCTGCTAAGCACTTTGCATTCATTCTCTCGTACCACCCTATGAGGCAAATATTTTGATTCCTACTTTATAGATGAGAAAAACAGAGGTTTAGATAGTGCAATCACTGACCCAAGATCACGTAGCCTGGATTTAAATGCAGATCTGTTTTGCTTTGACAAAGCTGGGTTCATTCATTCTCTGTTATTAAGCAAACATTTATTAAGTTCCTACGCACAACCCAGTACTGTGCAGAACTGCACTGGAGATAGAGCTCCACTCAGGACATATGCTCTCATTCCTTGCCTTTGTGGCAGTTGCATTCTAGAGGAAGAGTCACAAATACAAAGGCCTCCAGGGGCTTTGAGTTAAGTGGATGGGTGGGGAGTGCAAGGAGGGGACAGCTGTTCTCTGCCTTCTTAAGGCAGTGACTACTCAACTCCAACCAAATGTTGGTATGTGAGAATATGGGCCCAGAATTGCCAGCTTTTCCATTCTTCAAGAGGAGCCAGAAATCTATATTTTATGCAAAATGCCTTGATGTCTTAAAATTGTGGACTAAGCCAACTATTCTGTTAGCATGAATGTGTGTTAAACAAAAGGCATATGTGGGCCAGATTAAGCCCTGGGGGACACCACGAATGCCATCTTATTCTGAGACTCCTAGAAAGTCAGCCCACTTAAATCCAGGTTAATCTCATGTCGAAATGTCAAGTGCACCCTACATGTTCCCTGAATCTGGGGACTTTGCCTATGGTACAGGAAGCTTTAAGTCATGACTCAAAGTTTTCTTGCTAGAGAAACCCTACAGTTTATTTCTCTTATTCCTTGAAATTCCATTCTTCCCTGAGTCTAGGCTATTAGCTGACCTGCTTCTGTCAGGAAATAGCTGGATTGTGGGTGTCTACAAACAGTAAGAGAAGGCTACGTGACCACCGCTCACAGCCTCCTTCCCCCTTCTTGTTCCTGCTGCCACCAGATGGTTCTGAGATAATGCCACGTCTTTCCTGCAAGAAACAACATTTCCGAGCCATTCTGCTGATCCCTTCTGGCTGTCTTGGGAATGCAATTTCTGGGCCTCTCCCCTCCTGTCATTGCTTCCCCTGTCTTATCTTCAGAGGGGTAGGGGACCTGAGCTGGTCCCTTTCCAAAGAGAGTCAATCATCCACCATGCTGGAAGTACAGGGGCTCACGTAGATGGTGTAAACGTGCAAACTCGAGTTCTGGCTCGCCCATGTATGCTTACAGTATGTTTGGGACCACCCAATCATTTCCAAACTTATGTGTGATACCAATCTCACTCCTTATCTCTGCTGTGAAGATTCATATTCTCTAATCAAACAAGTGGAGTTCTTAGTCTCCCAAAAATCCTGTGGGAGACAAAACAAGATGATCTTTGCCCACAAACCTGGCATCCAGCCAAGCTTTGATCTCTGATTCCAGCCCCTCCCTCAGTCCTCAACATGATTCTCCCATGATGTTAAACAACATCTCTTCATACCTCTGTTGATGACACAAGAGTCAAAGAGTGGGGATCTAATCAGTAGTTACTACCTGCTCCTGGATATTAATTGGTAGGAAGGAGAATTTGGCCCCTGAGATGAGATCAGTATTAGCTGTCAGAAAAAGCTGGCATCATTAATCTGTTTCAGTGTGAACCTGAGGGCTGACATGCAAAGATCTGGGGCTGGCCGGATGCAGTGGCTCATGCCTGTAATCCCAGTACTTTGGGAGGCCGAGGTGGGTGGATCACCTGAAGTCAGGAGTTCAAGACCAGCCCGGCCAATATGGTGAAATCCCGTCTCTACTAAAAATACAAAAATCAGCCAGGTTTGGTGGCATGTGCCTGTAATTCCAGCTACTCGAGAGCCAAAGCAGGAGACTCGCTTGAACCCAAGAGGCAGAGGTTGCAGTGAGCCAAGATTGTGCCACTGCACTCCAGCCTGGGCAACAGAGGAAGACTCCATCGCAAAAAAATAAAAAAAATTAAAAAAAAAGGGAATAAAAAAAAAGGGAAGAAAAAAAAATACCTGGGGTTTCTAACCCAGGGAATATGGAAGATATTCTGAATACATTGCTTGACATTGGCAGACATTGGCTCTTACATTTTACATTTGAGATTTCAGTTATTTTCAAGCTAACTTCTAAAGGCCATGTCAAGCCACCATTTTCAAATTTTGCTGAGGCACAAATTTGGATTGCACAATGAGAAGCAGGTAGTTTGACAAATGAATGAGCCCAGCTAATTGCCTGATACCTACCTTTCTATGGTATTTTGTCTCCACTTAATACAGGATTTCCTTTAATCTTCACAAAGAGCCTGTTGGGGAGGTATTATTACTCTCATTTTACAGATTCATGAATAGATCATGGGCTATGGGCTATGGTAATCTACATAAAAATGAGAATTGAAGAAAATCTCAAATAGTATCTCATTTGCACGTCAAGAGTCTACTGGACTAATTTTTTTCTTCTCTATTTGGAACAATCTAGTTGAAAAAAATACATCACTGCAATGATCTGGAAAGAATCTTTCAACTATACCTCAAGCATCAACTGAGGCCTTCTAGACTATGAGATGTATGAGATGTAATTAGAGTTACCACAGCCTCCAATTCCACCACCTAGATGAGCCTGAATCCCAGACTTGTTTGCCAATTCTCTGAGCTTTACAATCATAAGGGAGTTCCCTTGTCTACAAGCCCTATCTTGATTTCTTTGGTGAGGTCTATTAAAAGCCCAACAAATGTTTTAGGGTTCTGTAGACTTTGCAGACATTTTATTTGCTTGTTTGTTTGGGGAAATGGTGGTTAAAGAAGAGTTTCATGGAGAAGCACACAGCTTGCCATCATTTATCTCACTCTTCATCCCTCTTTTCCCCCTTTCTTTTTCTCTGGCCCTTTCCCAGCCCTCAGGAACAGCAATTTAGTAATGCAATCCCCTGGTCCCTTTCTCTGAAGAGTCACCAACCAACTCCCAGGCCTTGAGGGCCTTAGATTTCCCTCAAGTGAGACTATCAAGGCATTTTCCTATGAAAATATTCTATGTATGTTGCTGTAAGAATAATATTCTCTCCCTTTGGTGATAACAACTATGAGAACTATCTCAACCATGGAAGAGGCTGCCCCAGGAAGTAAGGAGATTGATTCCTCTAGGCCAAAGACCTAGAAAACCGTTTATAGGGACATTGGAGAAAGATTTATATTGATGATTATGCCAAAGTACCTGCAAGATCCTTCAACCCAGAGATCCCCCAGTGCAAGATTTCTGAGGACTCCCAGATTTTGACAGCAGACAGACCTGGATTTGCATCAGTGTTCCATGTCTTGCTGATTGTCAGATTACAGGATGGTATATACCCCATCTAAGACACATTTCCCACATCTGTAAAGTGCACATGATAAATGATAAATGGCAAAGTGTTCCTTAGTTATTTAACACAATGTCCTGCTACATAGCAATAGCAACATAACAGAGGGCTTCTAGTATTATCTTTATTTTACTGTCATTGTTTTGTTGGTAGGTTGTCTACCTCAGAGAAGCAGCAGGACTTAATTTTAAACAGGTATTCAATTAGAATCAAAGAAATAAACTCTAGCACCACTTCTGCTGCATAATATCTGAGCAATGTTAAACACATCACTTAACTGATCTAAACCTCGGTTTCCTCACTTGAAACTATGGGGTAATAACACTCTTTTTTTGATTACCTCAGTTGTGTTACATGAGAAAATTAATGTAACTGTACTTTAAAAATTATAATTACCTTAAAAATTAGTTAAAATGGGAAGATTTACCAAGCAAGTGGAAAGCAAAAAAAAAAGCAGGGGTTGCAATCCTAGTCTCTAATAAAACAGACATTAGGCCAGACGTGGTGGCTCATGCCTGTAATCCCAGCACTTAGGGAGGCTGAGGCGGGCAGATCACAAGGTCAGGAGATTGACACTATCTTACCTAACATGGTGAAACCCCATCTCTACTAAAAATACAAAAAATTAGCAGGGTGCAGTGGCACGCGTCTGTAGTCCCAGCTACTCAGGAGGCTGAGGCAGGAGAATCGCTTGAACCCAGGAGGTGGAGGTTGCAGTGAGCCGAGATTGCGCCACTGCACTCAAGCCTGGGCAACAGAGCGATACTCCATCTAAGAACAAACAAACAAAGAACAGACTTTAAACCAACAAAGATCAACAAAGACAAAGAAGGGCATTACATAATGGTAAAGGGATCAATGCAACAAGAAGAGTTAACTATCTTAAATATACATGTACCCATACAGGAGCACCCAGATTCATAAAGCAAGTTCTTAGAGACCTACAAAGAGACTTAGACTTCCACACAATAATAGTGGGAGACTTTAACACCCCACTATCAACATTGCACAGATCAATGAGTCAGAAAATTAACAAGGATATTCAGGACTTGAACTCAGCGCTGGACCAAGTAGACCTAATAGACATCTACAGAACTGTCCACCAAAAATGAACAGAATATACATTCTTCTCAGCACCACATAGCATTTATTCTAAAATCGACCACATAATTGGAAGTAAAACACTCCTCAGCAAATGCAAAAGAACAGAAATCATAACAAACACTCTCTCAGGCCACAGTTCAATCAAATTAGAACTCAGAATTAAGAAACTCACTCAAAACTGCACAACCACATGGAAACTGAGCAAACTGCTCCTGAATGACCACTGGGTTAGTAATGAAATTAAGGCAGAAATAAATAAGTTATTTGAAACCAATGAGAACAAAGACACAACATACCAGAACCTCTGGGACACAGATAAAGCAGTGTTTAGAGGGAAATTTATAGCACTAAATGCCCACAGGAGAAAGCAGGAAAGATCTAAAATTGACACCCTAACATCACAATTAAAAGAACTAGAGAAGCAAGAGCAAACAAACTCAAAAGCTCACAGAAAACAAGAAATAACTAAGATCAGAGCAGAACTGAAAGAGATAGAGACACGAAAAACCCTTCAAAAAATCAATGAATCCAGCAGCTGGTTTTTTGAAAAGGTTAATAAAATAGAACACTAGCCAGACTAATAAAGAAGAAAAGAGAGAAGAATCAAATAGACACAATAAAAAACGATAAAGGGGAGATCACCACTGATCCCACAGAAATACAAACTACCATCAGAGAATACTGTAAACACCTCTACACAAATAAACTAGAAAATCTAGAAGAAATTGATACATTCCTGGACATACACCCTCCAAAGACTAAACCAGGAAGAAGTCGAATCCCTGAATAGACCAAAAACAAGTTCTGAAATTGAGGCAGTAATTAATAGCTTACCAACCAATAAAAGCCCAGGACCGGATGGATTCACAGCTGAATTCTACCAGGGGCTCAAAGAGGAGCTGGTACAATTTCTTCTGAAACTATCCCAAACAATATAAAAAGAGGGACTCCTCCCTAACTCATTTGATGAGGCCAGCATCATCATGATACCAAAACATGGCAGAGACACAACACAAAAAGAAAATTTCAGGTCAATATCCCTGATGAACATCAATGCGAAAATCCTCAATGCAATACTGGTAAATTGAATCCAACAGCACATTAAAAAGCTTATCCACCATGTTCAAGTCTGCTTCATCCCTGGGATGGAAGGCTGGTTCAACATACACAAATCAATACACGTAATCCATCACATAAGCAGAACCAATGACAAAAACCACATTATTATTTCAATAGATGCAGAAAAGGCCTTCAATAAAATTCAACACCCCTTCTTGCAATAAAACACTCAAAAAACTAGGTATTGATGGAACATATCTCAAAATAACAAAAGCTATTTATGACAAACCACAGCCAATATCATACTGAATGGGCAAAAGCTGAAAGCATTCCTTTTGAAAATTGGCACAAGAGAAGGATGCCCTCTCTCACCACTCCTATTCAACATGGTGTTAGAAGTTCTGGCCAGGGCAATCAGGTAAGAGAAAGAAATAAAGGTATTCAAATAGGAAGGTAGGAAGTCAAATTATCTCTGTTTGCAGATGACATGAGTGTATATTTACAAAACCCCATCATCTCAGCCCAAAAACTCCTTAAGCTGATAAGCAACTTCAACAAAGTCTCAGGATATGAAATCAATGTGCAGAAATCACAGGCATTCCTATACATCAATAATAGACAAAGAGAGAGCAAAATCATGAGCAAACTCCCATTCACAATTGGTACAAAGAGAATAAAATACCTAGGAATACAACTTACAAGGGATGTGAAGGACCTCTTCAAGGAGAACTACAAACCACTTCTCAAAGAAATAAGAGAGGACACAAACAAATGGAAAAACGTTCCATGCTCATGGATAAGAAGAGTCAATATCGTGAAAATGGCCATACTGACCAAAGTAATTTATAGATTCAATGCTATCCCCATCAAGCTACCATTGACTTTCTTCACAGAATTAGAAAAAACTACTTTAAATTTCATATGAAACCAAAAAAGAGCCCATATAGCCAAGGTAATCCCAAGCAAAAAGAACAAAGCTGAAGGCATCACGCTACCTGACTTCAAACTATACTACAAGGCTACAGTAACCAAAACAGCACGGTACTGGTACCAAAAAAAGATACATAGACCAATGGAACAGAACAGAGGCCTCAGAAAAAACAGCACACATCTACAACCATCTGATCTTTGACAAACCTGACAAAAACAAGCAATGGGGAAAGGATTTCCTATTTAATAAATGGTGTTGGGAAAACTGGCTAGCCATGTGCAGAAAACTGAAATTGGACCCCTTCCTTACACCTTATACAAAAATTAACTCAAGATGGATTAAAGATTGAAACATAAGACCTAACACCATAAAAACCCTAGAAGAAAACCTAGGCAATACCATTCAGGACATAGGCATGGGCAAAGACTTCATGACTAAAACACCAAAAGCAATTGCAACAAAAACCAAAATAGACAGATGAGATCTAATTAAACTAAAGAGATTCTGCACAGCAAAATAAACTATCATCAGAGTGAACAGGCAACCTACAGAATGGGAGAAAATCTTTGCAATCTACCCATCTGACAAAGGGCTGATATCCAGAATCTACAAAGAACTTAAACAAATTTATGAGAAAAAAAAAACCACATCAAAAAGTGGGCAAAGGATATGAACAGACACTTCTCAAAAGAAGACATTTATGCAGCCAACAGACATATGAAAAAATGCTCATCATCACTGGTCCTTAGAGAAATGCAAATCAAAACCACAATGAGATAGCATCTCACACCAGTTAGAATGGCTATCATTAAAAAGTCAGGAAACAACACATGCTGGAGAGGATGTGGTGAAATAGGAATGCTTTTACACTGTTGGGGGGAGTGTAAATTAGTTTAACCATTGTGGAAGGCAGTGTGGAGATTCCTCAAGGATCTAGAACTAGAAATACATTTGAGCCAGCAATCCCATTACTGGGTATATACCCAAAGGATTATAAATCATTCTACTATAAAGACACATGCACACGTATGTTTATTGCAACACTATTCACAATAGCAAAGACTTGGAACCAACCCAAATGCCCATCAATGATCAATGTTAGACTGGATAAAGAAAATGTGGCATATATACACCATGGAATACTATGCAGCCATAAAAAAGAAATGAGTTCATGTTCTTTGCAGGGACATGGATGAAGCTGGAAACCATCATTCTCAGCAAACTATCACAAGGACAGATAACCAAACACCATATGTTCTCACTCATAAGTGGGAGTTGAACAATGAGAACACATGGGCACAGGGACAGGAACATCACACATTGGGGGCCTGTTGGGGGTGGGGGCGAGGGGAGGGATAGCATTAGGAGAAATACCTAATGTAGATGATGGATTGATGGGTGCAGCAAACCACCATGGCACATGTATACCTATGTAACAAAACTGCAAGTTCTGCACATGTATCCCAGAAGTTAAAAGTATAATAAAAAAAGATGAGTCAAAATGATGGAGTTGCCACATCTACCTTATGTGCACATCTCACAGCTTCTGTTTCTGGGTCCTATTCTTCCTGGTGTTTTTGTGTTGTCCTCCTCTTGTCTGGGATCCACTGAAGCTCACCAGCTTGTTCATGGTCCTGAGCTGTAACCCCAAATATGCTCCACTTAATCCCTCCTTCCCTGGCCAAAAGCTCAAAAGTGGCCCCTACTAAGAATTTGCTCATGACTTTGTAAGCTAGCACTGTTTGAGAACATAAGCATATTTTCAACAGGGGCCTTCTAGAGAATTGTCCCATAAGCCAACAGGAAGATAAAGATAGTAGAATTATTTTAAAGGGGATAGACCTCATGTTGCCTATGCAGAAAGAGTCTGCTTTATCTGAAGCTAGGCCAGACTCACTCTGTGTCATGTCCCATTGCTTCTTCTATCCCAAGCCTCTATGGATCAGTTGTGAGATCCACAGACACTCATATCCTGTAGCAGCTTTCATTCCATACCAAACTATGTCTCCTGTACAACCAGAAGCAGAGGCATAGATCAGATGACCTCTGGACTTCCCTGCCAATTCTTGGAATGAAGTATCAAAGGGATTCCAGGCAAAGTGATTACAACCCTTGGTCATTTCTTCAACAACAAACATTTACTAAACTCCTACATTAAACCAGGCATTATGCCAGAATCTGAGCACTCAAAGCTGAATAAGATGCAACATAGCCCTGAACTGGGTGCTAACCTCCTCCCATGAAACTCAAAGTACCATAAATTCCTATTTGAAAAGAAAACCAAAAATTCTTCCCAGGCATTTTCTCATTTGATCATAAGCCACTCTGTAATCTAATAACTGATATCCCCATTTAATATAGGAGGTAACGGGGGCTCTGAGGGATTTGTTTAATGTAAAAGAGACATTAACTAGTAGAGTTGGAATTTGAGGAGGGCAGGCACTTCAAGGGAAAGGCAAGCCCATTGTTTTTGGTCTGTGCTGTCTGTCCTTGGGATTCTGAGCCTGTTAAAAGCATTAGTGTGAACCAGACAGAGGTGTACATATATGATTAACTCACCCTAGTACTTCTGGTGTTTCAGATAACCCCTCCTCCAACCCCCTTGCTCTCTCTGCAACCTGCCACTTAAGCCAGGGTAAGTCAAATGCAAAGACAAGGGTGGATTTGCACCCTCTAGGAAGGCAGCATGGACCTTGAAGGGTATGCTGTCTCTGCTTACACCATTATCTTTCTCTTCATCAGAAGGGCCTTGATTAAATAGCAAGCACATTTCAGAATTGGAATGAGAAGGTAATACATAAAACCACAAGCCTAGTTTTAGAACAGTCTCAAAGCTCCTAGGCTTTTTGCCTAGAGAAAATAATTTGGTCAGAGGGCTTTTAGCTCCTCGTTTGGGTGTGGGGGGACTATAGTGATCTGTGTTTTCCATGACAACCACATTTTTTCTATAAATAGATCTGCCCCAAGCAGGGTGCAAGCTTGTAATTAGTTCTTAATACATTTTCACAAATGACTGATCAATGACTGGAAATACATATCCCTTCTCCAGTACACAACTTACTTGTTTCCAACAGTGACAGATTTCATAGGGTTTCTTTTGCATTACCGGGAAATTTACTCTAGTGTTTATGGAAGCTGTCAGGAGTGTATCTAAATATTCAACTCTATCTAAAAAGATTCTGTAATTAGTATCTCTCCAGGCCAAAACAGCTTGAGTCTCAATAACTCAGTAACAAAGCATTATTTCTCTGGCTCTTTTCCTGCCAGCTGTTGCAATAATGAGAGCCCACCCCAACCCTTCTTTTGCTTGTTCTGGGAATCCTCGGGGAGTGGCCAATGTCATATAGGCCCTTGAACAGAGTTCCTGGACACCGAGTTTTCCCTGTTCCTCTTCAGAATTGCAGTGGTGATGTCTTCTGTCACTGCCGATACCAAAGGCTTCATGATATAAGCACAATTCTGGAACATGGTGACCTCTCCATTCCAGATGTGAACTTACTCTGGCTCAGGCAGTATCGTTCATGAGGACGTGCCTTTGGAGGCCCATCCCACCTGTTCTTCATATGTGCTCGAAAGGGTCTGTGTCCCATGACGAGTACAACTTAGACTGCCAAGCTGGGACCCCTGCTGCAAGCCAAAGTGAGCAAGTGTCTGCACTGGCTTTGTATCAGGAGTTGAACTATCCTAGATTTGAACCAGAAGCTGATGATAAGTGTGCTGACAACACTTGAGTCTCTTTTATTCCTGATGTAAGTAGTTAAGCTAATTCTACTTTTGTTCTCAGAATGACCGGAGGAAGGAGAACCAAGCTCATTTACTCTTTACTTTGGAAAAAGGAAACAGCAGAAACTTGGGGCACAGTCTCTTAATGGAAAGTCACCTTAGAACATAATTTCTCAACAAGAAGTTGAGTCACATATCCAACAAGTGCAACAGGTGGGTTTATAATGGCGATGGAAAAGATAATTTGGAATGAAGATTCTTTCAGATGCTGCATTTGTTTGTTATTTATTTCTGTGTCACTCCATATAGGAGTTAATGCCACTGCCAGAAATACTTAAAGATCTCAAAGAAATATAAAAAAGAAGCCCATATAAGTAAAAAAGATAAACATGATTGGGGCATAAGATAGAATTGAAATGAAGCTCATGTAAAAATGCCATTCAAGCAGCCCTAAGCTTCCCAGCATTGACACACACACACACACACACACACACACACAAGTCTGATAGAAGTTATGGGATTCCTAGATTTCTTAGGATTTGTTTTAAGTTTCTCAAGAAAAGATAGCTATTCCTGATACCAAATAGAAATAAATTTCTCCCAAGAAGACTTATAAAGTGTGTTTCATGAGTAATTCCAGAAAATGTGGTCAACAAAAACCAAGGAAAGCGTTCAGTGGGCAGAGAGGGTGATGTTAAGAATGCAAATAGCAGTGCATGAGCACAGAAGATGAGAAGAGGCCCAGCCGAGAACTGTGGAGGCTCTTGTCCTCTTCTTCCCCTTCCCCATACAGGCCTCTCTTTTGCATGGTTTTTGCCCCATCTAGCATCGTCCTTCCAGTTCTTTTTTCCTTAATGGCTCTGTCCTTTTCAACCTCTCTCTCTGTACCGAAGTAAAGTTGTTTCCTCTTCCTGTCCTGAAGTTCAGAAAGAACAAAGTACATGCCCAAGGTCATACAGCTGAGTAGTGTAGTTTACATGTCTTAAGGTTTTGAGTCAGACCTGTGTCAAACCAATCTCTATCCTTAAAGATTTACTCAATATTTAGCAAATATTTATAGAATTCAAACTGGGGTGATCCCATCTAGTCTTAAGACTTGAAACATGATCTGTATACTCATGTCACCCAAGTGTATACTTCTGGTCCTGACCTCTTTCCTGAAATTCCAACTCCTACATCCAATGCCTCTGAGCATGTTCACTCAGATGTCTGGTAAGCAACTCCAAGTGTCCAGATCCAAAGTACCATGAGTCTGGACTTTTCCTCCAAAGCTTTTCCTGCCCATGTCTTTTGCATCTCGAGAAATGATATCTCCATTTACCCAGATGCTTAAGTCAGTTTTCTTACCCTTCCCTCTTCAAATACATTAGGAAACCTATCTGCTCCAACCCAAGTTCAGCCACTTCTTGCCATCCCCAATACTATCATTCCAGACCAACTCTTCTCTCTCCTTTTCTAGTGTTAACATAGCCTCCTATACAACTTCCCTATTTCTAATCTTGCCCCACTCGCCACACAACAGCCATAGCAATCTAGTTAAAACTAAATCAGATCATGGAATTTCCTTGCTCAAAACATTCCAATGCTGCCTTTGTATTGAACAAAACTTAAATAAGGGAGTGGCTTGAAGGTTGTATACAGCCTGGCCCCTATCTCTCTGAACTCATTTGCAAGCATTTCCCCCTTTTATTCACTGTGCTCTTTTGTGTGTGTGTGTTTGTGCATGTGGGCATATATGTACATTTATGTATGTAAACATAATTAGTATTGTGTTTCATTGACAAACCATAATTTTATATAACTTTATGGGGCACAATGTGATATTTTTATATATGTATACAATATGGAATAATTAAATCAAGCTGATTAAGATATCTATCACCTCACTTATTTTTTGTTAGGAAACATTTGAAATTTATTCCCTCAGTTGTTTTGAAATATACATTATTATTGACTATAGTCAGCCTATTGTGCAATAGATTGCAAAACTAATCCTCCTGTCTAACTGAAACTTTTTACCCTATGACCGGCAACTCCCCATTCCCTCCCTCTTCTCCCCACCTCCTCACCCAGCCTCTGGTAGCCATCATTCTACTCTCTACTTCTGTGAGTACAACTTTTTTAGATTCCGCATAAAAGTGAGATCATGCAGTATTTGCTTTTCTGTGCCTAGCTTATTTAACTTTGCACAATATTCTCCACGTTCATCCACATTGTCACAAATGACAAGATTTTCTTCTTTTTTAAGACTGAATAGTATTCCATTGTCTACATGTACCACATTTTCTTTATCTATTCATCTGTTGATGGACACAAGTTGATTCCACATCTTGGCTATTGTGGACAGCACTGCCATGAACATAGGAGTCCAGATATCCTTTGGACATATTGATTTCAATTCTTTTGGACTAATACCCAGAAGAGGGTTTGACTGACATATGATAGTTCTATTTTTAGTTTTTTGAGGAACTTCCATTCAGTTTCCCATAATGGCTGTGAGTCTGGAGTTTGTTCCTGCCGGTGGGTTCGTGGTCTCGCTGACTTCAAGAATGAAGCTGCAGACGTTCGTGGTAAGTGTTACAGCTTTTAAAGGTGACACGGACCCAAAGAGTGAGGAGCAGCAAGATTTATTGTGAACAGCGAAAAACAGAGCTTCCACAGCATGTAAAGGGACCCAAGAAGGTTGCCACTGCTGGCTGGGATGACCAGCTTTTATTCCCTTATTTGTCCCCTCCCATGTTCCATTTCTGTCATATCAGAGTGCCCTTTTTTCAATCCTCCCTGTGATTGGCTACTTTTAGGCTCCTGCTGATTGGTGCATTTTACAGAGCTCTGATTGGTGCATTTTACAGAGTGCTGATTGGTGCATTTTACAGAGTGCTGATTGGTGCATTTTACAACCCCCTTGCTATCTACAGAGCACTGATTGGTGCATTTTACAATCCTAGCTACAGAGTGCTGATTGGTGCATTTTACAATCCTCTTGTAAGACAGAAAATTCTCCAAGTCCCCAATCAACCCAAGAAGTCCAGCTGGCTTTACCTCTCAATCCCCCCTCTAAACAGGACACTCCAACTGCTGCTGGGAATTGGGCGATGACCACTCTAGCTACTTCCTGATGGATAGGGGTGAAGAAGGGGCCCTGCAATTGTAGTGTCCTCCAGAGGGGAACTCTCTAGGCCAGTCAAAGGGCCACTGGGTCAGTCCAGGGGTCCTCGGTAGAAGTTGTGAGTTGAGCTCATTTGGGGTTCCATTTGTAAGACCATCTGTAGCTTGATGGCCTCAATCCTGGAGGTAACAAATTTGACAAGCAGGTAAAAAATACAGGGCCTGAAGGCGAGTAATAGCAAAATGGCTGTCACAGGACCTAGAAAAGGGAGAAGCCATGTCACCCAACTCCAGAGGTTGGTATAAGAGTCTGAAAGGCATTGTCTGATTTCAGAAGCCTTTTCCTGTAAATGCCAGGCAGCGTCTCATACTCTCCCTGACTGGTTAGTGTAAAAACAACACTCTTCACCTAAAAAGGTGCAGAGTCCTCCTTTCTCAGCCATGAGGAAGTCTAGGCCTCAGCAGTTTTGGAGAGTCAAAGAGTCTGCTGCCAAAGAGTCTATTTGGGATTGTAGAGTAAGGATAGATTTAGTTATTTCTTGCAAACTGTCTGAGAAATCCTTTGAGAATGTGTGGTAGTAGGATAGCGAAGTGGACAAACCTGCTACTCTGGTTCCTGTAGTAGTGGCCATCCCTAAACCTATAAGTAGGGGTATTACTTGTATGGCCCTGCACTGACAGACTTGAGCTTTGAGGGGCACTGATAGGTTCTGATTTCCTGGGGCATTGTGAATGTTGGGACTTAGGAAGATTAAGGTACAAGTGCCTGTCCAGTTGGTGGGGAGGCAGATATAGGTTGAAGTTCCATGTAAGAAGAATATGCCTTGGCTGGGTAGACAGAACAGGTTGTGTATGTTGAAAAGGTGTGTGAGTTTGTTGTTTTCATTTTCCCATACTCCTAGAGTACTTGCCAAGGTAGCTCCAGAGCAGCTGAAAAGGGGTGTTGGGAGCAAATTGAGTGGCTCCCTGTGTTCTATTTTCCCATTGGAGAAAAAAACCATTTTGTATCTACTAGGAACCATTCAAGGGAGTGATTGAAAGAGGGGATGAGAAGGCATTCATTAGTGGTGGGAGCGCTGCTGCAGGGGGTCCAGGGTGAATGGTCATGCAGGGAGTATGTTTGCCATTAAAAAACCTGGACTGTTTATTAAGCAGGGAGGAGGTGATAATTTTTGGAGGCCCTGAGAAGAAGGCAAGCTGTCTGAATGGAGCTGTTTGGGTGACTCGGAAGTTACTATGATCAGATGGGGCTTGAAGTTGTAGAATGTAATTACACTGATGGGATAGTAGATGCCCCAGGGGCAGGCCTAATAACAGGTCGCATTGGATGCATAAAAGGGCTTGGAAAGTTAAGATGGTATTTGTAGTTGCAGGGCTGTGTATGGGCTTTTCATTGCTCATGTAATAGGTGAGGTTGGAAATGTAAGAGTGTAAAAGTTGGATTGTGCATCCTGTTAGGGTATTCTAGGTCCTATCAGAGATGGGGAAGTTGGCTAATGATTGCATATTTGGAATTTGGAAAGGGTCTTTTCCTTCATAAGAGGGATGGTAGGTTAAGTTGGTAAAGACCCAGTTTTTTGCAGGAACAGGAGTGGCAACGTAAGCATGCCTGATAGAGAGATGCAAAGCCAACAGTCATTTGCCAGGGAAGGACTGGACTGGTTTAACAGAGAGTGGGTTAAGTTTAGAGTCTTGTAGAGGTAACTAGGAGCTAGTGGAAGGGGAGGGGCAACTATGTGGGGTATCCAAGTAGGCAGGAGGGATAGATAGGCAAAGAGTAAGTAGGAAGGTAAAGAGGGTGCCCTGAAAGATGAGATCATTTTATCCAGTCTGAGTTAATGGTAGGAGTAAATTGCTGTCAGAAGGAAGGATGATAGAAGAAAGGTTGATGTGATTAGGATTTCATCCTGGAGCTACAGTATATAGTCCTACTGCAAAGAGTACAGCTAGTATCCTGGTTAATAATGTGATGAAACAGTAAAAGGATTCCATTAAAGGGGCAAGGAGAGGTGTTAAAGATTATGTAGGTTTTCACTTATCTTTTTTAAGTAGGAAGGGGTTTTTCTTCAGGATCGGCTGTAGGAGTCTTTTTAGTCTGGGATTTTTCTTTCCAAAATAGAAGACACAAGTCCTCCAATGGCTCACAGGTGTATCGAGGCTGGTCTGGCTGATAATGGGACTCCTGAGCTCTCGGTCCCGCAGGTTCTTCAGGGGGTGTCCAAAGCTTAAATCGGTGTGGTGAATCCAAGATTCCACTCCTGCCACCTTAACTGCAGTGGGGGTAGAGAGGATTACCGAGTATGGTCCTTCCCACAAAGAATCCATAGATAGGGAGATAGAGGGGAGGGATTCAAACAACACTAGATCTCCTGGTTGAAATAACACCGTTTCCTGTTCTCTGTGACATCCTTCACATAGGATTTAAGTTTTGTTGATATTTTGCCAAAGAAGTTATATCTTTGACCAAGTTGGCCATTTTCTGATCAAGTAGGAGGTCATTTGTGAGAAAAGGTCATCCATACAGCATTTCATGTGGACTGAACCCCATTTCTTGAGGAGAATTTCGGATTCTCAACAAGGCCATGGGGAAAAGAATAGGCCATGGGAGATGAGTTTCTTGAGTTAGTTTCCTTAGGTGCCTCTTGATGTTTCATTTGCCTTCTCAACCTTCCCTGAGGATTGTGGCCTCCAGGTGCAGTGAACGTGATATTGTATCCCTAGCACCCTGGAAATTCCCTGGGTTATTGTGGCTTTAAAAGCTGGACTGTTGTTGCTTCGTAAGCTTTAGGGAAGTTCAAATCTAGAAATTATTTCATAAATTAGGACTCTAACCACTTCCTGAGACTTCTCTGTCTTGCAGGGGAAGGCTTCTATCCAATTTGTAAAGGTATCAACACAGATCAACAAGTATTGAAATCCCCTTGACTTAGGCATATGGGTGAAGTCTAACTGCCAGTCCTCTCCGGGATAGTGCCCTATTCTTTGTTTTCCCAGAGGGGCCTTAAGATAGACCAAGGGATTATTCCTTTGACACCTCACAGGCTTTGACTACTTGTCGGATGGTCCAGAGGAGATTTGGCCCTGTAAACAGGGATTTAGCCATTTGATGAGTGTTCTCAATACCCATATGAATAGTTTGGTGGAGGGGCTTAAGTATTTTCCACTGGCTGACTTCGGGTATGAGTACCTTTCCCTCTTCTGTCATTAACCACCCTGAGGGGAGAAAACTATGCCCCCGTGAAAGTCCCCATTTTTTTTCAATTGGGGAATACTGGGGCTTAATCTCTTGGAGAGGGTTGTTCCATACCAAGTGTCCTTCCATAGGTATTTCTAATGGGAAGTTCTGCTTGGCAGCAATTTTGGCCTCAGCGTCTGCCCGATGGTTTCCTTCTGCCTTTTCTCCTTCACCTTTCTGATGGCTTTGGCAGTGTAAGACTGCTACCTCCTTGGGTTTTTGCACTGCATGCAATAACTCCATGATTTCCATGTGGTATTTAATGGGGGTTCCCCCAGAGGTTAGGAACTCCCTTTCTTTCCACATTGCAGCATGAGCATGTAGGATTAGATAAGCATACATGCTATCTGTATACACATTTATTCTTTTTCCCTTTCCCAGTTCTAAGGCTCAGGTAAGCACTACTAGTTCTGCTAACTGGGCACTGGTCCCTGGGGGAAGAGGCTTACTTTCAAGTACTGTTACATCACTAACTACGGCATAACCTGCCCTTTGTTTCCCATTCTCCACAAATGAACTTCCATCAATATATAGGTTAAAGTCAGGATTAACTAAGGGGACTTCTAAAAGATCCTCTCAGGTGGCATAAGTCTGGGCTACAATTTGTTGGCAGTCATGCTCGATTGGTTCCCCATCCTCTGGGAAAAAAGTGGCAGGGTTGAGGGCTGCACACATGCGTATTTGAAGCACTAGTCCCTCAAGGAGTAGTGCCTGGTATCTAAGCAGGCCATTGTCTGATAGCCATAAACTTCCTTTGGCACCTAGTATGCCATTTACGTCATGAGTAGTCCAGACAGTTAGATCCTTTCCTTGTATTATTTTGATAGCCTCTGATACTAAAATGGCCACCACTGCAACTACTCATAAACAGTGAGGCCAGCCTTTTGCTACTACATCAATTTCCTTACTTAAGGCCTGACCATCTCACTGTATCGGGGGATCTATAGTAGGCAAAAGCCAGTGATTCCAAGGAACCCCCACAAATGTTTTAATGTCTTAGGGCAAGGATAAGCCAGTATAGGCTGTATTCCTTCCTTGCTGAAGGCCCTGGCTCCTCTGGCTAAGATTATGCCTAGATATTTGACTTGTTGTAGGCAGAGCTGGGCCTTTGATTGAGACCTCTTGTACCCTTCATTAGCTAGAAAGTTCAAGAGATCTAGAGTAGCCTGCTGGTATGAGGCTTCTGAACTGGTAGACAAAAGTAAATCATCCACATACCGAAGCATCAGAATGCCTGGACTTGAGAAGTGGCCTAGATCTTAGGCCAGTGCCTGACCAAACGGATGAGGGCTATCCCTAAACCCTTGAGGCAAGACCGTCCATGTAAGTTTGGATGGGTGTTCTGCGGGATCCTCAAAGGCAAAGAGAAACTGGGAGTCAGAGTGCAAGACACTGCAGAAGAAGGTATCCTTGAGATCCAGAACAGTGAACCATTCTGCTTCCTCTGATATTTGAGAGGGCAGGGTATAGGGGTTGGGTACAGCTGGATATAGAGGAATTACTGCCTCATTGATGAGTCTAAGATCTTGCACTAGTCTCCACTGACCATTCAGTTTTTGTACTCCTAGAATTGGGGTGTTGCAGTGACTGTTGCATTTTCTTACTAAGACTTGAGCTTTTAAATGTCTAATAATATCCTGTAATCCTTTATAAGCTTCAGGCCTTAAGGGATATTGCCTTTGATAAGGAAAAGTGGTGGGGTCTTTTAGCCTGATTTGGACTGGGTGGACATTTTTTGCCCTTCAAAATTGTCCTTTCAATGCCCAGACTTCAGGGTTGATTCCCTCCTCAAATAGGGGACAACAAATGGGTATCTTGTCCCCCATATTCATGTAGATAATAGCTCCAGCTTTGGCTAATATGTCCCTCCCTAATAAGGGTGTGAGACTTTCAGGCATAACAAGAAAGGCATGTGAAAAGAGCAAAGTCTCCCAATTACAACTGAGGAGGTGGGAGAAACACCTGGTTACAGGCTGTCCCAGGATCCCTCAGATGGTAATGGACCTTGAAGACAGTCGTCCGGGGTAGGAGATTAACACTGAGAAGGCTGCACCAGTGTCCAGGAGGACATCAATTTCCTGGCCCTCAATGATTAAACATACACAGGGCTCAGTGAGGGTGATGACATGAGCTGGAGCTTGCCCTGGGCACCCTCAGTCATATTGTTGGATCATCTGGCCCACAGAACCTTTGTACTCTGCAGTGTGCCTTCCAGTGATTGCCTTGGCATAGTGGACTTGGGTGAGGGGGCAGCTCGTTTTTCATCGGACAATCTTTTTTAAGGTGTCCTTGCAAACCACACTGATAACCAGCCCTACCAAGTGATTGGCCTGCTCCATTTCTGTCCTCTCTGAACCACCATGGTTTGTTTGTCTGAGGGCCACGACTAAGGCTGTGGCCTTTCTCTGAACTCACTTTTCCTTTTCAGCCTGTTCCTCTTGGTCCCTGTTACAGAACACCGAGGTTGCCAGGTTTAATAATGCTTCCAGATTTTGTTCAGGGCCAGGGCTCTTTGAGGATCAATTGACCCTTGACAAAGTCGGGTGACAGGGAAGTTTATTTTCTTAAGGCCTCCCATAGCCACTCAAGGAAGGCAGAAGGATTTTCTTGCTTTCCCTGAGTTATGGTGGACATCACTGAATAATTCATGGGTTTTTTTTTCTAATTCTCCTTAGTCCTTCTAGGACACAAGTCAACAGATGTTTTTCACTCTAGTCCCCATGATCTGAGTCTAGGTCCCAGCTGGAATCCATACTGGGGACAACTTGCTAACTAGTAGGGAATTTGTCCCTTTCTTCAGCTGTCATTCTATCATTTACTTGACTAAGATACAAGGTATCTCCAAACTCGGGCTGGAGCTAAAGTCACATTCTTTTCATTAAAGGCCAGGGTTTGATCTAACAATAGCATGACATCTCTCCAAATGAGGCCGAAGGTTTTCCCTAGACCCTTTAGGACATCTGTATACCTATCAGGATAATCTGAAAATGTCCCCAGGTCTACCTTGATCTGCTTTAAATCAGAGAAGGAGAAGGGGACATGTACCTGGGTTGGGCCAAATTACCCTCCCCCTACAGCTTGAAGGGCACATAAGTGATAGCCTGGGGGGTTTTGTGATCCCTTGGAGATTTCTTTGCTTGTTCCCTTCTGGGTGGGGGAGATTAGAGGAAGTTTATCATTAATAGGATGGGGAGCTGTAGGGAGGCAAGGATATGGAAGTAAGCTGAGAGGTCCTCCTGTAGGATATAAATTGCAAGCTTTGCATAGTTGTGGATTCTCCTTCATAGTACCTAATTTATGCTTCCCTGAGGTGGCCATTTTTCCCCATCAGAGAATACTGGGGCCAGGCTGTAGTGCAGAAAAAAAATAAGCTGCTTATTTTTCAGGGTTTGTGGATCAAATTGATCCCAAAGGCTTAGGATGCATTTCAAGGGTGAGCCTGTTGATGCCTGAGTGTTTCCCATCTGAAAGAAAAAACTGCCTACAGTTTTGGTTTGCTTGTTTGTTTTTCCCCCTGCCCAAGAACCTGCAATGGTCCCTGGACCCTGCTGTTCGGAACAGTTGCACTCACTGAAGCAGCAGAGGAAACACTAGTTTTCCTCAGAGACCACAAAGAGGACCAAGGAATGTCGGATTTAGTGGCCCTTATCAATGCATTCTCGAAAATCTGCACCCTTGCCTTTCCTCTTAGGACACAAAGAGGACAAAGAAAAATCGGATTTAGTGGCCATTACCATTGCATTCTCAAAAACCTGTTAGAGTCCTAACAATTCTCCTGTTAGTAATGGGACCTTACCCTTGTCCTATGAAGATGATATGCCTCAAAATGGAGTGGAGGGCCATACCCTGAGGGAGGGAAGGGATAACTAAGGTTGGAAGAGTGAGGCCTTTTGTTCTCACTTCTCATCATATCAATGGGAAGGTTAAAATTTCTGAGGCTCTCAATATCCTAGCTTCAGGAATAGCCTTTGTTAGGCCTTCTGTAGGGGTGGGTTGCCCCTCTACACCTGTGGGTGTTTCTCGTAAGGTGGGATGAGAGATTTGGAAAAGAAAAAGACACAGAGACAAAGTATAGAGAAAGAAATAAGGGGACCCGGGGAACCAGCGTTCAGCATATGGAGGATCCCGCCAGCCTCTGAGTTCCCTTAGTATTTATTGATCATTTGTGGGTGTTTCTCGAAGAGGGGGATGTGTCAGGGTCACAAGACAATTGTGGGGAGAGGGTCAGCAGACAAACACATGAACAAAGGTCTTTGCATCATAGACAATGTAAAGGATTAAGTGCTGTGCTTTTAGATATGCATACACATAAACATCTCAATGCTTTACAAAGCAGCATTGCTGCCCGCAGGTCCCACCTCCAGCCCTAAGGCGGTTTTTCCCTATCTCAGTAGATGGACCATACAATCGGGTTTTATACGGAGACATTCCATTGCCCAGGGACAGGCAGGAGACAGATGCCTTCCTCTTGTCTCAACTGCAAGAGGCATTCCTTCCTCTTTTACTAATCCTCCTCAGCACAGACCCTTTACGGATGTCGGGCTGGGGGACGGTCAGGTCTTTCCCTTCCCATGAGGCCATATTTCAGACTATCACATGGGGAGAAACCTTGGACAATACCTGGCTTTCCTAGGCAGAGGTCCCTGCGGCCTTCTGCAGTTTTTGTGTCCCTGGGTACTTGAGATTAGGGAGTAGTGATGACTCTTAAGGAGCATGCTGCCTTCAAGCATCTGTTTAACAAAGCACATCTTGCACCGCCCTTAATCCATTCAACTCTGAGTTGACACAGCACATGTTTCAGAGAGCACGGGGTTGGGGGTAAGGTCACAGAATCTCAAGGCAGAAGAATTTTTCTTAGTACATAACAAAATGGAGTCTCCTATGTCTACTTCTTTCTACACAGACACAGTAACAATCTGATCTCTCTTGCTTTTCCCCACACCTTCTAGTCTAAGGAGAGATCCTGAAATTCCAGATAGTCCCCCACCAACGGGGTTTTGGGCAAAAATTACGTCCTTTAGATTGGTGAGCCCAGGTGCCTAAAGAAGGGAACAGAGTCCCAAAATTTATACTAGAAATCATTCTTATAGGAGAAACTAGAAGAGCACCAGGGACAGGGAGTGGTTTTTTAGAAGTGGGACTAGCCTCTGAGAAGAGAGGTGGGAGGAATTTTGTCTGACAGGCATTAGGACCCAGGAGGCAAGAGTCAGGGTAGATAGGAAAGATGGGTGAGTCTCACTTAGACAACGTAACTTTGAGAGTTCTGCTCATGGCTGCAGGGTCAACTAACTTTTTGTTGGGACCCTGGAGCTGAATGGCTTTCCTCTCTGTTGACCCTTGGCTCAGCCCAGAAGTGCAGGAAAAGTGGAAGCTGGTTCCACACAAACCAACGCTTCTGACTCCAAAGAGTTAAAGGTTGTTAGAGAGCCCTTTCCCAGAAAGCCTGACACCCGTGTCTTTAGTCCGGCAGCTGACAGGTGCCTAGTGTTTAGCCCTTGAATTCTAAAGAAAAATAGGACAGAATAGCAAGTGAAAGCATATCACTGTGTGGTGATATCGTGGACAAGACCCCAAGATGACAATGCTGCCCTGGGGAGTGACAGACATCTGGCAACCTGCTCAGGTTCCCTTCCACACTGTGGAAGCTTTGTTCTTTCACTCTTCACAATAAATCTTGCTGCTGCTCACTCTTTGGGTCCGTGCCATCTTTAAGAGCTGTAACACTCACCACAAAGGTCTGTGGCTCCATTCTTGAAGTTAACAAGACCATGAACCCACCAGAAGGAACCAACTCCAGACACAGCTGTACTAATTTACATTCCCACCAAGATTGTCTCTTTTCTCCACATCCTTGGTAACACTTGTCTTTCATCTTCTTGATAAAAGTCATTCTCATTGGTGTGAGGCAATATCTCATTCTGGTTTTAATTTGAATTTCCCCAAATGATTAGTGATGCTGAGCATTTTTTCACAAACCTGCCAGCCATTTGTATGTCTTCTTTTGAAAAGTGTCTGTTCAAGTCCTTTGCCCATTGTTAAATCAGGCTATTTGTTTTCTTCCTATTGAGTTGTTTGAGTTCTTCACATATTTTGGATATTAACCCCTTATCAGATGTATGATTTGTAAATATTTTTCCCACTCTGTGGGCTGTCTCTTCAGTTTTATTAATTGTTTCTTTTTTTTTTTTTTTTTTTTTTTTTGAGACGGAGTCTCGCTCTGTCGCCCAGGCTGGAGTGCAGTGGCGGGATCTCGGCTCACTGCAAGCTCCGCCTCCCGGGTTCACGCCATTCTCCTGCCTCAGCCTCCCAAGTAGCTGGGACTACAGGCGCCCACCACCATGCCCAGCTAATTTTTTTTTTTTTTTTTTTTTTTAAGTAGAGATGGGGTTTCACTGTGTTAGCCAGGATGGTCTCGATCTCCTGACCTCATGATCCGCCCTCCTCGGCCTCCCAAAGTGCTGGGATTACAGGCGTGAGCCACCGCGCCCGGCCTAATTGTTTCTTTTGCTGTGCAGAAGTTTGATGTAATCTCTTGTCTATCTTTGCTTTCATTGCCTGTGCTTTTGGATCCATATCCAAAAATCATTACCCAGACAATGTTGCAGAGCTTTTCCCATATGTTTTCTTCTAGTAGTTTTATAGTTTCAGGTCTCAAAGTGTGGATGTCAATGGATAAAGCTGTGCTTCACCAAGCAATCTCTTGTTCTTTGATCAGGAAGAGAGCAGTGCGATGATGCAGGCACCCTAGGGACTCCAATTTTAACAAAGGAGATTTCCAGTTTTGGGGTATAGTATTGGCTGAGATTCAGGCTTCCCTGGTCTAGCATCATTGGTATGAGCTGAGGTATTTGTTTCCAGCAGTGGCAGTGGTGTGGACACCTCCTCCACAAGGGGATTTTGAGCCTGAATCTTTGGCCGTCCTTGGAATTCCATGCACTTCCTAAGATCCTTATTAAATTTCTTTTCTGTTTAACCTAGTAAGGGTGGATTCTGTGTTTTCAGCTAAGAACACAGGTGACATATGGATCATCTGAGCTATGAAATGGTTTAGGTCAGTATCCTTGACCTATACAAGCCCCTCATCAGTAACCAACATAGTGGTCTTTCACCAACATATGTCTTTCACCTCCTTGGTTAGATAGATTCCTAGGTATTTTATTTTTTTAAACTATTATAAAAGTGTTTGAGTTTATTTGATTCTCAGCTTGGTTGCTGTTGGTGTATAGCAGAGCTACTGATTTGTATACATTAATTTTGTATTCTGAAACTTTGCTGAATTCATTAATCAGCTCTAGGAGCTGTTGGGAGTAGTCTTTAGAGTTTTCTAGGAATATGATCATATCATCAGCAAACAGCGACAGTTTAACTTCCTCTTTATCAACTCAGATGCCCTTATTTCTTTCTCTTGTCTTATTACTCTGGCTAGGATTTCCAGTACTATGTTGAATAGAAATGGTGAGAGTGGGCATCTTTGGTTCCAGTTCTCAGGGGAAATGGTTTCAACTTTTCCCCATTCAGTGTAATTTTGGCTGTGGGTTTGTCATAGATGGCTTTTATTACCTTAAGGTATGTACCTTTGATGTAGGTTTTGCTGAGGGTTTTAACCATAAAGGGATGCTAGATAATGTCAAATGCTTTTTCTGCATCTATTGAGATGATCATGTAATTTTTGTTTTTAATTCTGTTTATGTGGTGTATCACATTTATTGACTTGCATATGTTAAACCATCCCTGTATCCCTGGTATGAAACCCACTTGATCATGGTGGATTATCTTTCTGATATGCTGTTGGATTCAGTTAGCTAGTATTTTGTTAAGGATTTTTGCATCTATGTTCATCAGTGATATTGGTCTGTTATTTTCTTTTTTGTCATGTTTTTTCCTGGTTTTGGTATTAAGGTGATCCTGGCTTCATAGAATTATTTAGGAAGGATTCTTTCTCTGTCTTGTGGAATAGTGTCAATAAGATTGGTATCAATGGTTCTTTGGATACCTGTCAGAATTCAGCTGTGAATCTGCCTGGTCCTGAACTTTTTTTTTGTTGGCAATTTTTAAAATTACCATTTCAGTATTGCTGCTTGTTATAGGTCTGTTCAGAGTTTCTATTTCTTCCTGGTTTAATACAGGAGAGTTGTATATTTCCAGGAATTTATCCATCTCCTCTAGGTTTTCTAGTTTATGTGCATAAAGGTGTTCATAGTAGTCTTGAATCATCTTTTGTATTTCTGTGGCATCAGTTATAATAGCTCCCATTTCATTTCTAATTACATTTATTTGGATCTTCTCTCTTCTTTTCTTGGTTAATCTTGCTAATGGTCTATCAATTTTATTTATCTTTTCCAAGAACCAGATTTTTGTTTCATTTGCCTTTGGTATTTTTTTTGTTTCAATTTTATTTAGTTCTGCTCTGATCTTTATTATTTATTTTCTTCTGCTGGGTTTGGGTTTGGTTTGTTCTTGCTTCTCTTGTTCCTTAAGGTATGACCTTAGATTGCCTATTTGTGCTCTTTCAGACTTTCCTCTCAGCACCACCTTTGTGGTATCCCAGAGGTTTTGATAGGTTGTGCTTCCATTATCATTCAATTAAAAGAATTTGTTAATTTCCATCTTGATTTCATTGTTGATCCAATGATCATTCAAGAGCAGGTTATTTAATTTCCATGTATTTGCATGGTTTTGAGGTTTCTTTTTGGAGTTCATTTCCAGTTGTATTCCACTGTGATCTGAGTGAGGACTTGATATAATTTCAATTTTCTTAAATGTATTGAGACTTGTTTTGTGGCCTACCATATGGTCTATCTTGGAGAATGTTCCATGTGCTGATGAATAGAATGTGTATTCTGCAGTTGTTGGGTAGAATGTTCTGTAAATATCTGTTAAGTCCATTTGTTCTAGGGTATATTTAAATTCATTGTTTCTTTGTGTTGACTTCTGTCTTGATTACCTATCTAGTGTTGTCAGAGTATTAAAGTCCCCCACTATTATTGTGTTGCTGTCTATCTTATTTCTTAGGTCTAGTGGTAATTGTTTTATAAATGTGGCAGCTCCAGTATTAGGTGTATGTATATTTAGGATTGCGATATTTTCCTGTTGGGCAAGTTCATTTATCATTATATATAATGCCCTTCTTTGTTTTTTCTAACTGCTGTTGCTTTAAAGTTTGTTTTTATCTGATATAAGAATAGCTATTCCTCCTCACTTTTGGTGTCCATTTGCATGGAATATCTTTTTCCATCCCTTTTCCTTAAGTTTATGTGAGTCCTTATGTGTTAGGTGAGTCTTGTAAAGACAGCAGATACTTGGTTAGTGAATTCTTATCCATTCTGCCATTCTGTACCTTTTAAGTGCAGCATTTAGGCCATTTATATTCAATGTTCATATTGAGATGTGAGGTACTATTCTATTCATCATGCCATTTTTGCCTGAATACCTTGGGTTTTTTAAAATTTATTATATTTTTGTTTTATTGGTCCTGTGAGATTTATGCTTTAAGGAGTTTCTATTCTGGTGTGTTTTGAAGATTAGTTTCAAGATTTAGAGCTCCTTTTAGCAGTTGTGGTAGTGCTGGCTTGGTAGAGGCAAATTCTCTCAGCATTTGTTTGTCTGAAGAAGACTTTATCTTTCCTTCATTTATGAAGCATAGTTTTGCTGGATACAAAATTTTTGGCTGATAATTATTTTGTTTAAGGAGGCTAAAGATAGGACCCCAATCCCTCCTAGCTTGTAGAGTTATTGCTGAGAAATCTTCTGTTAATCTCATAGGTTTTCCTTTGTAGATTACCTGATGCTTTTGCCTCACAGTTCTTAAGATTCTTTACTTTGTCTTGACTTTACATAACTTGATGACTATGTGCCTAGGTAATGATCTTTTGTGATAAATTTCCCAGGTGTCCTTTGAGCTTCTTGTATTTGGAAGTCTAGATCTCTAGCAAGGCTGGAGAGGTTTCCCTCAATTATTATCTCAAATATATTTTCCAAACTTTTAGATTTATCTTCTTCCTTGGAAACATCAATTATTCTTAGGTTTCATCATTTAACATAATCCCAAACTTCTTGGAGGCTTTGTTCATTTTCTTTTATTCTTTTTTCTTTATCTTTGTTGGATTGAGTTAATTTGAAAGCCTTGTCTTTGAGCTCTGAAGTTCTTTCTTCTACTTATTTGATTCTATTGCTGAGACTTTCTAGTGTATTTTGCATTTCTCTAAGTGTGTCCTTCATTTCCAGAAGTTGTGATTGTTTTTTAATTATGCTATTTCACTGAAGATTTTTCCCTTCATGTATTGTATTATTATTATTTTTTAGTTCCTTAACTGGGACTTCAAATTTCTCTGGTGCCTCCTTGATTAGCTTAATAATTGACCTTTTGAATTCTTTTTCTGGCGATTCAGAGATTTCTTCTTGGTTTGAATCTGTTGCTGGTGAGCTAGTGTGGTCTTTTGGGGGTGTTAATAAAACATTTTTGTCATATGTCCAGGATTGTTTTTCTGTTTTTTTTTTGTTTTGTTTTGTTTTGTTTTTCTCATTTGGGTAGACTATGTCAGAGGGAAGAGCTGGGGCTCAAGAGTTGCTGTCAGACTCTTTTCATCCCACAGGGTTCTCCCTTGATATGGTGCTCTCCCCCTTCCTGTAGAGATATAGCTCCCTGAGAGCTGAACTATAGTGATTGTTATTTCTCCCCTGGATCTAGCCACCCAGTGGGGCTACCAGCCTTCTGGCTCTTATGAGGGGCTGTCTGCACAGGGCCCTGTGAATCATCTTCAGGTCTCTCAGCCACTGATATCAGCATCTGTTCTGATGGAGGTGGTAGGGGAGTAAAGTGGACTCTGTGAGGGTCCTTGGTTGTAGATTTGTTTATTGAATTAGTTTTGTGTTGGTTGGGCTCCAGCCAGGAGATGGTGTTTTCAAGAAAGCATCAGCTGCAGTAGTATAGAAAGGATCAGGTGGTGGGTGGGATCATAGAGCTCCCAAGAGATTATGTCCTTTGTCTTTGGCTACCAGGGCAGGTAGAGAAAGACCATCAGGTGTGGGCAGGGTTAAGCATGTCTGTCTGAGCTCAGACTCTCTTTGTTCAGGGCTTGCTGCAGCTGCTGTGAGGGATGGGGTTGTTATTCTCAGGCCAATGGATTTATGTTTCCAGGGAGATTATGGCTGCCTCTGCTGCATCATGCAAGTCACCAGGCAAGTGGGGGAAAGCCAGCAGTTAGTTGCAGTCCTCACGCAGCTCCCATGCAGCCCAAAAGGCTGGTCTCACTCTCACCATGCCCCCTAGTAACACCAAGTTTATTTCCAGGCAGCTGGTAAGCAGGGCTGGGAACTTACCCCAGGCTGCCAGCCTCCTTGCTGAGAAAGCAAGTAGGGCTTTCAGGTTTTGTGCCTCCCTGCCTGTGGCAGTTTCTGTGCTGAGTCTGCACTCCAATTTCCGCCTCCCCCAGGGTTCTGTTCAGGAAAACTTCACATTCAGTCAAAATTGTTATGCACTTCAGCTAGAAGTTTCCTTCTCCCTGTAGTCTTTTCCCAGTTCCTCTGGCAGCCCTCCCCAAGGACCCCTGTGAGATAAAGTTAGAAATGGCTTCCCTGGGGACTGAGAGCACCCACAGTGCTCTTCCCGCTGTTTCTTCTACCCCTATATTTCACTTGGCTCTCTAAATTTGTCTCAGTACCAGGTAAGGTCAAATTCCTCTTCCACGATTTGGACCTTCAGGTTCCCCAGTGAAGGTGCATGTTTGGGGGCAGAAGAACTCCATTGCAAACTTTGGGCACTCACAGTTCTTCAGGTGTCTCTTGGAGCATGCAGTGGCAACCCACTTCCTTCAAAGGGTCCGTGGATTCACTTGGCTTTCCTGGTATGTTCCTGCAGTAGTTCTTGGAGCAAAAGTTCATGATGTGAGTCTCCATATGCTGCTCTGTCCATCCAAGTGGGAGCTGCAAGTTAGTCCTGCCTCCTATCTGCCTTTTTTTCCAACCCTGCCATTGGTCTTTCTTAACAGCAGGAGAGGCTCCCTTCATCCTCTGCCTTTTATATTTTTTGTGGTGCTTATTAGCCCTTGTTACAGTTACCTAGCTCAAGGCTTATTGTAGTTTCTTTCATTCTTATTTTCCCTTTCTGTCTGCATTCCTTTAGCTTTCATTGACCACCTACTCTGTGCCAGACACTAAAGACATATTAGAAAAGAATTATACATAATTCTTTTCTAATTATGACACAAATTCTTTATGTCTAATTAGACATAAAGAAAATATATTATACTCCCTTCCAAAGAACTGACAGAATTCTCAAATGACCAGCAAGCAAGCAACAACTAAAAGGCTGTATGATGTTAAGTCATCTACAGCAAAGTAAAATAATGCAATAACTAAATGCATAGGCTTTGGAGTCAGAATCACCTACACACAGATTCAGGCTCTGAGGCTAGCTGGTGATTTTTACTAAATTATTTAATCCCTTAAGCTTCAATTTCCCCATCTATAAAATAAGGTTAATAATGAGTTATGCATAGGGTGGTTGTGAACATGAAATAAAATAGTGTACACTAAGTACTTAATAGAGTGCCCAATTTTTTGTAATATTCAATAAATATTATTGCTAAAAACAAGTTTGTCTGAGGATGTCAGGAAATCCCTCACAGAGGGAAAATAACATTATTACTTAAAGGAAGCATTCTTAATCTAAGCAGGCAGATGCACCTGTGCATTTTGTTTCTTAGTCAACAATTATTCATTTTAAAAGACTGTTTCTTGAAACATCCTGGGATGAGGAGTATCCTGTTTTGATTCTTCTATTTTGCAAACAGAGAAAATGTCAGAAGCTAATCAGCTCATCCAAGTGCATACCAGTTTTGTTATTTAACCAGTAAAGGCTTTCTGTGAGAAAAGATTATGCAGTTAATCTACATTAAATACTTACTCTGTACAAAGCCTTGTGGGGGATATAGAAATGTAAAACCACTAAGAGACACCATGTGATGTCACTGGGAGTTAATGTTGATTCCAAGATGAGCACTCCACAAAGGCAGAAAAGTTGAAACTGTCATTCTGTATGCCAGACTACAGTGATAGGTATAAAGAAGAGATCATGGTCAAGAGGAATGATCAGAAAAGACTGTCACAAAGGAAGTGAACTTGAAAAGCTGGGCTTAAAAAAAGAATGGAATTTAGACAATGGGTAGAGAAGGGTATGGGGAGTGTATTAGGAAAAACAGAATTTGAGCAAAGGGCATGGTAGTGAAGACACACAACACTCAGGAGAAATCAAGCCGGCAAATTCTCTTTGTGCAGTTAAGAGGTCAAATGACTTTCCCAAGATCACACAATTATTTAGGACTAGGATGGGGTCTTCTAATTTGCAGTTTGACTTGTTCTGCCATGTGCAAGATTTATAACTGATGATTGGGTGTTGCAAGAAGGGCAACATTTCATCATCCTCAAAGAAATGAGACAAAAAGACTGTCTCTAAGGCTTATTGGATGCAGATGTGGTTGCCTTAAAATTCCAGCAGACTCGTGTTTACCTTCTGTGGCTGAGCAGGACCATCCTGTAGGAAGGCTGCTACTGCCGACCTGGTACTCCCACCACATCCTGACACTCAGACTCTGAGTATGTAGCTTTATGGGAATATCCAAGGCCATAGGACTTCCTCAGGACAGCCCTGGCACATGGCCCAGAAAGGTGTTTGGGCCACATAGTCTATCATGGCTCTTCAGAGGGACAGCAGTGCAGGGAGCATTTCTGGACTTTATTTCCCTGGATTGAACAAAATTTGTGAGTTTCCAGTTAGAGTTAGCTCTTCTTAGTGTTGTCCTTTTTTTTTTTTTTTTTTTTTTTTTTTTGAGATGGAGTTTCGCTCCTGTTGCCCAGGCTGGAGGGCAATGGTGTAATGGTATACTCTTGGCTTACTGCAACCTCTGCCTCCCAAGTTCAAGCGATTCTCCTGCCTCAGCCTCCCAAGTAGCTGGGATTACAGGCGCCTGCCACCACACTCAGCTAATTTTTGTATTTTTAGTAGAGACAGGGTTTTACCACATTGGCCAGGCTGGTCTTGAACTCCTGACCTCAGGTGATCCACCCACCTTGGCCTCCCAAAGTGCTGGGATTACAGGCGTGAGCCGCCATGCCCAGCTGTGTTGTCCTTCTTGATAAGCAGTGCCATTTAGAAGATTATATGCTGGAGAAAGAAGATCTGGGTTCAAGTCCTTTTCTAGCTTTGTGATTTGGAACAAGTTGATTATGATATCTTGTTACCATGAGATTGGTTATGCCAATCTCCTTATTTTATGGGTTAAAAAAACCCCAGAAGCTCAGAAGAGTTTAATAACCTGTTCAAAGTTATATGATATGTTAAATATATAAATCTCCATTGAATAATATCACCTCTATCTTCCTTACAAAGCTTTTATGAGGCTCAAATAAGAAAATAAATATGAATATTCACCACAGTACTTGACATGGATGCTAGGAACCCTTAATGTTCCCTTTTCCCAGTAGTAAAGCAGTAGTAATCAGTCACACACACACACATGCACACACACACAGACACCCCACATATACAGCATAGTGCGTAACACACATACATATAAGATTTATTTAAAACGACCTTGAGAAGAAAATTATTAACTCTGGGTCAGATGTGTTTATAAGCCCATTTCTGGGACCACATTCTGGGCTCTACCATATTGTATCTTGGGGTCATGGCTCTCTCACAACTGGAGAGAGGTGCTCCAAGCATCAATTCATAAAAGCTGTTACTAGCACACTATCTCTATCCTGTTTTTTTTAAAATAATACTATCTACCTTGCCTTTTATGAGGTGCAGAGCCTAGCACAAATGTGTCTAATCAGGCTGATCAAAACAAGGGGAATTGCACTGGTATTTGGGCCTGGGGTGCACAGCAAAAGGTCAAAGACTTACACGACCAGGAAAGCTTGTGACTTGGTTATTCCACTTATGATGTGGTTTTTATATAAATGGCCTGCATTCATTTAAGGACAAACATAAGACAGCCCTTCTCCTAGCTTCAGAATAGACTGAAAGTGGAGGAGAAGAGCAGAGAGAAATTTTGTTTTTTTTTTTGGTTTGGTTTTAGGAAATAATTTACAATATTTATATTCTAGGAATTGCCCTAGAGAAATTAGAATTTTTTAATTAAAAAATTTATTTTCCTCTTAGCTTCTTGCAATGTCCACATTATACGGTGCATTAAAGCTATAAGGTCTTATTCCTATTTCAGCAATTCTCAATCAGATAATCTCAGAATGCTTGTTAAAACACAGATCTGTGGGCTTTGATCCAGATCAACTGATTTATAATTACTTGTATAAGTAAGTCAAATAAGTTCTTGGTGAAATTCTCATGTCCACTAGAATTTAGAAACCACTGCACACTCCCTTCTAGCATCTGAAATCACTTCTATTTTTATAGATAAAATAGCCTGCTTTTCAAACTCTTCCATATTTGTAGCTTTGGGTTTCTAGATCTCTTTTAAGCTCACCAAGATCTAGTATTCAGCCTAGTACTCAGCCAGCGAAATTAGATGGAGTAGAATGGAAATTCTACTTGTGCTTCCCATAATAAAGCTTCACTCTTCCCTCTTCCTGCTTCAACTTTCTCCACAAACACACAGCAGTTAAATATACATATTTTTAAAGTTCTATTCTTATGCACCACAGAGCTTAAGAAACACTGCTCCCCTTGTGGTAGGTGCTGGACCAGCCAATGTTTTTGATTAGTAGGTGAGGCACATGAGGAGTTTGTGGTGAATGCATCAGTGGGAGGAAGAAAGGCATGAAATGAAGAATCGACATGATTGTGGTGCCTGGAGCCAGAGAGTTAGCTGCTGGTTCCAGCTCTGGTATTAACTGAGGGTGTGATCTGAGGTGAGTCATGCCTCTCTTTGGGCCACAGGGTGCCTTAGGGCTAGGCAGAATTCTTTAAGGCAGAGCTTCCTAGCTTATATGTAGTATCACACTGGTGTGCCACAAACGGATTATAGGTGTGCTATGAATTACTGCGTTCCTCAGCTCTCAGAATGTGCCTCTAGCCAAGAGAAGCCTCATCAGAGTCTTCTTGGGGACTGGTCTGAGCAGTGTAGGAGTCCAAGGACCACCCTCATAGTCCCTAGAGGAGGCAGTGGGCACCATGAGTCACATTTACCATGCATTTCTCCACTATAATGCCCTGAATGCACACAGCCAAGAAGGTAGGTGTTCTACTGCATGGGCATCTCAGCAGCCATCCATCCTAGCAGTTAGCACCGCAGACCATTCTAGGTAAGGCCTGAGGATCAGTAGGTAGTTTGTGTCCAGCTGCCCAGAAGCTTAGAGCTTAGCCCAAGATGTGGCCAGTGGGGATGAGTGAGTGCAGAAACATGGTGGGGATTTCTGGTCTGCCCAGCAACACGTGATAGCCCAGAATCTGTTTTCACATATATCAGATACTCCTGTTCATCTTCAGCAGATGGACAAAAAAGTCCATTTAGTGGTTTCCATGCTAGCTGTAGGGCAACTGCTCTTACAATGCATATGCAATATACAAATTAGACCTTCGTTATTATTTTGGAATGCTAGATAGCATAAAAGTCTGAATTTAAAGTACCTTTGCTCTATCATAAAAAATTAAACATTAACTTGTCAGTATAAGAAAAGGATAAGCTATTAGGTTCTTTAATTTCAAATGTTGCAAATCTTCAAATAGTTGTAAACAATGGTTTTAATTTTTTAAATTATCTTATTGTGGGAATGAAGGTTCTTGTTGATACACACCACTAGGAATTTGAAACAATCATCATTAAGAAGTCTTACTCAGAGTTTTGCATAGCTATTTTGAATATGGTATCTGTTGGTAAAAAGATATGTCAATGGTAATAAGTTCAAATTTCTAATTTTTTAAAATTATTTTATTTGGAACCTTTATATAAATTTAATATTTGATATTTTTCTAAACATCTTGTATTTTATTTTTCCTATAAGGATATAAATATAAAGAGTGACAATTTTTTTCACTGAACTTTGTTGAGCTATTCCCAGATCACCCTCCAGGTTTTGTAGAGAAAACATTTGTACAAAACAAAAAGTTTTTCTATGTGTGGAAGATGTGACAAAGATTGCCTACAGTGTTTTAGGGCAGTGGTTCTCAACTGGGGATGATTTTGCTTCCCAAAGGGCATTTGACAATATTTGAAGACATCTTCTGTTTGTCACCATTGGGGAGCTACTTATGGTGTTTAACAGGCAGAGGCCAGGAATGCTGCTAAATACCCTACAATGCACAGGAAAATTCTCCATAAAAAGAATTATCAGACCCAAAATGTCAATAGTGCCAAAGATAGAAACTGTGTTCTAGAGCCTGTCTCATTCTTATATCCTGATTCAGAATTATAAATGTTCTCATAGTGGTTGGCAATAACGGATGTGGCCAGAAATGGCCAGCTCTAATCTCCTAACTGCATCTATAATAGCAGACCCTGTAGGCAAGCAAAATGTGGGGCAGGACTTCCTATAGGCCTCCTTGAGATGGTATGCATTTCAAAGCAGCAGTTGTGTAACTTTTATGGCTACAAAGTTAGTACACCCAGGTGAGCATCTTCTTCTCCCATTTTATTTTTTTTAAATATCATATTCTAGAAATGACATTTTTGTTCCATTGGATTGTGACTCATGTTATTTTTCAACAACGCCCCTTCCTCTAGCCCCAACTCTGGATCTCACCATGACTAGCCTGGCTGGGATGGGTGGCCCAAAAGGCAGAGATTTGCACTGAAAATCTTTTCAAATCATTCCCTTCTCCTTCCCGTTCGAATTCGAAAGGGGAATTCAAATTCCTTCAAATTTATTTCGGAGTCGAAGTCATCCTATTGTTTGGCATTAATGTGCTACTTCTAAGACTAAACAAATCTTCCATATCCTTCCTCTCTGATGCACTCATCCTCTTGGTTGTTTTGTTTTGTTTTTTAACACGTCAGGATGATTCAAGTGACTAGGGATTAAACCAGTCTGGACAGCCATACTCCTTTATCAATACGACTCCTACCACTCCTTCAGTCAATTTTTACAACAGGTTCACATCTACCATCTGGTACCAAGAGCAGGTTTAATGGAGCATCAGACACTTTTATTTGTCCTAGGACTTAACAGAGGATTGGCAATTCTATTAATAAATGTACCTGGATAGAAGAAAGATCAATAGATCTAGGGTCTTTGTTATATAAAATTAAGCAAGTTATTCAGTCATTAGAGCCTCATTTTGCTCATATAAAAGAGTAGTAGTGACGAGAGGGCTGCTGATTTTTCCCCAACTTAAAATGAAAGAAAAAGCACTGAGAAATTTTGAAAAGCATGTCAGTATTAGGAAATGCACACTTTCATGGTATTGACTCATTGTTAATGTATCATTTATACTGAAATGAGGAAGTTGGGTTTTACAGTTGGAATCAGGAACTAGTTTACATCCTTTGCAGGGTTTAGAGGCCCTGGAAGATTATGGTCATCAGCGTGACCTGGATAGCGCTTTAATGCTGGCAAAAACAAACCATCAATTTATTTAAGAAATACATATTAGAAACCTAGTATGCTCTTTGTAAACAAATAGTACAAAGTTTTTTTTCTATTTTGCAGAGGAGAAAGCTGAAGCACCAGATGGTTAAAAGGACTGTTCAAGACAGCCTTGCAATTTTGACCAAGGAAGAAAGCTGAAGAGTGCTAGGGCAAGAGAGGAACTACGTCCAGAACAATTCATAATTCCAAATTCTCACTTCCATGATTTCAATGCTGAATGTGTACTTCTCTAGCTAAAAATACAATTGCTTAAGTAAAATCATCATTATTTACAGTCTTGCTGAATTGTGGTGTTGTTATTAACCAGAAACAACAGCTTAAGTCATTGTGTTTTGAAATACTTGATTTATTATCCTGATTGTTTGAAAATGCTACCTGAAATTTTTCCTGGCACTTTTGAGTCATTCTCACCAGGTACACACATCTGGTGTTTCTCCATGACACAGTAGCTGTTCCCCCTTTAATTTCTTTCTTCTTCCTAACAGACACTGGAGTTATAATATCAAACTTCCATTCATGATGAATATTTGAACTACCATGGAGACTGAGAGTCCAGGGAAGAAAATATGTCCTGTTGATATGTATCTCAATGCATCTTCCTTTCTATCTTCTTCCTGGGGCAGCCTCACATATAATTCAGTTAGGAACCCCCTAAATCCTGATCCATGTTGGGAGCCCTCTGAAACTTCAATGTGCATTAAACTCTCAAAACTTCCCAGTCTCTGAAGTTCCTCAATTGTTCAGCATTCCCTACTTGAAAGGCAGAGGACCACATCCTCAGGTCTCCTTTAATTGCATTTACCTGAGACTTGAATTCACTAATTAGGTATGTGGGTGTTTAGACAAAAGACAGAAAATTAGAAATGTGTTTGGAGAACTGGCTGCAGGTTCTGTACTAGCACTAAACTCTGTATGTTTGCAATATTTGATATTTTCAGTTTTTTCTATTTTTAGCCATAATAGGTGAGTGGTGGTATCTCATGGTGGTTTTAATTTGCATTTCATTGCTGATTGGTGATTTTGATAATCTTTTCTAGGTCTTATCTAATCATTGATGATTTTAATCATCTTTTCTAGGTCTTATTATCCATACATACAACTGCTTTGATGAAGTGCACTGAATATGTGTGTGTATATATCTATATCTATATCTATATATATAGATATATATATGGTCCTAGATTTCTTAACAATGGGGGTACATTTTGAGAAATGCATCATTAGGTGATTTCATCATTATGCAAACATTGTAAAGTGAACTTACACAAACCTAAGTAGTATAGCCTACTTTACACCTTGGCTGTATGGTATAGCCTATTGCTCCTAGGCTACAAACCTGTACAGCATGTTACTGTACTGAATCCTGTAGGCCATTGTAACACAATGGTAGGTATTTATGTATCTAAACATAGAAAAGATACAGCAAAAACACAACATTATAATTCATAAGACCAATGTCATATGTGTGGTCATTGACTGAACCATTATTAGGTAGCAGATGAATGACTGTTTATATATATCACCTCTCTCTCTCTATATATATATACACATACACACTTATAAGTATGTATACATATATGTGCATATAGGAATGTACACTTATGTATATACATATGTATATGTATGTATACATGTATGCATGTATCAGTTTGTATACATATATGTACATACTTATACATATACACATATGTACACATAGGTATACATGTGTATATAGGGAGAGAGTGAGTGGTGGTATAAACATGCATACATTTGTATACAAACATATATACATACATATATACACACATATACATGCATATACATACATATGTATATATGCACATAAATATACATGTATATACACATATACACACATATGTGAATATGTGCATAATATACATATATGTATATATACTCCACACACCACACACTATATATCTCCCTCATATACATATATGTACATATATGCATACTTATACGTATATGTGTTCATATATGTATACTTATACATATATGTGTTCTTATATGTATAATTGTGTATACATACATGCATACATATACATACATATGTGCATTGTGTATGTATATATATGCACATATGTATGGTACATATATAAGAATTTATACACATACACATATGTGTATATGTGTGTATATAGAGAATGCTAATATACACATATGTGTGTATATATGTGTGTGTACATATAGAGGGTACATGTGTGTATATATACATATATGTATATATGTGTATATATACATATATACGTATATATGTGTATAAATGTATATGTGTATGTATATATACGTATATATGTATATGTGTACATATATGTACATGTACACATGTCCCCCTGAACTTAAAATAAAAGCAAAAAAAAACTTATGAAGTTACAGTCATCAAGAACAGTATATGGCATTGGCATTAAGAAAGGCAAATAAATCAGTGGATCAGAATAGGTGGTCCAGAAATATATACATATATATGTGTATATACACATATGTACATGTATGTATATGGGTGTGTATATATATACATACATATTTATATATATATATAGAGAGAGAGGGCATAAAGGACTTGGTTAAACATTACAGAGAAAGTGCCTATAGATGACATGGTGAAAATGTATGACGGGCTTATGAAGAAATTAGAACACTGTGCATTCTAGAGCAAGGCATCATGTCAGTTAATAAAATCAAAGAAAAAGTTCTAAGACAAAACTGTTGTCAGTGGAGCAGATGACTGGAGAAAACACTTTTAAAAGCCATCCAGCAGAATGCCTCCTCATCCCTGGAGGTTCCACTTCCTGCTCCTTCAATTGCTCTAAAGTTTCTTCTCACCTAAAAATGTAGAATACAGTGTACAATAACCTTTTAATCAAAACACAGCTTTACAGTTAGAGACTGAAAGCCTGGCTTTGTTGTTGCTGTTGTTTAACAGCTAATACAGGTATTCTGGAGGAGCTACTGTGTCGCTCCGTTACCCTGAACACATTATTTCTTTCACTGTATTAACCCATTTATGCCTGAGGTTGCATTTTTTTGAATTTTTGCACTCAGACCTTGGCAATGACCTTGAGCAGTAGGATATAAATAACTCCCACATGCTTAGTGTTCCATTATTGGGTTAATGATAAGTCATAATTTTTGTTATTAAGTACCTATGTGCAAGTAAGTGTAAGAAATTGATTGCTGATAAGCAGCATATAAGTGCAGAGTCAGGAATGATGTAATGCCAAACAACCACAGATTGTCCACCTGGGTGGCTGAGATAGTGACACTTTTGCTTTCTGATGGCTCAATGTACACAAACTTTGTTTCATGCATAAAATTATTAAAAATATTGTATAAAATTGCCATTAAGCTGTATGTATGAGACACATAAGACATAAATGAATTTCATGTTTAGACTTGGGGCCCACCCTCAAGATATCTCATTATATATGTCCAAATATTCCAAGAGCTGAAAAATCTCACAGAAACACTTCTGGTCCCAAGCATTTTGGATAAGGAATACTCAATCTCTATATATAATCAAGTATTCTATCATTGCAAAACATATTCTGTGAGCCTGTAGATTGTCTTTTTATTCTCTTTGGAGTGTTTTTTAAGGAGTACAAATTTTAAATTTTGATGAAGTCCAAATTTTTAATTTTTTTTCTTTGGTGAATTGTGTTTTTGATGTCATATCTAAGAAGGTTTTGCCTAACCCAAAGTCACAAAAGTTTCCTATGTTCTAGAGGTTTCACAGCTTTAGGTTTTAAATTTAAATTCATTTTTGTTTATTGTACAAATTATGAATCAAGCTTCATTTTTTGCATACAACTATTCATTTTTTCCAGCACTATTTGCTGAAAAGATCATCCTTTCTCCATAGAATTTCCTTTGTACCTTCACTAGAAATCAGTTGTCTCTCTCTCTATATATATATATGTGTGTGTGTGTGTGTGTGTGTGTGTGTGTGTGTGTGTGTGTGTGTGTAGTTTATTTCTGGACCCTCTATTCTGATCCACTGATTTACTTGCCTATCTTAACACCAATACCATATACTGTTTTGATGACTGTAACTTTATAAGTCATTTTTTTAACTTTTAAGTTCAGGGATACATGTGGAAGTTTGTTACATAGGTACACTCATGTCAGAGGGGTTTGTTGTATAGATTATTTCACCACCCAGGTGTTAAGTCTAATACCCATTAGTTGTTTTTCCTGCTCCTCTCCCTTGCCCCACTTTCTACCCTTAGGTAGGCTCCAGTGTGTATTGTTCCCCTCTATGTGTCCATGCGCTCTCCTCATTTAGCTCCCACTTATAAGTGAGAACATGAGGTATTTGGTTTTCTGTTCCTGAGTTAGTTTGCTAAGGTTGATGACTTCCAGCTCCATCCATGTTCCTGCAAAGGACATGATCTCATTCTTCTTATGTCTGCATAGTATTCCATGGTGTGTACGTAGCACATTTTCTTTATCTAGTCTACTATTCATGGGCTTTTGCATTGGTTCCATGTCTTTGCTGTATAATGTCTTGAAATCATGTAAGGCTACTCCTCCAACTTTGCTCTTCTAATTTTGTTTATTTTTGAGACAGGGCCTCCCTCTATTGCCCAGACTGGAGTGAAGTAACATGATCATGGCTCACTGCAGCCTTGACCTCCCAGGCTCAAGTTTGCTCTTCTTTTTCAAAGTTGTTTTGGCTATTCCAAGTCATTTGCACTTCCATTTGAATTCTATAATCAAATTATTAATTTTCACAAAGCCCTGCTCTGGAAGTCCATCAGGCTCCTCTTGTGTTCCTCCTCCCTGGTCACACCTGGACTTCCTCAAGGCAATAAGCTCTGGCAATGGCTTCAACTTGCTTGCTTCAGGTGTCACTGTCCCTCATTGCCTGATGTCTAGAAACTTCAAAAACTCTTTCACGTATTTTTTTTTCTTTTGTTGTTATTGTTGTTGTTTCAGGCAGGAGGATAAATTCAATCCCTGCTACTCCACCTTCCCTGAAAGTAGACTCGTGTTCACATTTTTCGAAGTATCCTTATATTTTAGATTAACATATTGAGTGATGTACAGATAAAATGACAAGACATCTGGAATTTGCTTTAACATACTACTGACATCTGAAAGTGTGGGGGGCCTAGATGAAACACAATTGGCTCCAAGTTGATAACTCTTCATACTGGGTGATGGGTAAAATGGAGATGAAAGAAAGAGAGAGAGAGAGAAAGAAAGGAAAGGAAGAAAGAAGGAAGGAAGGAAGGAAAGAAGGAAGGAAGGAAGGAAAGAAGGAAGGAAGGAAGGAAAGAAAGTTGGTGTGAGCTTAAAATTTTCCATAAAACAGTTTTCAACATAAAGATCTTGATACTACTGCCTAGCTCAAGGGATTGTTGTGAGGATTAAATGTGGAATTGTATGTAAATTGCCTAGAACTATGCTTAGAACTTAACGAAGAGTAGCTATTAATACTACATAATTGTATAAAACCAACTACCAAATATATATTAAAGAAGTCTGATAAAAATTTCTCCTGAAAAGAGATAACCCTTTAGCTAAGAATGAATGCAGGTCTCTGCTCACCCCCACCACCTTCCTATTCCCTCCCGTGGTGCTGTCTTTCTAATGTCACCCTGAGCTCTGGCTGCCTGGCCCAAATAAGTCAACACGTCAGCATCAGGAAAGAGGTATTTGGAGAAGGATTAGAGAGACAATTTTAAGCTCATACAAACTTTTCTTCTTTCTCTCTTTATTTCTCCCTCCCTCCCACCCTTCTCCCTTCCCTCCCCTCTCCTCCCCTTCCCTCCCCTCCCCTCCCCTCCCCTCCCCTCCCCTCCCCTCCCCTCCCCTCCCTTTCCTTTCCTTTCCTTTCCTTTCCTTTCCTTTCCTTTCCTTTCCTTTCCTTTCCTTTCCTTTCCTTTCTTTTCCTTTCCTTTTTTTTTCTGTGCATTAGTTCCTTCAGGGAGTCTCCCAAACCCACCAACACTAAATTTGGTACCTTTTCTCTGAATTTTCCTGGCACTCTGTCCCTCCTACTGTCAAAGCACTTAAATAGGGCCTGGTAGCTCTCTAGTTTGGAACCTCTCTCCCAATTCCTAAGATTTCCTTACATTTGTTTCCATATCCTTAGAGCCCAGCACATAGTAGACACTCAAAGCATGCTCGTGGAGCTGTTTAACTTCATGGTCCCACCTGTCCATCTTTGCGACCCTCTTCTCTATGTGCTTTGTTTCTTCCTCTGTGGGCTTTGTTCCTGCCTCTGTGGGCTTTGTTCCTGCCTCTGTGCACAGCCTGCTGGGGTGACGCTTTCCTGTTTGAGAGTCTTGACATTCAGTTTCTGTTTATGTACTTACTCAGGCTCATTATAAGAACTGGCTCTTTTCTTTTTCAATTAATTGCACTGCCATGAAAACTCTGTCTCTCCAACCCTTCTCCAAATACCTCTTGTTGCTGTGTTGAGTTATTTGAGCCAGGCAGCAAGAGCTCAGCAAGACAGTAGAAAGACAGAACCAGGAGAGAGAAGAGGAGGGTGCTGGAGATGAACAGAGACTGCAGGGGTCTCCTTTCAGGCTGGTCCAGAGCCCCACATCTCTTAGTATGCACTCAAGTAGACCAGGGTGAAAAATTCAATCATGAAAACGAAAGAACTTAGAACCACAAATGTGAGGGCTAGGAGGGGCATCAACATAACTGAACCTTTCATACTTGCTCCAATCACCAAACACACATGTGCACACACATGTGCAAATGCACGCACACACATGCACACACCTTGTCAGCTGGACTTGTCTCTGAAGTTTCCTTAGGTCATTGTGGAACAAGAGAACAATTTGAAAATCACCGGCCAAGTTGGATATTTTTAATTTGAGGAAAGGCACAGAGATGTTGAGTCTGGTATCCAAATCTCACAATTTCTGGTTTCTTTTCTTTCCATTAATTAATCTACACTGCCACCTCTGACCAAAACAACAACAACCATGCTCCATAGATGTATCTGCATTCTGGATGTCACAGCCATAGAAATCTTCCCAGTGTGAATCAAATATTAGTAGACGTGTTGCTGGAAAAATCACAGCTTTCAAGAATGAATCTGAAAGATTTCAAGCTTTTCTCAGAAAGAAAAGGCCGCGTGATATCCAGATTGAGATTATTTGAAAAGCTGAGACTGGGGAGATGAATCTTCTGCTTGGAAGGCCAGAAAACAACGAAGGCCATTTTGTGTGCCTGAGAGAGAGAGAAAGTGGTTTTACACCACCATCTAGTGGTAGAAAGCAATACTGTCGCTAAAGCTCAAAAAGGGTTCATGATTTTTTTAATTCAACCGACAAGGATTTATTCTAAAGTCTCTGATTTGTCAGAGCTTATACTAGACACTGGGGATATAGCAAATGTTAATTACAAAAATCCATATACCAATTTCAGAAATCTCTCTCCCCCTGTTATTCTTACAAGCATCTCTAGTCTGCGGTCTTCACTACCAGGTCCCTCTCACTCCTGAATCTGTAATCCAAAGTGACCCTCAGACAGCTCAGATACCAGAACATAGAGACCTCTTAAACGCCAAGCTCCTGATGTGGACATTTCTGGGGAAGGGGAGGCTTTCACAAGTTCTCCTTGAATGATAACCATTCAGTTGCTATCAGTCTGAGAATGCAAATATATGTGCTTTCTTGAGTCTTGGAGAATGAGACATCAAGATTCAGGTCATTCTCATGGAATTTTGGAGAAAGATTCTTATGATGGAATAGGACATTATATGATGTCTTGAAAAGGACAGCCTATGATGTTCAGGGCTCAAAAAGTATCTGACCTATAATCCAATGACCTATAATCCAATGATGAATTACACACACACACAATAAACATAATTTTAATGCATTGTTACACTTATTAAAAAGTGAGGGAAAACTTCTGAGGCTCTAAGAGTTAAGTAAATAATAACAGAAGCAATGAACTACAACCTGAGCAGGCAGCCGTAGCAGTAAGCAAGTGAGCAGAGGAGGGAGTTATATGGTGGGATTGTCTGGAAATAAATACTTACATTGCTGCAATCAGCACCTCCAATATAGGTTATTGGATTCTTACAGATTGTATTCCATAAAATATAGCTCATAACGAAAACAGAAAAACCAAAACCAAAGAACACACAAGGAGCACATGAGAGACAGCAGAAATAATACATGAAAGATTAGACTTTCAAAGACCAGATATTGGAGTGATCCGAAAAAGAATGTGAAATGCAAACCAAAAATAAAATTCTAAGTCCCCCCAACCAACTCAATGGACCCCTCCTGTCAGCCAAGGGGATTCCAAAGAAACATAAAATACTAGTTCCAGCCATGATGCGAAGGGCAGGGGAATTGGACATGCCTCATTACACCCTCCTCTCTTTGGAATTCAGGCACAACTGTCCAGCATTAAAATTAAAACAGAGATCTCAAGACTGACAAAACAGACTCTGGTAACATTAAGATACCAACTTCCAACCTGACTCAAGCATAGCATCACATGACAGATAGCAGGGCCTGAAAGAAACAAAAGTATTTTACCCCAAATTATAATTCTTTGCCATATTTTGAAATGGCCCTGCAAAGCTGTCTCCTGTGGGGAAAATTTACATTCTGCAGAGAATCCCCTTCCCTTTCCAGGTATTTTTCTGACCCTGAAGGGATTAGATGAGAGTTTAGCATTTTTAAAGGTATGAATAGGAAATATTAGAATATTAGCCATTTATTACTTCTAAGAGCAGCTGCCTATGAGACTTCACCTACATAATAAGAACTGTGGTCTCCACATCACCTTACGTTAACCCAGACACTCCTTTCTGTTGATTCCAGGTCTTTAGATAATAACTAACTCTTTCAACAAATTGTCAATCAGAAAATCTTTGAATTCATCTATGACCTGTAAGCCCCCACTTCAAGTTGTCTCACCTTTCCAGACCAAAGCAATGTATACCTCATATGTATTGATTGATGTCCTGTGTCTCCCTAAAATGTATAAAACCAACCTGTAACCCAACCACATTGGGCACATGTTCTCAGGACCTCCTGAGGCTGTATCATGGGTCATGGTCTTTGCATTTGACTTAGAAGAAATCTCTTCAAATATTTTACAGAGTTTGGCTTTTTGTCAACAGAAACAACCATGTGTAAAAGGTCAAAAGAAATGGAAAAGGAAATTTTAAAAAAGCAAGAAAAACAGAATGTGAAAACTGGGCTGGGCGCAGTGGCTCATGTCTGTAATTCCAGCACTCTGGGAGGCCAAGGTGGGAGGCCTTGAGCCCAGAAGTTTGAGACCAGCCTAGGCAACATGGTGAGACCCCCATCTCTACAAAAAAAACACATTCAAAAAATAAATACAAAAGTTTAAAAACCAATATGGCAGATTTTAGAAAGAACTAAATAAAACTCGTAGATTTCAAATACACACCCGGATCGCAATGGCTGAATGAAACAGCAAATTAAACAAAGATGAAAAGACTATTAGAGAGTTGGAAAATATAACTTGAATAAATTACCTATAACACAGCCCAGAGATATAAAAGGATAGTATATCCAAACAGATGATCAAGATACATAGATGAGATGATGGAAGCAAATTCTAACGCAACTAATTTGGAGTTACAGGAGTAAAAGTTGGTGCACAAGCAGGAGGAGGGCTTGCAAAGCAGCAGTTAGGAAGGTAGGGCGAGATGGTGAGCTGAAATGATCATGGTGGTTATGACGATGATAAAAAAACTGAGGATTCTGAGGTTAATAGCCATTTTCACTATTTTTAAAGCACATCCCACAAGGAGTAGAGCTGATCAAATGATAAAATGAAAGAAAATACACAAGAGAGTTGCTGCTATTTTTAAACGATGAAACTGAATGAAATGGTGTTTGGGAGGAAGCAAAAACAAACTTAAAAATATACAATCCATAGTGATGGACTTGGGAACATAGGATCAAGAATGCTTTGTACACTTTCTTCTTTGTTTTCTAAAATTTCTACAATAAATAGGTAGACAGGGTCTATTGCTTAGGATTGCAAGCTGTATTAGGTTTGCATGGGAAGAAAAAAATGATTTCTCTGTACCCTTCAGGTTCTTTGGCTGAGCCATGAATTAAATTGACATAAGGCATATTAACAGGTGAAAAATAATTTGAATTGTGTATGTATGCACAGGAGTCCCACAAAAATATGAGACTCAAAGAAGAGCTGAATGATTGATGCTTATATATTATGGAATCCTGAGCTACAGACAGAAAGAGGGGTTTGGGGCTCCTAAGGAGTAGTGGGGACAAGTTATGGAAGGATGAGGGGGGGGAAATGTACAGTGAATAAATGTGGTCTCATTATACAGATAAGGATCTCTCAGGTGGTAAGAGTTGTCTCAGGAGCAGCTCTTTCCTTAATACAGATATCTTTATTAATAAAAATTTTCCTTAGAGATGCACATTTATTTTACAAAAGGGTAGCTATTCAGAGCGCTCTTGCATCTAGTTTCTCAAAATAATCTGCTAATAAATAGCATGCCCAAGAGGAATATTTAGGGGTGATTTGTCCTGAGCTCCAACAGTTTTTTAGAGCTACTGTAACAAAATACCACAAACTGGGTGGCTTAGAACCACGGGCATATTTAATGTCTCACAGTTCTGAAGACTAGAAATCTAAAATCAAGTTGTTGGCAGGGCCACACTCTCTGTGAAGCCTCTCGGGGAAAATCTGTTCCATGTCTGTCTCCTAGTTTCTGGAGTTACCAGTAATCTTCATCACTCTAACCTCTGCCTCCTGCGTCATTACACAGCATCTCCCTGTGTGTCTGGGTCTCTGTGTCTCCTCTCCTCTAACAAGGATACCAGCCTTATTGGATTAGGGACCCACCCTACTCCAGCATGACCTCATCTTAATTATATGTTAACTTAATTACATTTGCAACAACCTTATTTCCAAATACAGTCATATTTGGAGGTTCTGGGAAGCACATGACTTTTAGGGGACACTATCCAACACAGTACATGGGTGTTTGGTTTAAATCTTGGCTCTGCTACCAATTAGCTACGTAAACTTGAACAAGCTAGTGGCTATTTTGAGCACCCTGTTTTCTTATCTGTAAAGTGAGGACAAGAATACTCACTCCATAGACCTTTTGTGAGGATTACTGTGAAGGGCTGTGCTTGTGCCTATTGCAGAGTAAATACTTAGCAGGAGAGAGCTATTATTTTTGTTTTCACTGTCAGAAAAAATTTTTTTTAACAAATTTAAAGACAGAGAAAAAAGAATCACCTTGTCAGTGGACCAAAACATGCCATTTAAACAAAGCAAGCTTTGGGAAGCACCATGTCAACCTAACATTCGTTTCTCTCTCACATTATATTTAGTACCTAGTAAAAAACCTAATTTAGCTCAGGATATACTAGGTTCTAGTTAACTGATTGTTTCTGATGCAGGAGATAACATTTGCATCTATTTCAGTCTCAGGCTAAGAGGCTCAGAAAAGATACACAATTTTAGCTAAGAGTACCTGCCTAATCTAAAAGTATCTATTGCTACATTTTTTCATTTTTTTTTTCCTACTCTGCACAAGCTTGACTTTCCAGTTCATTTTAACTTGATGTCAAGTATATCCAAGGCCTTTTGGTTAAGAGAAGGGAGCCGTATAATCTACTTGACAGAAAATAGCTTCCTTATCAACCTAATTAAATTTCTCTTCATTAAGGTTGCATATTATGGATTTAAAGATATGTTATCTGGGAAGGTTATGATACTAACTTATAAGAAATTATTAACATTTTAGGATGTATTATTTTTCCAATAAATTAGACCCTTAAGAGGGCAGTTCTTTCTGAGGTGAGGAAGGAGGTTCAGGAACATTCCAGAGCCTGGTTCACTTCAGGGTACACTTTTTATCTGGGAAAAGGTAGTGAGAGGGTAACTGAGAGCCTCTGAGAGGCAACAGATTTGCCACCTGAGAAAAAAGCCCCTGAGGCAATGACTGTGTTACTTACATGTGTATAATGTTCCATGTGCTCCTCTGAAAATACCCATGTGGCTTTGTGTACACATATATTTAAAGAATGTGTAAGCAAATATAAGCAGGTTATGAAACATACACACAAAACAAAAAGAAGTTGGGTGCTGGAGACACCCTGCCAGAGCCCACAGTTAAGCTCCCCACATCCCAGCCTGTGATCTGGGCAAGTAACAGAAGTTCATTGGGCCGGTTACATCAGAGCCCCTAGGGTTATTTTAAAGATTAACTTTGTTACTATTGTAAAACACGTAGAATATTGCTTTACACAATATAGGTTTTTAAAACGTCCTTAGTAATTCGCTTTTTTCTTCCTGCCAAAGACATGAAGATGTTGTGCCTCTATTTGTTCTTCATAATCTCATTATGAGTTTTGCTTTGGAACAGTAGGTTATAATCACCTGAGGATTCCCTTTTGAGTTGATGAACAGGATGAAGCTAGCCCGTTTCCAGCTGAATCTACATCAAATTAAGGAAAGCAAAAATATTTTTTAAAGAACAGACTGATGTTTAGTAATGGAAGCAATAGTATTTTAGTAGTGAAAAAAAAAAAAAGGCAGTGCCTGCTATAAAGACTGACAGCCTGAAAAACCTAGTATGTCTCTGTGGGTGGATGCTAACACAGTTCTTTATTTTTATTTATTCATTAATTATGTTGTTTGGTAGAGACTGAGTCTCACTATGTTGCCCAGGCTGGTCTTGAACTCCTGGCCTTAAGCAATCCTCCCACGTCAGCCTCCCAAAGCACTGGAATTACAGGTGTGAGCCATGGTGCCCAGCCCAACAGTTTTTACTAGTACCAAAGTAAAGAAGATTTTTAAAAAGGCATATTCTGTCTTATTGCCGTTGTTTCTAATCAGGAAGGCAAACAATGTAGACAGGAACAAGTTTAACCTTTGGGGGAAGTGTTTGTTTAGTAAATATCACATTGTTTAATCCAAGAAGCCCTTTTCCTTCAATCTGTTAGCAAACAGAGGCCTCCCTGAAAATCAGTGTTGTGCATCTTAAATAAATATCTTGACTGGACCAGACCAGCTGGGTCTGACCACAAGGGGAAGCATATTCTGACATTAGGCTTTCTCTCATCAACAGGTTGGATGTGATGGGCCATTGAAAAAGGGATGATGGGTCCTTAGGTATAAGGAGCTGATGGGCTTATGGAGAGAGCCAGATGTGAATGCATTTTGAATGGGCTGATTCCTTGCAATGTATTTTTTTTCAAATTATTCTATTATCATAATGATCACAAGAAACAATGGTAAGTCCCTGTGTATTTTCAGTCTATATATGCCCTGGGCCCTGTTATTAGCCTCCTCCTTCCCCCAGGATGTGTAGAAACATCAAATAGAGCCTACTAAGTCTCAGACATTATTATAAATAGTTGGATACAACAGTGAGGGCCTCTGACCTCATGGAGTTTACAATCTAGAGAGGAAAGGGGGCTACCCTGGTTTAGGTGTCCAGGGAAAGCATCCCCCGAGAAGTGACCCTTAAGCACAGACATGAATTGGTGATAGAACCATGTGATGAGGGGCTCCAAAGCCAGACTGCTTGAGGTCAAAATCCTGGTTCTGTGTGAAGTTTCCAGAACTTTCTATGTCTTGACTTTCCTATCTGTAAAATGGAGATGAGAGTAATTGCTTCATGGTGTTGCGAGGATTAAATGGTTTAGCAGTATATCGTCAATCATAAGGCCGTATTTTTTCCCTACATTTTGACATCTCAAGATCAAGAACTTCTTAGAATGAATAGGGCTTACACTCACTGATGGGCATGCAGCAGTCCTGATAAAGTGGTTAATGATTGCTTAGGAGCTAAGACAGTTGCTGTCCCAGGTGGCATGACACATTTGCATCTGCTCTGTGCCACAAACCATTAAGGACCATTTGAGGAAGAAACATGAAGCCTGATTGTTGGAAAACATTTTGTGTGACACCCTGTAGTCAGATCTAAGATGCTCAAGTATCAAAACTGGGAAATGGGTGTCAGCAGCTTGGAAGAAAATTCTGGAACTGGAATCCCGGAGTGAAGTATTGGTAAAAAATATGACAGTATGAGTCTCTTCATGGCTCTGACATCATTATGTAGACAAACCCGGACTTTGGCAATTCTGTCAAAACTGATTGAGAATGGGCAGACTCCAAATGTAAAGAAGGCTTAGAAATTGATTAAATAATTTATTTTACTTATATTTTCCTTTTTATGTGTGAACAAGTATGATCTCTAATTTTTAAAATTACATCCAAATAAGGATCATTTTTCAATAAGAACAAATAAAAATTCAAAGTGACAAGAAAGCATGGCTCATATTTAATTGGCCACAGTTTTTTTCTTTCTTAGTGGCTCATAAAATAATAATACATCTTACAAAGGATGCATCTTAGAGTCCATGAAAGGTTGGTGAATCTTTTACAACAGTGCCTGGCAGTAGCAAGCTTTTGGTAAACCATTATCAGTATTTCTCGGTTCTTTTGGGGACAATGGTGCTCACCTCTAAGTTTTACTGCTCAGTGTACATCTCTCACTTTCTAAGCAAATCTCTTCATTAGGCTCTTACTACAATTCATGGAGAAAGGAATAAGAGCTAGCACAGAGGAGGTGCTCAGTAATTATTTATTGATTAAATGAATGAATGACTAGATTCCTGCTAAGCCCCCTCCTATTTCAGAGAGCAAGTGTAAGAAACTTCCATTGCCTCTCTAAGGACTGTCCTTGTCAGAAGCTACCCTAAAATTGTAGGCCTTTCCTCTCTCCACCCAGCACTCCAAGTCATAATTTGCTTTCCAGGATGGTGTGTCTCTGCTGTAGCCTGGGATAGAATGGGGCGGCAGAGGTCCCCCTTTACCCCGCTTTGTGCATTGCATGCTCTCAAAGTCTGGCACATTAAGCTATACAGATATATGCAAATTTATATACTGAAGTCCTGGTATAAATTATAGCTCTGTAAGAATACTCTTCTAGTCGTCTTTCTCTCCACCTTATCGTCTCATTCTTCACCCATCTCTCTCTCTCTCTCTCTCACACACACACACGCACACACACACATAAATAAGCACAGGCATTGAGGGGATATTAAAATAATTCTGAGTTGAGGAGAGAGAGTTCCAAGGAATTCAACAGAGAAACTGGTGAGGGCTTTTGAAAAGCAGATGCTGATCCCTGTCCTCCGTGGGTTTAACTCCAAGGTGGTGAATGCACTTAGAGAAAATTGGGGATTTTGGAGTCATGGATGGAGTCCTGTGCTCTGCTTCTCTTGTGTACTGGGAGGCAGCAAGCACCCATTCCCTATGTCATCATGGTTTTGGGAGTAGAGAGGAGACACTGTCTGAGACTTCCAGGCCCAAGGGCCAGAGGCAGACTCTGAGCTCCTTCACTGGCTGTCAGAGCATTGAGAGGAGCACCGTGCTTCTGGTGCAGCCTAGAGAATCGTGGATGTGACGCTGGAAAGTAAAGGAGCTGACGGTGCCTGGAGGCCAGGGCAATTCCCCCATTATGCTATTGTCAGGAGACTCTGAGAGCCCCCAGAAACCTAAATGCCATAGCAGAGGGAAAAAAAATTGGGAAAAAGTATAAAGGGACAGCATTTTTCCTGAATCACCTAAGAATACCGGGTATGACAAACTTTACTCTTAATTGGCAATGTTGCATCCCATTACTGATGGAGTAGGAACTTAAGGAAAAAGCCATGTTTAGTTCAAGAGGAAAAAAAAAATTTCCTATATGTCTAAGTATGTGGCTTGAATATTCTTACCTGCTGTATGCATACATTCTAAGAAAACTCATTAATCTGGAGGAATTATGGGTGGAAGCAGTGTAGTCTAAACCTATAATGAGAAAGAAAATCTCTTCAATTAGCAAGAAGTTCCCTTGCTCTTGTAGTCAGTTTCTTAAAGGAATATAGACCAAAGGCTTATCCGAATCATGAAAAGAAAACAATATTAATTTCTTGTGAATGTTCTCTTTGATTCCAAAGGAAGAACTCTGGATGCTTTTTATTGTGTGCATTGGGGATTTGAGGGATGCTGGCCATTCTTTTCATAGATGAATTAACATGCTAAAGTAATACCCAGAAAGCTTGTTTCCCTAAAGAAAAAATATATAAACTTAACTATGTAGAAATTCCAGCAAAAAGATTGAAGGACACCAAGGACACCTAAGTAATAGAAATGTGAATTTTGAGAAACAGCAGTGGAATAATTTCCTAAAAGAAATGTCTCAGATGCTAGATGTGAAAGAAGAGGCGAATGCCAAACTGTGGAGTGAAAGCACGAGGATTGGAACAGGAGTGCAAAAGGAGTGTGAGAGTTAAACCCTGGAATTAATGAACAACTCTGAACTTATTCAAGAAGTAATGGATGGTTATATCAACTGGAAATATTTCATTCAATAATAAAAGGTTGTCATAAACAAAATTTTAAAGTAGAACATTAAGAATGGTAGAGTTTTTGTTTTGTTTTGTTTTGTTTTGTTTTGTTTTGTTTTGTTTTGTTTTGTGACGCAGTCTCGCTCTGTCGCCCAGGAGTGCAGTGGCGCGGTTTCAGCTCACTGCAAGCTCTGCCTTCCGATTCACGCCATTCTCCTGCCTCAGCCTCCTGAGTAGCTGGGACTACAGGCACCCGCCACCACGCCCGGCTAACTTTTTGTATATTTAGTAGAGAAGGGGTTTCACCGTATTAGCCAGGATGGTCTCGATGTTTTGACCTTGTGATCCGCCCACCTCGGCCTCCCAAAGTGCTGGGATTACAGGCGTGAGCCACTGCGCCCGGCCAAAAATGGTTGAGTTCTTAATTTAGGATTCTTTGCCATTAGCCCACAGATGTCTGTGACATATTTGGCGCCCTCACCTTCAATCACTGGGGGGATTCTGAGCCTTCCCTATTATTGAATGGTGAGTATCATATGTTCCAGAATTAACCAGGAGACACAAGCTGTACATGCTCATGCGCGTATCTTTCCCAACTTAGGTGCTTTGCTTCAGTGAATAAGCCAACTGGAGCGGTGGCCAATGGTGGGTGCTCCTGGCACCCCCTTCGACTACATCAGCACCAAGACATGCTTTTGTTTGTTGTGTCTTTAAAAATCTTGCTTTCATATGAATTTCTTACATTTGTTAGTTTTAAAAATATACTTAAATTAAAAATCATACATTTCAGACTCTATTTTTAAATTTTTTTATTTGTATAAATTTAAGGCGTATAAGTGCAGTTTTGTTACATTGATATATTGTGCAGTGGCGAAGTCTGGGCTTTTAGTGTATGCATCACCTGAGTAACGTACATTGTACCCATTAAGTAATTTCTAATCCCTTACCCTCTTACCACCGTTTCACCCTTCTGATTGTCTAATGTCTATTATTCCACACTCTATGTCAATGTGTACACATTATTTAGCTCCCGCTTATAAGTAAGAATGTGCAGTATTTGACTTTCTGTTTCTGAGCGGTTATACTTAAAATAATGGCCTCAAGTACCATCCATGTTGCTGCAAAAGAACATGATTTCATTCTTTTTTATGGCTCAACAGTATTCTATTGTGTGTGTGTATATGTGTGTATGTGTCTGTATGCATAAATACCACATTTTCTTTATCCAGTCATCCACTGATGGACATTTTAGATTGATTTCGTATCATTGCTATTGTGAATGATGCTGCAATAGACATAGAAGTACAGCTATTTTTTAATATAATGATTTCTTCTCCTTTGAGTAGATACCCAGCAAGATTGCTGAACTGTACATTAATTCTATTTTTAGTTCCCTGGAGACTCTATTTTTTCTATTTTCCAGTCTTCACCAGTTTTCCCAGTAATCCCATTGTCTGCTCCAGGATCCAATTCAAGACGCCATATTGTACGTAGTTTTCATGGCTGTATATTCTCCTCCAGTCTATGACAAGAAGTTTTAATAAATAAATGTTTTGATATCTAACAATTCTTTTAATCTATGTAAATTGAAAACAAGAGAAGAAAAAGTCCAAAAGTTATATATGGCTACGACATATGTTAAGGATGACTGAGACACAATACAGTGCCTTAAACTGCACTAACAAATTTATTTAAATAAGATAAAATTCAACAATTTTAATGTACAGTCCTATAAATTTTGACAAACACATACATCTGTGCAGCTGTATGTTATAATCAAGACATAGAATAGTTCCATCACCCACAAAAAATATTTTATCTATAGTCAATCAGTGCCCTAAAACATCCAGCCAAACACTCCCCTAAAACACTCAGCCGTGGCAACAACTTTATTGGCATGACGTTGCTCATATATCCCCTTGTTATCTTTTAATTACTGTGGACTATGTAGTGATTTCACTGCTCTCATCCCCAGTATTGATTATTTTTGGCTTCCCTCTCTGATCAGCATAACTAGAGATTCATCAGTGTTATTGATCTCAAAGAGCAAGCTTTTGATTTCATTGATTTTCTCTGTTGTTACTCTGTTTTCTATTCCACTGATTTTTGCACAGATCTTTATGATTTCTTGCTTTCTGCTTTGGGTTTAATATGTTCTTCTCTTTCTAGTTCCTTAAGATGAAAACCCATATTACTGATGAGAGGTCTTTCTTCTTGTCTTATATAAGCATTTAATGCTATAACTTTCCCTTCATTACTGCTTTAGATGCATTACACAAATTTTAATTTATTGTGTTTTTATTATCATTCATTTTTAAACATTTTCTCATTCCCATTATGCCTTACTCATTGAGTCATAGATTACATAGAACTGCATTGTTTAATTTCCATTTTCCCCATAATTTTCCAGGTATTTTTCTGTTGATTTCTAGATCAATTTCAGTACGATCAGAGAATATGGTTTGTATGATTTCAATTCTTTTAAATTTGCTAAAGTTTGTTTTATGAGTAAGAAAATGGCAATCTTGGTGTACTTCCATTTGCACTTGAAAATAATGTGTATTGTGCTATTGTTCTATTGTGGGATAGAATGTTCTACTAATGCCAAGTAGGTTAAGTTTGTTGACAGTGTTACTCACATGTTCTCTAAAGTTATTGATATTTAAAATTTATCTGTTCTATTAATTACTGAGAGAAGAAAATTAACATTTCCAACTATAATTATGGATTTATCAATTTCCCTTTTAATTCCATTAGTTTTTGCTTAATGTATTTTGAAGCTCCATTGTTAGGTTCATACGCATTTATGATTGCCATGTCTTCTTTATCATTATGTCATGTTCCTCATGATTCCTGATAACATTTGTTCTAAAGTCTACTTTGATATTTAGTCCCTTCACCTTTCTTTTGATCAGTGTTTTTATAATCCATCTTTTTCTATTCTTTTAATTTTAACCTGTATTTAAAATGAGTTTCTTAAAGACTATATAGAGTTGATGAGTTGCTTGTTTATTAAATTTGATAATCTGTGTCTTTTGTTATGTTTAGACAATTTGTTTAATATAATTATTGATATATTCTTATTAAAACCTACCATTTTGTTAGTTGTTTTAAATTTTTCTGTCCATCCTTTGCTCCTCTTTTTCTGCTTGCTTTGGATTGGTTATCTTTTTACATTCAATCTTATCTACACTTTTGGCCTATTATTCATATATCTTTTAGAAATGTTTTATTTTTAGTAGCTGTTTCAAGCTTTATAATGTGCATCATTAATAAAGCACGGTCTTAGGCCGGGCGCAGTGGCTCATGCCTGTAATCCCAGCACTTTGGGAGGCTGAGGCAAGTGGATCATCTGAGGTCAGGAGTTTGAGACCAGCCTGGCCAACGTGGTGGAACCCCATCTCTACTAAAAATACAAAAATTAGCTAGGCGTGATGGCGAGTGCCTATAGTCCCAGCTACTCAGGAGGCTGAGGCACAAGAATCGCTTGAACCTGGGAAGTGGAGGTTGCAGTGAGCTGAGATTGCACCACTGCACTCCAGCCTAGACAACAGAATGAGACCCTATCTCAATAATAAAAATAAAAATAAAGCACAGTCTTACTAAAACAATATCACACTACTTCGAAGGCTTTAAAAACCTTATAGCACATGCTTCCAATTCCTCCCTCCCATAACTAGTGATGCTATTGCGGTCACACATTTTAATTTTGCATATGCCAAAATACATCACTCTTATTTTTGCTTTAGAAAACCAATAATCTTTTAGAGTAATTAAAAAGAAAAAACTTTTATACTTATCTTTATTTTCATCACTTCCAGAAATCTTCATTCTTTGTATACATCAAAATTTCTCTCTCGTAAAATTCCTTCTGCCTGAAGAGCTGTCTTTACACATCTTGTAGTGCAGGTCTGCTGATAATCAAAGATCTTGGCTTTTGCTGTCTAAAAGAGTATTTATTTCTCCTTCAGTTTAAACTGTATTTTCACTGGGTATAGAATTCTAGGTTTACAGACTTTTTGTTTGTTTAAGTGCTCCAATGATATCACTTTATTGTCTGCACACTTGCATAGATTATGACAAGAAGTCTGTTGCAACTTTTTTCTTTTCTTTGTTTCTCATTGTATGTGTCATTTTCTCTATAACTTTATTTCCAGCAGTGTGCTGTATCTTGCGGTGTGTGTGTGTGTAGTGTTTAATATTTTTGTGCTTGGGGTTCTCTCAAATTTTTGGATCTGTTGTTTGTCATATTTCATTATTTTGGGAAAAATATTGGCTGTTATCTCTTAAAGTACTTTTTCTGTTTAATTTTCTATCTTCTTCCAGGGTTCTAATTACATGTATATTAGACCACTTGATAGTATTCCAGAGTTCCTGTATTCTCTGTCTCTTTTCCTTTTTCACTCTTTTTTTCTCTTCGTGTTTTACTTTGGGTGATTTCTTCAAGTTCAGTGATTCTTTCCTCAGCTATATTGATTCTTCTGATAATTTCATTAAAGTAATTTTTCATTTCTGTTGCAATGATTTTTACTTTAAGCTTTTCTATTTGTCTTTCTCTTTATTTTCGATTCTCTAGACAGACATTTCCCATCTATTCATACATGTTGTCCCTATTCTCTCCTAGAGTGTTTAATAAATTAATCATAGTTAATTTAAATTCCTGCCTGATAGTTCCAATATCTGGGTAGGGTCTGAGTTAGATTGTTGATTGCTTCATCTCTTGACAGTGGTTGTTACATCTTTTTATTGCATGCTGGATAAAGTATACAGGACAGTAGACATTAAGATAAATAGTATTTATGCCTAGAAATAGGAATACTTATTCTTCTATTGGTCATTAGTGTTGGAGTTTGAGTCAATATGGTCAGAAATTCAGCTGGGTTTCAGTTGTATTGTTGCTTCAGTGCCCTGCCAGTTTCATTCCTCTGGCATTACCTTATGCTTAAGATGGAGACTGGTTTACCTGATAATTTTACTCAATGTGCCTGATCTATCCTCAGTTTTAGGCCTTCTCTGAGTATCTGCATATCAAAGAAGTTGTCTCTTCAATTTTCTGGCCTTTTACCCAACAGTAGGCTGCTATCACTTGTTACTTGGCGCTTGCTAGTATGGTAACGGGGAGTGAGAGATGTTTTCTGTTGTTGCACTTCAACCAAATTCCTAAGCAGACCCTGTGGGAAGTTTTGCTGCCCTTCCACCAACAACTTAAGTCTTTTGTTCCTTAGGGTAGAAGGGACTTGGCAGGATTTTGTGCTTTTCCCATAGCAGAGGCAGTTCCCCTTGTCCAGGCTCGTATTAGTTAAGATTTGTCATGTTTCTGGAATCTTCTGTTGTGGAACAGAATCAACATTCTTTTTTTAACTTTTATTTTAAGTTCAGAGGTACAAGTGCAGGTTTGTTATAGTACATAGGTAAATGTGTGTCATGGGAGTTTGTTTTAAATATTATTTAATCATGCAAGTATAAAGCCTAGTACCCATTAGTTAGTTTTTCTGATCCTCTCCCTCGTCCCCCCTCTACCCTCTAAATGGCCCCAGTGTGTGTTGTTCCCCTCTATGTGTCCATGTGTTCTCATCATTTAGCTCCCACTTATAAGTTAGAACGTGCAGTATTTGGTTTTCTGTTCCTGTGTTAGTTTGCTAAGGATAATGGCCTCCAGCTCCATCCATGTTCCCACAAAAGATATGCTCTCATTCTTTTTTATGGCTGTATAGTATTCCATGGTGTATGATATGGTTTGTCTCTGTGTCCCCACCCAAATCTCATCTCAAATTGTATGCTCCATGTGTCAGGGGAGGGACCTGGTGGGAGGTGATTGGATCATGGGGGTGGATTTTCCCCATGAGAACCATGCTGTTCTCATGATAGTTCTCACAAGATCTGATGGTTTAAAAGTATGGCACTCCCACCCTCACTCTCTCCTCTGCTGCCACCTTGTAAGATGTGCCTTGCTTCCCCTTCACTTTCCACCATGATTATAAGTTTCCTGAGGCCTCCCTAGCCATGCATAACTGTGAGTCAATTAAACCTCTTTCCTTCATAAATTACCCAGTCTCAGGTAGTTCTTTATAGCAGTGTGAAGAAAGACAAATACAGAAAATTGGTATTGAGAAAGTGGGGCACTGCTATAAAGATACCTGAAAATGTGGAAACAACTTTGCAACTCGATAATGGATAGAGGTTGGAACAGTCTGGAGGGCTCAGAAGAAGACAGGAAGATGTGGGAAAGTTTGGAACTTCCTAGAGACTTGTTGAATGGACTTAATCAAAATGATGATAGTGATAGGGACAATGAAGTCCAGGCTGAGCTTTTCTTAGATGGAGATGAGGAACTTATTGGAAACTGGAGTAAAGGTCACTCTTGCTATGCTTTAGCAAAGAGACTGGTGGTATTTTGCCTGTGCCCTAGAGATCTGTAGAATTTTGAACTTGACAGAGATGATTTAGGGTAGCTGGTGGAAGAAATTTCTAAGCAGCCAAGCATTCAAGATGTGGCCTGGCTTTTTCTGAAAATGTAGTCATCTGTGTTCACAAAGAAATGGTCTGAAATTGGAATCTATGTTTAAAAGGACAGCAGAACATAAAAGTTTGGAAAATTTGCAGCCTGACCATGTGGTAGAAAAGAAAACCCCTTTTTCTGGGAGAAATTGAAACCCCATTGACTGCAGAAATTTGCGTGCATAAATAAAGAGAAACAGAATGCTAATAACCAAGACAATGGTGGTGTCTTGCCCTGACATGTCTCCAGGGCATTTCAGAGATCTTCATGGCAGCCCCTCCCATCACAGGCCTGCAAGCCTAAGATGAAAAAATGGTTTCCTGGGCAGGGCCCAGGGCCCCACTGGTCTGTTCAGACTTGGGACATAGCACCCTGCAACCGAACCACTCCATCTCCAGTAATGGCTTTAAAAGGGGTCAAGGTACAGCTCAGGCCATGGCTTCAAAGGGTGCAAGCCCCAAGCCTCAGTGGCTTGAGGTATTAGACCTATGGGTGTGCAGAAGACAAGAGCTGAGATTTGGGAACCTCCTCCTAGATTTCAGAGGATCTATGGAAATGACTGTGTATATGTGCATATTTTCTTTATCCAGCCTATTGTTGATGGGCATTTAGGTTGATTCCATATCTTTACTATCCTGAATAGTGTTGCAATGAACATAAGTGTGCATGTGTCTTTATAACAGAATGATTTATATTCTTTAAGGTATACACCCAGGAATGAGATTGCTGGGTTGAATGGTATTTCTGTCTTTTGGTTTTTGAGGAATTGTCACTCTGTCTTCCACAATGGCTGAACTAATGTACACTCCCACCAATAGTGTATAAGCATTCCTTTTTCTTTACAACCTCGCCAGCATCTGTTATTTTTTGACTTTTTAATAATAGCTATATTAGTTTGTTCTCACACTGCTCTGAAGAACTTCCTGAGACTGGGTAATTTATGAAGAAAAGAAGTTTAATTGACTCACAGTTCCATAGGCTTAACAGAAAGCATGACTGGGAGGCCTCAGGAAACTTACAATCATGGTGGAAGGTGAAGGGAGAGCAAGCACCTTCTTCACATGGTGGCAGGAGAGAGAGAGCAAAGGAAGAAGTGCCACACTCTTTTAAACCATCAGATCTCATGAGAACTCAATTACCATTGTGAGAACAGCAAAGATAACCTGCCTCCATGATCTAATCACCTCCCAACAGGCCCCTCCTCCAATTTGACATAAGATTTGGGCAGGGACACAAATCCAAACCATATCAATAGCCGTTCTGATTGGTGTTAGATGGTAACACCAGAAAAGTGTCTGTTCATGTGCTTTGCCCACTTTTTAATGGGGTGGTTTGTTTTTTTCTTGTAAATTTGTTTAAGTTCCTTATAGATGTTGGATATCAGAGCTTTGCTGGATGCAGAGTTTGCAAAATTTTTCTCCCATTCTATAGATAATCTGTTTACTCTGTTCATAGTTTCTTTTCAACTCTGTTTACTCTAGTCACTGTTTTATCTCCAGCACCTGGAACAGTGCCTGACACATAATGGTCACCCAATAAATATTTATCCTATGAATAAATGAATGTATAAGAAAGTCCCTCTGTTTTTCTAGGTATAACAAATTTCATCTCAGGCTGATAAACAGGTAATATAAATTACATTTCTTAAGTGAAATTCATGTTGTTTTGCAAACTGCATGTTGAATCCATTATTCATTTTGGATATATCTCTTCTAAAAAGAAGCAAATAAGGACAATTAAATTTAGAAAATTGGTTTTCGAGTAAAACATAAGAAGCATAAGGAGAGATCAGTCACCCAACAGGTATATCTGAATGCCTTCCATTTGTCTAGCTCTATGATATGCACTATGGGGAGCAGGCACACAAAAGTACTGGAATGAGTCTCAGCAAATAGCTACAAGAGAGTTAGGCAGAAGTTGATAGAGAAAAAATCAAAAGAAAAATAAACGCTAGATCTGCACATACCTGTGCCTCATTGAAAACATTTTTTAAAGATTTAGACAAAGAAGAAGTTAAAGTAGCTGAGACCCATGATAAGAGGGTCCAACCCACAAGGATTTATTGATCATTTTGGTTGACCTAAGAATGTCCAAGCAACATTCATCTACAAGCCTTAATTACTGTTTCATTTTTTTATTTTCTGGCTACCCTACCTCTTGAAATATAAAATATTCTCTAACAATAAGTTCTTTCTAAATTGTTTTTTATGGTGAAAAAAAAAAGCTGGGAAAAAGTCACTTTCTATGCTGCCACCTTACCCTATTGTCATGGTCAGACTATGTTGCCTTGGTAACAACATCAGATAAAATATGCTGCTTTACCCACCTGTGATGTCATAGCAGATGGCATTATCTTGGCAGCAGAATAAAATAGCCTCTCTCTGAACTTGCTATTTGGACTGTCTCAGAAACCTCATTCATAGAAGAATATCACACAATGTCTATTTCAAATGTGGTACCATTTCAGGCCCTAAATTTCTCCAGAGCACATCTCTCTCCCTTCATGCCAATCAACACAGGACTGGAATATAGCCGGTTGGGAGGAACAGGGGTCCCTGGGTTCCTGTAGTTGATATATTTGTTGCTTACACAGTGTCCATTCTCTCTATACTTCCTTCTTTCTAATTCTGTTTAGAGATTCAGCCCTCTTGCAGTCATATTTGTGACTCAGAAAAACTGAAGGCATATGCACTCTGGAAACAGATCATAACTAAGCCAATCACGGAAACCTCATCCGCTTATGAGTGATTTGTTCAGACACCCAGTTTTAAGCTAGTCAGTGCACAGGCATTTCCCTGGTGACTGTACTGGTCCAGAGTTGAGCACATGACCAGTTTGGCTCAATCAGATTGCAAAGAACTTCCATTCCATGGTTAGAGGAAAGAATCTCTTTCACCAGGTCAACAAGAACAAGGAATAATCTTGCCACAGTTACAGTAACCAGCCATGTTGAAAGCATGAAGGATGCCAGCCTGAGGCCAAAGCTGGCACCTGGTGACAGGACAGAGCAGAGAAAATGGCAGAGGAATGGAATCAGAGCTCTTGATTGTGCCTTGCTTGTAGACTGCTCCACCACTGGACTTCCTGATATGTGATAAAATGAATTCTGTTATTGTTTAACATAGTTTAGACTCAAGGTTTCCTGTTTCTTATAACCGAGGGCATCTTTACTGATATGGCTCAAGTACCCAATAACAAACATGGATCTTGGACAAATCGCTTCATGTCTTCATATCTCAGCTCTCATATTGAACAATGAAGGGATTTGATTGAAAACCTCTAAATTGTCCTTCTGGTATTCTAAACTTCCAAGTCTAAAATGCAAAGCATAGTTCTAGGCACCATGAAGTTTTTAAAAGTGTAAGAACCCAAGTGACCAGTTGAGGCCCAAAGCTTGGGAGAAAACGCATTATAAAGCATATCCCATTTTATGAACAATGGACCTCTAGAAGTTTACCTGAAAAGCTTAGTGAGAAGTGCCAAAATGATCTAATCTCTAGTCAATATAAGAAGAATCAAGATGGGAGAAAGGTAGAGGGGAATCTTTTGGAAAGTACAGAGTTCACAAAGAGAGGCTATTTTCTTCTTCACTATCACCTGTGCAGGAGGTGTGGCTGATTGCTTCCCTTCCTCCTAACAAGTGGGGCTCCAGTAGAAACTCTTACAAAGATTGGGCATGCCTGCAACAAGGGGAAACTTGAATTGGTTCCCTGCTCAGAAATATTCTTGGCTAGTGGCTTATTAATCTGCCCCTTTACCATGCCAAACAGGAGGGAGAGAGAACTATAAAATAGCAGTACTGAAAAAAAGAGGTAGAGTCTTGGGTATACTTGAGATTCCTGTGGATGGCACCAAGAAAGGTATTTGGGCTTAACCTGAGGCATCTGCTGAATCAGGGAGCCAAAGCAGGAGGGAGCAACTTTTTGGGGACCCAGGGGATGGTTAAATTGAATACAAGCCAGATTTCCCAAATCATAGTATTGTGCAGAGGAGAGATGTCCTATAGCCTAGAGAGAGGATTTGAATGTCTGCTGTACCTAACACTAGGTATGTTCTATTGCAGATGCACAGTAAATATTTACAAAAGGAAGCTAGGAAAGAAATAAGTTAGCTGGTTAGTTCTTTCTCTATAGTACTTTGCATGGTCCCTGTGTAATTCTTTTAGAAAGATGAAGATAATAAATGCACTATGCCTAGGCTCCTACTACTCCTCTTCACCACACTGTAGCTTCTAAACACATTCTTTCTCCTCCCTCCTCATGCCTTTCTACTCCTTTATGCACACCTGGAACTCCTGATGTATCAAACCTGCTTGCTGCTCCAGCAGTACAACATGTCCTCTCACACGCACACCAGGGCCTGAGCCCTAAATGCTGAACCCCTGGTATGTCTGGAAAATCCCTCCTCCTCTATCGAAACGAGATCTTGAAGTATTCCCTAACCTTCCCATATAAGATTTCCAGGACACCCAGTGCATTTCTTTTCATTATTTGTTATTTACTCCCTGACTCATGTTTAGCTGAAGTCTCATATAATCCAAATTTGCTACTTTTCTTACCTTGAATTAGCACAATTTACTATTTTCTGTATTAGTTTCCAGAGAACATTTTTCCATTGCTCTCTTCCTAATTCTCTGTCGTGACAAAGTTCTTTGGAATTCAAGTTGCATTCTCCAGGGTGTTATCTACTTTTTTCATTCTGGAAAAATGTTGACAGAACTGCCCATACAGAAAAAACCACCATCATTCTCAGCAAACTATCACAAGGACAAAAAACCAAACACCGCATGTTCTCACTTATAGGTGGGAATTGAACAATGAGAACACATGGACACAGGAAGGGGAACATCACACTCTGGGGACTGTTGTGGGGTGGGGGGAGGGGGAAGGGATAGCATTTGGAGATATACCCGATGCTAAATGACGAGTTACTGGGTGCAGCACACCAACATGGCACATGTATACATATGTAACAAACCTGCACATTGTGCACATGTACCCTAAAACTTAAAGTATAATAATAATAAAATAAAATTAAATTAAATTAAAAAAAGAAAAAAGCCTGTTATTTTTATAAATAGGAAGGGTCTTAAAGATTATCTAATCAACATCCTTGTTTCAATGATAAGGAATTTGAGGTCATCAGAAGTGAAATGACTTCTCTATGTTTGTGGAATTACTTTATAGTAAAACCAAAACACAAACTCTGATATTGCAATAGACAGTAAAGTATTGCTGTTTTGTCTAAGACAAAGCAAAATGAAGCATCTTAACTGAGCTCATTCATAATTCCATATTGAAAACACCAAATGTGCCCTGAGTGATCTTCACAATCATTTCAGAACCTCTGGCCATGGCTTTGAATGTAGGGTATTTCAAGCCAATGGAATACATGGCAGGACCATAGCATGTATAATAAAAGAGAATCAACATGTAAAAATACACCTAGTAAAAAATATCATACACTCCCTGTACCTTTCTCAGATTTTGGCATTCTTAAAACTGAGAAGGACTTCATAGGTTACTCAGAGAAGTGACTTCTATATGTCAAGCATTTTAGCAGACTATTGACATACCAGACCTTATTTACTCATCACAAAACAAACTCATTGAGGAAAGTGTTACCTCTATTTTTAAAATGCTAGGACTTGAGGCCGGGCTTGGTAGCTCATGCCTGTTATCCCAGCACTTTGGGAGGCTGAGGTGGGCGGATCTCCTGAGGTCAGGAGTTTGAGACCAGCCTGACCAACATGGCGAAACCCTGTCTCTACTAAAAATACAAAAATTAGCTGGGCATGGTGGCAGATGCCTGTAATCCCAGCTACTAGGGGGGCTGAGGCAGGGACAATCACTTGAATCCAGAAGGCAGAGGTTGCAGTGAGCCTAGATTGTGCCATTGCACTCAAGCCTGGACAACATAGTGAGACTCCATTTCAAAAAGAAAAAAAAATTGCCAAGACTTGGATTCAGATAAGATAAATGCCTTCCTCAAATTTCTAGCCAAGTAATTATGGAGCTGGTGTACAAACTCAGGTGTGTCCAACTTCAACACCTTCTTAACCCTTTGCTCCTAATCAGATTTACTCCCTCTAATCACAGGATTCTTTACAGATTACATGAAGTGAAGTTCCCAGCTTCAGCTGGAAAATCTCAGTCTGGGGTGGATTTTGTTTTGAGAAGCAGCTCTCTTTCTATAGTTGAAAATTCTGGGTTTTCTTCCTAATTTTAGATTCCCAAATTTGCCTACCAGAAACTTCCACTGAGTCTTTATGCAGACTTTTGGAGCAAACCTAACCAAGCTAATTCTTTGTGAGGACACTTCTAAACTTCTTCCATTGTTCCTTGAGCTTGATTTTGTTCTGTAACTAACTAATTGAAATTAGGTAACTGTGAGTCTTCATTTCTTCAGGGAAAACATCCAGTGTTCACTCAACTATTATCGGTAAACTTTTCTTCCTAGGCTCATTCCTGGATGGCATTTCTTGTACTTTATATTCCAGTGTAACTGTATAAGTATAGCTCTCAGAACAGGACATGACTACTCCTCCTGTAGTCTGTTTTCAACTTGATATTACATTTCAATGAATGCAGCCTAAGTTTATTAGCTTTTTCATCAGGATCCCAACACACTAAAGACATATTTTCTGAGTACGACTCTACAAGGCTTAACAACACTCAAGAGACTCTCAGAAATTTAGCCAACACTTGATTCATCCAATTAAAAGGAAACACCATTAACATGCAGTCAAACGCAACTGAACTGGATCTTAACTCCCAACATTCAAGACTTTTATGGGAAATCACAAGCTACTTAGCTCTGTGTTACTTTGCTGAATTAGTTACAGGACCAAATCAAGCTTTGTGGGATTTTTGCCAGCTTCTGTGCAGAGATATGCATTGGCCTCCATCTAATGCCATTTCTAGAAACATCCCAGTTAGTGGAACACAAAAGCAGTAAGACCACAAATTCAAGGCTGGGTCAGACACTAATAAATTGTTTTATTTCACTCACTGTACTTTTTAAAAATGTTCTTTTATTTTAATGAAATTAAAAGAGAAAGCACCAGTTAGACCTTTCTCTCCCACACAAGGGAGAATCGGCAGCAGCCTAGAGAATCATGTATCTCTATGTCCTTAACAAACAAGAAAGATAAGGGGCAGTAGTGGACCTTTCTACCAACACTGAATAACACAGATCTGCATACTGTTAATACAAAAGAGTATAAAGGAAGAAAAATATTTATAAATTTGTGATAGATAAAAAGGATCAGCTAGATTGTAAGCAGCATGAGAACATTTCTGTCATTACAATCCTATTCCATATGTGACATATAATGCTGTATCCATTTGGATGAACAACTAAATGAACCAATAGAATCTAATCTATAAATGGTTGACACTGGTGTGAATCATGAGGTTAAGTGTTTCCTGGTGGGGGCTCTAGATTCTCTTTCAATTAGATGGTTTCAGAGATTTTTGCTGCCATTGACAATTAGCAATCTCTATAAGCAATGCTCTTAGACAAAGTCAAATTCCTCAGTCTTATGTTCCTTCATAATTCAGGTGGATAAATTGAGTGAATTGAGCTCTTCCGCACATACAATTCTATTCAGTTATCTTAGGAGAGAGAATATGGTCAAGAAGAGTATTTTAGGAGAGGTATTGATCAAAGGGAACAAATTTTCAATCAAAAGATAAATAAGTTCTGAGGACCTAATGTACAGGGTGGTGACTCTAGTTAATAATACTGTATTGTATACTTGAAATTTTCTAAAAGAGTAGCTCATAAATGTTCCCACCACACACACATACATACACACACACACACACAAACACACACAAAGATGTGATATGAGGTGATGGATGTGTTAGTTTGATTGTGTTAGTTGTTTCACAATGTATATGTATATCAAATAATCACATTACATGCTTTAAATATATACAATATTTATTTGTCAATTATACCTCAATAAAGATAGGAGGAAAAAATAATCTTTTAGAGCTGGTTGATCTGGTCCAGATATAGACTTTCTAAGTTAATATAACAGGTCCTATAACATAAGCAGGTTTGGAAATAAACCAACTACTTCTTAACAATATCCTGCCTGGATTACTTTTTGTATCAAATAAGGTCAAAAGTAATATAAATAAGACAAATATGTCATCTTCATAACTCATAAGAAATGTAAATTATCTTAGAAAAAAATAATATTTATTAGGTGAGGAGTGTTGGCTCTTAGATAATTTATGATGTGTCATCAGTCACAGATCTTGTTTTTAATAAAGTAATTTAAAAGCAGAGAATTATCAGTATCTCAGTCTTCCTCCTCACTCACAAAATGAGAAATCATATCTTTCCATTTGTGAGATATCAAATCCTGGACCAAGGAAATCCTTTTGTGCCTAGCCAAAGATGTTAGAAAGGATAAAGGAATGAGGCCTCATTTTTTTTTTTGTATTTGACCATGGAATCATTTTATATACAGCACTATTAGTACCCAGGAAAACCAGCATTTGAAATAACACAATTTAGGCATGCCAGCTGATGGTGGAGAAAAGTTAACTATATTTCAAATATAAACTGGCCTTCAAGGTACTAAGTAGTATACATTATTATCTTGTTAAATATTCACCGTATATCTGCCTGGTAGGTAATATTTTCATTTTATTTTATCTTATTTTTTAACTTTTATTTTAGGTTTAGGGTTACATGTGCAGGTTTGTTACATAGGTAAACTCACATCATGGGGGTTTGTTGTATTGATTATTTCATTACCCAGGACTTAAGCCCAATACCAAGTAGCTATCTTTTCTGCTCCTCTCCCTCCTCTCACCCTCCACCCTTAAGTAGAACCCAGTGTCTGTTCTTTCCTTCTTTATCTTCACACATTCTCATCAATTAGCTGCCACTTATAAGTGATATTTTATTTTCTCTTCCTGCATTAGTTTGCTTAGGATAATAACCTTCAGCTCTATCCATGTTCCCACAAAATACATGATCTTGTTCTTTTCTTATGGCTGCATAGTGTTTTATGGTATATATATACCACATTTTTCTTTATCCAGTCTGTTACTGAAGGGCATTTAGGTTGATTCCATGACTTTGTTATTGTGAATAGTGCCACAATGAACATTTGTGTGCCTGTGTCATTATGGTAGAATGATTTATATTCCTCTAGTTATATACCCAGTAATGGGATTGCTGGGTCGAATGATAGTTCTGCTTTTAGCTCTTTGAGGAATCACTATACTGCTTTCCACAGTGGTTGAATTAATTCACACTCCCACCAACAATGTATACGTGTTCCATTTTCTCCACAATCTCACCAGCATCTGTTGTTTTTTGACTTTTTAATAATAGCCATTCTGACTGGTGTCACATGGTATCTCACTATGGTTTTTATTTGCATTTCTCTAATGATTAGTGATATTGAGCTTTTTTACATATGTTTGTTGACCACATATATTTCTTCTTTTAAAAGTGTCTGTTCATGTCCTTTGCCCACTTTTTAATAAGGTTGTTTTTCTCTTATAAATTTGTTTAAGTTTATTATAGATGCTGGATATTAGGCCATTGTCAGATGCATAGTTTACAAAAATTTTCTCCCATTCGGTAGGTTGTTTGTTTAGTCTGTTGATAGTGTCTTTTGCTGTGCAGAAGCTCTTAAGTATAATTAGATCCCATTTGTCAATTTTTGCTCTTGTTGCGATTGCTTTTGGTGTCCTGTCATGAAAGCTTTGCCCGTTCCTATGTCCAGGATGGTATTGCCTAGGTTGTCTTCCAGGGTTTTTATAGTTTTGAGTTTTACATTTAAGTCTTTAATTCATCTTGAGTTGATTTTTGCATATGGTGTAAGGAAGGGGTCCAGCTTCAGTCTTTGGCATATGGTTTGCCAGTTATTCCAGCATCATTTATTAAATAGGGAGTCTTTTCCCCATTGCTTGTTTTTGTCAGCTTTGCCAAACATCAGGTGGTCATAGGTGTGTACCCTTATTTCTGGGCTCTCTATTCTGTTCCATTGGTGTATGTTCCTATTTTTGTACCAGTATCATGATGTTTTTGAGTGGAAGTAGTGAGAAAGGGCATCCTTGTCTTGTGCTGGCTTTTAAGGGGAATACTTCTAGCTTTTGCCCATTCAGTATAATGTTGGCTGTGGGTTTGTCACAGATGACTCTTATTATTTTGAGGTATGTTCCTTCAATACCTAGCTTGTTGAGAGTTTTTAAATGAAAGACTGTTAATTTTTGTTTGTTTGTTTTTTGTTTTTTTTTTGAGACGGAGTCTCGCTCTGTCGCCCAGGCTGGAGGCAGTGGCGCGATCTCCGCTCACTGCAAGCTCCGCCTCCCGGGTTCACGCCATTCTCCTGCCTCAGCCTCCCGAGTAGCTGGGACTACAGAAAGAGTGTTAAATTTTATTGAAAGCTTTTTCTGCATCTATTGAGAAAATCATGTAATTTTTGTCTTTAGTTCTATTTGTGTGATGAATAACATTTATTGATTTGTATATGTTGAAACAACCTTGCATCTCAGGGATGAAGCCTACTTGATCATGGTGGATTAGCTTTTTGATGTGCTGCTGGATTTGGTTTGCAACTATTTTGTTGAGGGTTTTTGAATCACTGTCCATCAAGATATTGGCCTGAAGTTTTCTTTTCTTGTTGTATCTCTGCCAGGTTTTGATATCAGAATGACATTGGCCTCATATAATCAGTTGGTGAGGGGTCCCTCCTCCTCAATTTTTTGAAGTAGTTTCTTTAGGAATGGTACCAGCTCTTCTTTGTACATCTGGTAGAATTTGGCTAAAACCCCATTCTTATGTGTAGAGAGGTGTAATTTATGAGAGCTAAATAAATGAGGCTTTACAATGCCTGAGAATATCAGGCGATTTCCTTAAGAAACTTATAAATATAAGTAAAAATTAACTTTATAATTTCTAAGGATTTCTATCTCCCCATTAGTTGTGAATATGGAGGCATGGTGTAAACTTAATATTCTGGACAGGAAAAGTAATTTTTAGCTTCACTTAGAAAAGAACTAAAAAAGAAAAAAAACATAGACCAGTGCCTGTTCCAAACCCTTTCTGCAATGCACAGAGTTGTAGAGTTTTAGCTCTGCCCAAGAGAAGCTCAAAATATGGAAATTATTTACTCATCCATTCAACAGAAAACAAAATTGATTGTCTACAGCACTGAGAAAACAGAAGTGAATACTAGAGACAAAGTGTCTCTCCTCAAGGATCTTACATTCTAGTGTAGGGAGACAGACAATAAATAAAAAACACAAACATAATATAATTCAGGTAGAGATAAATGGAATTTTTTAAAAAATTGCAGAATAAGTGCAAGGAGACTGATGTGAGATGCATACATTTCTTATAGACAGCAATGTCAGGGATGACCCTCTGTGAAGGTGACAGGTGAGCAGAGCCAAAATGCAATGAGAAAGTGAATCTAGCAGAACCCAGGCCTGGCAGGGTCCTCTAACGCAGTGGTCCCCAACCTTTCTGCCACCAGGTTCCAGTTTCAGGGAAGACAATTATTCCATGAACTGGTTGGTGAGGGAGGTGGTTTCAGGATGAAAGTGTTTCATCTCAGGTCATCATCAGGCATTTGATAGATTTTCATAAGGAGCACGTAACCTAGATCCTTCGCATGCACAGTTCACAATAGGGTTCGCGCTCCTGTGAGAATCTAATGCTGCCACTGATCTGACAGGAGGTAGAACTCAGGTGGTAATGTTCTCTCGCCCATGCTCACCTCCTGCTGTGTGGCCCATTTCCTAACAGGCCATGGACTGGTACCAGTCCACGGCCTGGGGGTTGCGGACCCCTGCTCTAAGATTTCATCAATCTCTGTCCCAACCATTGCAGCAGCTTCTTCCTTGACAGCAATGACATTTAGAGGTTCAGGAACATGGCTCGTGTTTTCTCCAAGGATGTGCAGTAAGAGCATAACTTCTATTCCTCATGTAGTGCCTCCTTTGTCACCACCAATTTCTATCTCTTTTTTCTACCATCAATATTTTAATACCAGTGGCCTGCCTCTAAAGATTTCATGGCCCAACTTTTTAAATGTCAAAAAAAGTATGAAAATATCTGTTTCTTTAGGAATCTTGGTAAAAGAAAATTAAAAATATATATATAAAGGAAGTAGTTTGGGTAGCTTGAACAGTCTTCTCTATAACAAGAATCTTCAAAATTGTTTTCGTAGCAGAAGTCTCTTCTCAGATGAATCTTATGTAAAACAGATTATGTATTATACAACAGAGAAAACAGCAGAACTGTTCTGGATAAAGCAGAGATCTGACTTCCCAGAAACTGCTTGAAAATTCCTCAAAGGCCCTGGAGCAAGATCTCTTTGGACAATGGAAAGAAGATTAAGTTCATCAAGAGTGTCTTTTTAAAAACACTCATTCAAAATATTGAATGATATTCAATATTCATTCTTTGAATTTCTGCTCAATGCAAGGCAATGCCCTATAAACTGAGAGCAACAGTGAAAGACAGGGAAGGGATAGAAAGAAATCACTTCTTGATCTCATTCGGAAGGAGATAAAACAATTCATTATAATGGTTAAATATATGAGATTTGGAGCTATATAGCTTCAAAGCCGAGATCTTTCACCTCTTATCTGTGTGGTCCCAGGTAAGTTAATTAATCTAACTATGCCTCAGCTTCCACAAATGTGAAATAAAACCCATTAACTTGGTCCTTCACCAAATTACTGGTCCCTGCTAGGTGAGTATCACATTTTTTCTTTAACAAAAGCTTTACTGGATTGAACAGTAAGGATACAGCACAGTAAGGAATCTGTATGAGTCGGGAATCAAGGCAGAGTGCTCTGGCACCCAGTGGATGATCTTACAGTGGGTCCGTCTATAATCATTCCTATACCCTCGTTACCTCCTAGTAACTAGGAGGTAATCTGGTCAAAGATTCATGCCTCTAATATGTTAAATGAGATAAAAGCCCCATCCCTGGCCTTGGAGCCTCAAAAGTTTCTTTGCAAGGCTTAGTTACTAAAATAAGTTTCTGGAAAGCGAGGACCTCAGTCTGTCTATTCAAATCCCAGCGCCCTTTGTCCCAGGTCTGTCTTTCGGAGCTACCAGGCTGCAGACAGTATTCACAGTTTTGGTTCTGCTTCTTTGGAAGTATCACTCACAAATTAGATGTCATTTCAGTCTGGCATGCAGAGGTCCTTTCTTCTTTGGTATTAGGAATAAACTAGTTCCTTAAAAACAAGTATGAAGTCTGCCCACCTGGTCACTGTTAGAGGCAGGGAAAGAGCTTAAGTGACTGTGGGAACACAGTGTTTGAGCATGCATGTGTGTGCAGGAGTTGTGAAGGGGTAGAAATGAATGCTGAAGCAGACCTCTTTGATCAATACACCGACCTCACAGCAAGGAGAGTATTAAATAAAATCATGTATATAAAGCAGTTCAACACTTTATATTCATTCTATTGTAGGGAGACAGACAATAAGCAAGTAAAAAACACTCTGTGTTTGTTTTGCTGTTCTACTCAGTAACCATAAAGTGTACTTGTGTTGGTCAAGAGCAATTTGATTGCAAGAAATCAATTTAGTTTAAACTACCTAGACAAGGGGGAGTTATTTATGTATCACTCAGAAAAATAAATATCACACTTAGTTATCTGAGGGAATCATATATAGTAGAGGAAATAGTTTCACAGATGTTGGAAGCATGAAAGGGCAAAAAAGGGACCCTGAACTAACTCAGAAATGGTAACTGCAGGAAGAAACTACCTCCTCTAGGAGGGGGAACGCTGGGGAAACAGAATAGAAGGAGTATGTTCCCAGGGCCATGGATTTCAGGGGAGGTGCTCTGTGGACTAAGATTGCTGAGGAAGAGGCAGCTCCCTTCCAGCTGCTGTTGGCGCCTCTGGGGGCCTGTGCTAAGGCTGCTACTCAGGGGCCAAGACACTGGAAGCTGCAGCCAACTGCCACTAGTGCAAAGATGCTGCCAAAAACAGAAAACAGAAAGGACAGGCTCTTTCCCTTGGGCATTCTTATGTCCTTTAGTGCCTCTTATAAGCTCATGGGAAGCCAGCTAGCAGAGGGGCCTGGGAAATGCAGTTTGCAGAATACAGAAGGGCTGATTGAAGCTGAGAGATAATAGGTAAATAACTGGCAAACTGGTTCATGGAATCCAAGGAAGGCTCAACTCAGAAACCATATGAACCAGGACCTGCATGTAGCTAGGACTTCCTGTTTCTTCTCTAAATTCTGTTTCTCACTGCTCATCAGCTTAGGCAGTTCTGTTCTCCATGGCAATGGCAGCACATGGCTGCCCAAATCCCCCACATCTGACTCCCAACAACCGTGACCACCAGAGATAAATTAAAAATTAATTAAATTATACCTGCCTTTACTTGCTCTAGTATGACCTGGACCCAAATTTGTAGCCTTTTGAATTTCAGATTTGTTTTTTCTTTTCAAGGTAGATTAAATAAAATTGTTGACTTAGGGGAAATAGAGATGAGTGCATGTCAGTTAGAAGTCACAAAGTGCATTTTTTATTCTATTTCATATTATTTCAATAATGAGTCATTGTATAATATCTCAGGAGACATCAAAATTTTCAAAGGAATTATACTTACAGTATAAAAATTTAACACATACCTCTGTTCTGCTTCAGAGTACCATAGTTAACTCTTAGGCATGATTCTCCCTTTGTGGCTCCTTCCTCTCCTCCCACATCCTTTTGGCTAGAATTCCATTAACAACTGCACCACAGTGAGAAAAGGAAGAGAAAGATAAAATCAATGAAATTTAATTCAGACTGTTATGTTTGTACTTCAGGATTTTCAAGCATTTGGCAACAGGCACAGCAGCAAAACAAGCCTACAGAGCCCTGGCCTGCTATGTATTCGCTCTTGACCATGACTCTTTTCTGAGCTTGGGTTTTTAAAATTTTTATTTTTATAGTGAGAATAATAACAATTACATTTTTGCAGATAATATGAGAACCAAATAAGATAACATTTGCAGTTAAAAAAAAATCACTTCTCAGCCAGGTGCCGTAGTTCAAGTCTGTAGTCCCAGCACTATGGGAGGCCGAGGCGGGCAGATCACTTGAGATCAGGAGTTCAAGACCAGCCTGGCATGGCGAAACCCTGTCTCTACCAAAAAATATAAAAATTAGCTGGGCATGGTGGTGGATGCCTGTAGTCCCAGCTACTTGGGAAGCTGCAGCAGGAGAATCGCTTGAGCCTGGGAGGCGGAGGTTGCAGTGAGCCAAGATTGCACCACTGCACTCCAGCCTGGGCAAGACAGTAAGAACCTGTCTCAAAAAAAAAAAAAAAAATTCACTTCTTAGGCTCCCTCTGTCTTCTAAACATAAACACTCTAAGGACCAGCATGAATGGAGCTAAGGACAGGCCCCCCAGGCTTGCATATGTGAGGCAGGTGGCCTTTGCTGACCTTGCAGCTTGCCTATTCCACTGCCAGGATTAGAGGTCAGCAGAGTCAGGGAGGCTCAAGGTCAGGGAAAAGGAAGTTCAAATCTCAAAGTGGCCTAAGGCTAAGAAGAACCCAGAACTCAGAAGGGGCATGGCTACTCTGGAATCTAGCTCAACTCTCCTACGGATGCATTCACTTGAGTGGAACAGCCAGGATTGAAAACTCTGTGCACAAGCTGTTTAACAAGAAGACAGCAGCCCAAAGAACGTGTGAGTAAAGGCAGAAGAATCACAGTCACTTATTTTTAACAAAGTGAGTCCATTTCAATTGAGCTGTGTCTTTTGTTGATACCTAGTGGCTCAATCAGTTACTCAAAGGCAGCAGTTTTAAAACTTCCAAAGACTTCGTATTTGATCCAGGGTAAAACCTAAACTCCTTAGTCCTACATCCAGAGCCCTTCACAGCTATAGCTTCCATTACTTTCTCTCCGTAAGACAGCTCTTCCTCAATTGTGTCCAGCATTCTCATGACTCTTTGCCTTTGACGTAGGTTGTTCTCTTTCCCAAACTGCCTATTATTACTTCTGCTACTCGCCTTTTAAGGCAGAGATTGAATATCGTTTCCTCCCGGAAGCTGCGTGTTCTTACCTACTTCTCATAGCACACCCAACACGATACATAGCAATAAAAATCACTTGTCTCCCAACTAGACTATGAGTAATTCCTCTAATAAGAAGCTAGGGCTGATTCATCATACACTCCACCCCCTTGTCTCTTTCTATCCCATGTTTGGCATTTGTAACATTTTGTGAAATACCAGTTAGAATGGCTATTACTAAAAAGGCAAAAAATAGCAGATGCTGGCAGGATTTTGGAGAAAAGGGAATGCCTATACACTGCTGGTAGAAATGTAAATTAACTCAACTATAGTGGAGAGTAGTGTGGCAATTTCTCAGAGACCTTAAAGGAGAATTACCATTTGATCCAGCAATGCTATTATTGGGTATATACTCAAAGAAATATAAATTGTTTTATCATAAAGACACATGCACGTGTATGTTCATCACAGCACTGTTCACAATAGCAAAGTCATGGAATCAACCTAAACGTCTATCAATGGTAGATTGGATTTTAAAAATGTGGCACACATACATGATGGAATACTATGCTGTGATAAAAAGAATGAGATCATGTCCTTTGCAGCAAGATAGATGAAGCTGGAGGCCATAATCCTAAGTGAACTAACACAGAAACAGAAAACCAAATATGCATGTTTTCATAGGTGGAAGCTAAACATTGAGTACACATGGACACAAAGAAGGAAATGACAGACACTGGGGCTTACTTGAGGGTGGAAGGTGGGAGGAGGGAGAGGATCTAAAACTATTTGTGTACTTCACTTATTACCTGGGTGATGAAATAATGTGTACACCAAACAACTGTGACATGCAATTTACCCATATGCCAAACCCGCACATGTACCTGTGAACCAAAAATAATAATTAAAAACAAACAATGAAACAACAAAAAAGTGGGGTCCCCAGAAAAAAAAAACTTTGAAAGAATGAAAAAAAAATCTCTAAAATGAATATTTACCCCCGAACACACTCTTCTATGTGATTTCCCTTTCAATGAGAATAGCATGGTATAGTGGATAGTAGGTTCTAGGGCTTCACAGGACTTATTCTAGTTCTGGTGTCCCACCTATTAGCTATGTCCCCATAATCAAGTTACTTAACTTCTTTCAACCTCAGTACCTGCGTTCTTTCATTTTTATAATGAAAATAGTAATAATAATAATTACATTTCACAGAAAATGCAAGGTTCAAATAAGAAAATATTTGCAGTTTTTAAAAATATAAATGGAGAAATGCTATACAAAAGTTAAATATTTAAACATGAGAACAACTACAATTTTTAAAAACTGATTTACTCAGGGGATAGGGTAGCAATTAAAATTCAACCAGAACCAAAAAACAGCTAAAAAAATTAAAGGGGGGAAATAGAATGAGGGCATTTCATAGGTGGTTTCCGGTAAGAGGTAAATAAAAGTGGCTAATACTAATGTCCGAAATAAAATTTTGAAGATTTTCAGAGATGAATCAGCAGCTTCCTCATCAAAGAGTGGGAAAATTGCTATCACTGTTTTAACATTGATAATTAAATCAAAATGACAATAAACTAATTGCTTGCTATTAGAAGGCAATAAATAAAACACAAGTTTATATTTGAAATACAGCAGACAATTTTAAGATTTTTTTCTTCTGCTGTGCATCACCTTCACTTTATTGTCACATCAATTCTTTGGAACCACCTCTCACTTTTACTGTCTTTCTCCTTCTTGCCAGCTCCTCTCAGTTCTGACTTTAAATTTCTGCCTTTCCTCTCCTATGAGAATGATCTTTTAAAACAACTTTGAAGATCTTTCTCAAAACAACTTGGAAGATTAGAGCATACAATCAGATCACTTATAATCTCAACTTAGATTGAATCGAGACGCAATTCCAGTTACAAGAAAACAAGGTTAATTCATAAATGAGAACTTCAATTGTACTTTAAAATATAAACTTATGCAGTACTTACTTAATTATGTCATTGCATGTTGCCTCCTGTTCAACAGCCATCTCTTTTTTCCTGCTCAGCGATGCTGTAAATCGGCTTTCTATCCCAGCTCCAGGGGGTGAATGTCAATTATTACAGTTAATCTAGAATCACAATAATTGCACTCCCTTCACCAGTGATTGGTTCCATCGGAGGCATGTTATGTAATCCTGGCCAACTAGGCTAGAGGGAAGTATGCTTCTGGACTTTTTGAGGAAAGATTTTTAATCCTGATAAAAAGAGCTAGGTGATGAGAAATAGCTCATTTATGCTTCTCCATATGATTGTGTGAGCACATGACCTCTGGCTTCAGCAAAGACGAGGAGAGGCAATGCCTCCAGAGTAGAAAGGTTCGAGACTCCTGGATCATTTAGAAGAGGACTGGATTAGCACACTATGAAAACGTCCACTTTCAGATGTGATATTATGTAAAGTAACAAATCCTTTATTGTTTAAGCCACTTTCAAATTTTGTTCCATTTTGCTTTTCCAGCTGAAAACATCCTAAGACATGTAGTAAACTTTTGGTGAATTGAATTGTCTGGCTAACCAAAAGTTTTTAAAAATATCTTCCAGATTATCCTGAGAGAATACTAACACTGCCATCCCCCAAGTTTGCCTGTGAAATTCTAATGAAATACAGAAATAAATGCAAACATTCAATCATATAAGAACTACCGGGAGGGAGGAGCCAAGATGGCCGAATAGGAACAGCTTCGGTCTACAGCTCCCAGCGTGAGCGACGCAGAAGACGGGTGATTTCTGCATTTCCCTCTGAGGTACCGGGTTCATCTCACTAGGGAGTGCCAGACAGTGGGCGCAGGTCAGTGGGTGCGCGCACCGTGCGTGAGCCAAAGCAGGGCGAGGCATTGCCTCACTCGGGAAGCGCAAGGGGTCAGGGAGTTCCCTTTCCTAGTCAAAGAAAGGGGTGACAGATGGCACCTGGAAAATCGGGTCACTCCCACCCGAATACTGCGCTTTTCCGACAGGCTTAAAAAACGGCGCACCACGAGATTATATCCCACACCTGGCCCGGAGGGTCCTACGCCCACGGAGTCTCCCTGATTGCTAGCACAGCAGTCTGAGATCAAACTGCAAGGCGGCAGCGAGGCTGGGGGAGGGGCGCCCACCATTGCCCAGGCTTGCTTAGGTAAACAAAGCAGCCGCCAAGCTCGAACTGGGTGGAGCCCATCACAGCGAAAGGAGGCCTGCCTGCCTCTGTAGGCTCCACCTCTGGGAGCAGGGCACAGACAAACAAAAAGACAGCAGTAACCTGCAGACTTAAATGTCCCTGTCTGACAGCTTTGAAGAGAGCAGTGGTTCTCCCAGCACGCAGCTGGAGATCTGAGAATGGGCAGACTGCCTCCTCAAGTGGGTCCCTGACCCCTGACCCCTGAGCAGCCTAACTGGGAGGCACCCCCCCAGCAGGGGCAGACTGACACCTCACACGGCCGGGTACTCCAACAGACCTGCAGCTGAGGGTCCTGTCTGTTAGAAGGAAAACTAACAAACAGAAAGGACATCCACACCAAAAACCCATCTGTACATCACCATCATCAAAGACCAAAAGTACATAAAACCACAAAGATGGGTAAAAAACAGAGCAGAAAAACTGGAAACTCTAAAAAGCAGAGCGCCTCTCCTCGTCCAAAGGAACACAGTTCCTCACCAGCAACGGAACAAAGCTGGACGGAGAATGACTTTGACGAGCTGAGAGAAGAAGGCTTCAGACGATCAAATTACTCCGAGCTACGGAAGGACATTCAAACCAAAGGCAAAGAAGTTGAAAACTTTGAAAAAAATTTAGACGAATGTATAACTAGAATAACCAATACAGAGAAGTGCTTAAAGGAGCTGATGGAGCTGAAAACCAAGGCTCGAGAACTACGTGAAGAATGCAGAAGCCTCAGGAGCCGATGCGATCAACTGGAAGAAAGGGTTTCAGCAATGGAAGATGAAATGAATGAAATGAAGTGAGAAGGGAAGTTTAGAGAAAAAAGAATAAAAAGAGATGAGCAAAGCCTCCAAGAAATATGGGACTATGTGAAAAGACCAAATCTACGTCTGATTGGTGTACCTGAAAGTGATGGGGAGAATGGAACCAAGTTGGAAAACACTCTGCAGGATATCATCCAGGAGAACTTCCCCAATCTGGCAAGGCAGGCCAACATTCAGATTCAGGAAATACAGAGAACACCACAAAGATACTCCTTGAGAAGAGCAACTCCAAGACACATAATTGTCAGATTCACCAAAGTTGGAATGAAGGAAAAAATGTTAAGGGCAGCCAGAGACAAAGGTCGGGTTACCCTCAAAGAGAAGCCCATCAGACTAACAGCGGATCTCTCGGCAGAAACCCTACAAGCCAGAAGAGAGTGGGGGCCAATATTCAACATTCTTAAAGAAAAGAATTTTCAACCCAGAATTTCATATCCATCCAAACTAAGCTTCATAAGTGAAGGAGAAATAAAATACTTTACAGACAAGCAAATGCTGAGAGATTTTGTCACCACCAGGCCTGCCCTAAAAGAGCTCCTGAAGGAAGCGCTAAACATGGAAAGGAACAACCGATACCAGCCACTGCAAAATCATGCCAAAATGTAAAGACCATCGAGACTAGGAAGAAACTACATCAACTAACGAACAAAATAACCAACTAACATCATAATGACAGGATCAAATTCACACATAACAATATCAACTTTAAATGTAAATGGACTAAATGCTCCAATTAAAAGACACAGACTGGCAAATTTAGATAAAGAGTCAAGACCCATCAGTGTGCTGTATTCAGGAAACCCATCTCATGTGCAGAGACACACATAGGCTCAAAATAAAAGGATAGAGGAAGATCTACCAAGCAAATGGAAAACACAGAAAGGCAGGGGTTGCAATCCTAGTCTCTGATAAAACAGACTTTAAACCAACAAAGATCAAAAGAGACAAGGCCATTACATAATGGTAAAGGGATCAATTCAACAAGAAGAGCTAACTATCCTAAATATATATGCACCCAATACAGGAGCACCCAGATTCATAAAGCAAGTCCTGAGTGACCTACAAAGAGACTTAGACTCCCACACATTAATAATGGGAGACTTTAACACCCCACTGTCAATATGAAACAGATCAACGAGACAGAAAGTCAACAAGGATACCCAGGAATTGAACTCAGCTCTGCACCAAGCGGACCTAATAGACATCTACAGAACTCTCCACCCCAAATCAACAGAATATACATTTTTTTCAGCACCACACCACACCTATTCCAAAATTGACCACATACTTGGAAGTAAAGATCTCCTTAGCAAATGTAAAAGAACAGAAATTATAACAAACTATCTCTCAGACCACAGTGCAGTCAAACTAGAACTCAGGATTAAGAATCTCACTCAAAACCGCTCAACTACATGGAAACTGAACAACCTGCTCCTGAATGACTACTGGGTACATAACGAAATGAAGGCAGAAATAAAGATGTTCTTTGAAACCAACGAGAACAAAGACACAACATACCAGAATCTCTAGGATGCATTCAAAGCAGTGTGTCGAGGGAAATGTATAGCACTAAATGCCCACAAGAGAAAGCAGGAAAGATCCAAAATTGACACCCTAACATCACAATTAAAAGAACTAGAAAAGCAAGAGCAAACACATTCAAAAGCTAGCAGAAGGCAAGAAATAACTAAAATCAGAGCAGAACTGAAGGAAATAGAGACACAGAAAACCCTTCAAAAAAGTAATGAATCCAGGAGCTGGTTTTTTGAAAGGATCAACAAAATTGACAGAATGCTAGCAAGACTAATAAAGAAAAAAAGAGAGAAGAATCAAATAGACGCAATAAAAAATGATAAAGGGGATATCACTACCGATCCCACAGAAATACAAACTACCATCAGAGAATACTACAAACACCGCTACGCAAATAAACTAGAAAATCTAGAAAAAATGGATAAATTCCTTGACACATACACTCTCCCAAGACTAAACCGGGAAGAAATTGAATCTCTGAATAGACCAATAACAGGATCTGAAATTGTGGCAATAATCAATAGCTTACCAAGCAAAAAGAGTCCAGGACCAGATGGATTCACAGCCGAATTCTACCAGAGGTACAAGGAGGAACTGGTACCATTCCTTCTGAAACTATTCCAATCAATAGTAAAAGAGGGAATCCTCCCTAACTCATTTTATGAGGCCAGCATCATCCTGATACCAAAGCCGGGCAGAGACACAATGAAAAAAGAGAATTTTAGACCAATATCCTTGATGAATATTGATGCAAAAATCCTCAATAAAATACTGGCAAACCAAATGCAGCAGCACATCAAAAAGCTTATCCACCATGATCAAGTGGGCTTCATCCCTGGGATGCAAGCCTGGTTCAATATATGCAAATCAATAAATGTAATCCAGCATATAAACAGAACCAAAGACAGAAACCACATGATTATCTCAATAGATGCAGAAAAGGCCTTTGACAAAATTCAACCACCCTTCATGCTAAAAACTCTCAATAAATTAGGTATTGATGGGATGTATTTCAAAATAATAAGAGCTATCTATGACAAACCCACAGCCAATATCATACTGAATGGGCAAAAACTGGAAGCATTCCCTTTGAAAACTGGCACAAGACAGGGATGCCCTCTCTCACCACTCCTATTCAACATAGTGTTGGAAGTTCTGGCCAGGGCAATTAGGCAGGAGAAGGAAATAAAGGGTATTCAATTAGGAAAAGAGGAAGTCAAATTGTCCCTGTTTGCAGATGACATGATTGTATATCTAGAAGACCCCATTGTCTCAGCCCAAAATCTCCTTAAGCTGATAAGCAACTTCGGCAAAGTCTCAGGATACAAAATCAATGTACAAAAATCACAAGCATTCTTATACACAAATAACAGACAAACAGAGAGCCAAATCATGAGTGAACTCCCATTCACAATTGCTTCAAAGAGAATAAAATACCTAGGAATCCAACTTACAAGGGATGTGAAGGACCTCTTCAAGGAGAACTACAAACCGCTGCTCAAGGAAATAAAAGAGGTTACAAACAAATGGAAGAACATTCCATGCTCATGGGTAGGAAGAATCAATATCGTGAAAATGGCCATACTGCCCAAGGTAATTTACAGATTCAGTGCCATCCCCATCAAGCTACCAATGACTTTCTTCACAGAATTGGAAGAAACTGCTTTAAAGTTCATATGGAACCAAAAAAGAGCCTGCATCGCCAAGTCAATCCTAAGCCAAAAGAACAAAGCTGGAGGCATCACACTTCCTGACTTCAAACTATACTACAAGGCTACAGTAACCAAAACAGCATGGTACTCTTACCAAAACAGAGATATAGATGAATGGAACAGAACAGAGCCCTCAGAAATAACGCTGCATATCTACAACTATCTGATCTTTGACAAACCTGAGAAAAACAAGCAATGGGGAAAGGATTCCCTATTTAATAAATGGTGCTGGGAAAACTGGCTAGCCATATGTAGAAAGCTGAAACTGGATCCCTTCCTTACACCTTATACAAAAATCAATTCAAGATGGATTGAAGAATTAAACGTTAGACCTAAAACCATAAAAACCCTAGAAGAAAACCTAGGCATTACCATTCAGGACATAGGCATGGGCAAGGACTTCATGTCTAAAACACCAAAACTAATGGCAACAAAAGCCAAAATTGACAAATGGGATCTAATTAAACTAAAGAGCTTCTGCACAGCAAAAGAAACTACCATCAGAGTGAACAGGCAACCTACAAAATGGGAGAAAATTTTCACAACCTACTCATCTGACAAAGGGCTAATATCCAGAATCTACAATGAACTCAAACAAATTTACAAGAAAAAAACAAACAACCCCATCAAAAAGTGGGGGAAGGACATGAACAGACACTTCTCAAAAGAAGACATTTATGCAGCCAAAAAACACATGAAAAAATGCTTACCATCACTGGCCATCAGAGAAATGCAAATCAAAACCACAATGAGATACCATCTCACACCAGTTAGAATGGCAATCATTAAAAAGTCAGGAAACAACAGGTGCTGGAGAGGATGTGGAGAAATAGGAACACTTTTACACTGTTGGTGGGACTGTAAACTAGTTCAACCATTGTGGAAGTCAGTGTGGCGATTCCTCAGGGATCTAGAACTAGAAATACCATTTGACCCAGCCATCCCATTACTGGGTATATACCCGAAGGACTATAAATCATGCTGCTATAAAGACACACGCACACGTATGTTTATTGCGGAATTATTCACAATAGCAAAGACTTGGAACCAACCCAAATGTCCAACAATGATAGACTGGATTAAGAAAATGTGGCACATATACACCACGGAATACTATGCAGCCATAAAAAATGATGAGTTCATGTCCTTTGTGGGGACATGGATGAAGTTGGAAATCATCATTCTCAGTAAACTATCACAAGAACAAAAAACCAAACACCGCATATTCTCACTCATAGGTGGGAATTGAACAATGAGAACACATGGACACAGGAAGGGGAACATCACACTCTGGGGACTGTTGTGGGGTGGGGGGAGGGGGGAGGAATAGCATTGGGAGATATACCTAATGCTAGATGACGAGTTAGTGGGTGCAGTGCACCAGCATGGCACATGTATACATATGTAACTAACCTGCACATTGTGCACATGTACACTAAAACTTAAAGTATAATAACAATAAATAAACAAACAAATTAAAAAAAAAGAACTACCAAACTTCTAAAAGAATCTAAAATACCCAAAACATAAAAGATTATATATAATATTTTGAAGAAAATTTAGATGACATCAGATACAAGGTTTGGTAGACTCGACCATATAAAAATTTAAACTCCTAAGCATGACAACTATTTCCATAATCAAAATTAGTTTAGAAAAACAAATTAGGAAAAATATAGGCAACATATATATAACAAAGTGTTAACATCCTTAATATAGGAAGATATCATATAAGTCAATAAGAAAAGGGCATTAAAAGGAAAAAAAGGTTAAAAGTATACCCATTCAATATACAAAAATTGAAACTTCATAATTAATATAACAAAAATAAAGAAACAAGGAAACCCTATTCTTTGATTATCAATTTGTCAAGATTGTTAATGTTAATGAAGGCATGGTGAAATGGGTATTCTTACAAGATAGAACTGTGTTGCAACTTTTCCTGATTAAAATTTGGTAACTAATACCAAAAGTTAACAATATTCATCATTTTGACCCAATTATTTTGCTTTGGGGTACTTGTCATTAAGAAAATAGTCAAAACTATTTACAACGTTATATGCATAATAACTCCCATTTCTGATTTTATATACACATATATATACACACATATACATATATGCCCCCAAACTATGGCACTTATTATTTAAAAGTTAGTACTTCCATAGGAAAAATTTCTATGCCACAACTAAAAACCATTTTTAATAAGCAACATGCAATAAAGTTTGTGATAAAAAGTGAAAAAATTGGATTCAATATTCCATATATACAGTATGATCTTGATTTTAAATGTGTTCTACATACATTTCACCCGAAGTTTGCAAACACAAAGCTCAAGTGTACAATGGAATTTTAGTTAAATTTTGGTGGAAAATTGGGTTGGTGAGGTTCCGATAAAACAGAGAAAAGAAAACAATTTGCAGTTCAGTGGCAGATATTACTATTTCTAAAAATCTAGCACATACCAATCTTCCATTTCTTTTTAGTTTCTCACTGGCTGTGTAGCTCTGTGCATTCCCAGGTCCCCACCATGATGATAGGCCTCCTTGCAAATCTTGAGCTACTACATTTCCTGTTACTTTTTCTTCAAGGAAATACATCTCCCCCTTTGTCTTGTCCTTGTCCATCCAAGTCATGTTCTGTGAAAGTGTATTGGGAGTATGTGGTAACAATCCTACCTATTGACACCAAAAAGGCTTGTCAAGTGCTTTCCATCCTGCTTCCCCTCAAATAAATCAGAAGAACCATCTATCATAATCTGCCATTAATCAAGAAGGCAGGAGCAGCGGCTGTGAGTTTTTAAAAATTATTTTTATTTAAAAATAGCATTTCTTATACCTGATCAATAACTATGTGTATATATTTATATCTTTAGCAATACTTATTTCTGGAAAGGATTACTGAAGATTTTTATCTTTGTTTTTATGTTTTTTTCCTATTTACAAAAAACCTCTGTAATAAGTATGCAATCAGAAAACAAACCAAAATGATTTTCTAATGTTTTTCTATTCTGTTTATTGAAAATGCATGTAAAGCATGCTGAAATACTCTCTTGCATTTGTAATATTGACTCACAAATGTAACTGAATCTTTAATGAGTTTGGATAAAACAATAATTTTTGAAGCAGTAAGGATCATCAGTAGGAAAAAGACACTGCTTCTTACTGCAAAATTCTATTGAGGTAGAAAGAAATTGAGGATCATTACAATGGACTTTTGTTCAAAAGGTGCATCATTCTCTAGTTTAATGGACTTGTAAATGAGTCTGAACATGAGTCTAAATGAACAAGAGCCTAAAGTGAACTTGACAGTTGACATTTTAAAATAATAGTGGGCTATCAATTTATTTTCTTGTCATCCATTTCTCTCTGCTGGAAGAGACTACACATGCACAGGAAGAATCATGATTCGAGAGTTGTAGTTCATTAGATAAGGCTGTGTGTGTGTATGTGCATGTATTTGCACATATGTGTGTTTATGAAGGAATAGCCCTGATCTTTGGATTGAACTGTGTATTATATAATTGATTGTATGTTGCACAATGCTCTCAGAATCAAACTTTGAATTAATTTATTTATAAAATTTTCCCAAACTTTCAGTCTCTCAGAGCCTACCTCTTCTGTCAATATTTATTCATATTAACCTATATTTCATTTATCCCATTCCCTTCATCTTTCCTTAACTGCCCAGTGCTTAAAATGCCATTTGACTAACAGTATTGTTATACGTTCATCTTTAAACAGAGAGAGGATTTCCTACCCATCCCTGTACCTAAACCCAGAAAAGAAGAAACAGGGCTGATTTTCCTGTTCTCCAGACTACTTGAAAGCTAATTTTCTCAGCTTCTTGAATCATATCTCTGACTAACATTTGGGCTAGTCATGAAGAGAAGAAAAGGAAGTGACAAAGAAGACGCTCTGGAATAAACCCTAGGAAGTATGTGCCTGGCTGGGTGATCTAGTAAAACAGCCTGGGGTTTTTTTGTCAGGCAGTTCTAGCCCCCATACCTTCTTTCTATGTGACCATGAATATGTCATTAAAACTGAGTCTCAGCTCCTTCACTGTAAAATAGGACAATATGTTTACCTAGCAGGGTTATTATAGTATTAGAAACATTATATGTAAATAATTATGATTGTATGCCTATATCATGTATCTAATATCAAATATGTCCCCCAATATTAAATATTCAAGTAAACATTTAACTTTGAACAAGTGATTAAATTTCTCCGGGCTTCAGTTTTTTTTTTTTTTTTTTTTTTTGTACCTGCAGTGTGAACAATGCTTTTCCTCACTTACCTCCAGTTTTCATTGATCTATAAAAAGATAATGCAAGGGATACGCTGTGTTTATTTTTGATGCCAAAAAAATTGATTATATTTTTCAGGACTCATTTCTTTAACCGATTGTTTACATAATTACCATCCAAGATTACTATGAAGATTAAGTACATAAAGTGATCCAAAAATATTAACTATCATCATCACCTACATTAAGTAATTTTATCTTCCTTACATTGTCAGACCTTGTTCCTGATTTTTGGTGTGAAAAATATTTCTGTTAAATGTGGGCAAAATTTAGCTGTTCTATCTGGGTCCACACTATCTGGGAAGGCCCTTTTGATTCTCCTGGAGGTTCTGTCAACCATTTGTAGGAGCAGCATAGGCACACTGGCTATGATCCTCCTATGACACTTGTTCTCTGTGTTCCGGATACTCTGGCAACTGTGCAAATTATTTCATTGCTGAAAACTCTCCACTCACCATGAACACCACAGGGCGCTTGAGCACTCATGGCCAAAATCATTAAAACCCAGTCTATGGAAACATATGAACATGGAAAGGACAGTGTCCCTTCACTAGCAGCAAGGATTTGCACTGTCAGAGTACAGATCAGGCAAAGCTCCAGGCTGGCTCTCCTGCTGAGTACACTGGCATTTCCAAACTAGTCATGTTAACATGTATCCCCTCAGCCACTGATCAGATTTTTAGTCATCTAATTACACTGTAAAAATGGGCTTTTCTTCCATGGACAGCTTTGTGAACTCTTTTAAGAAGAGAAATAAAATAGATCAGAGAAACCTGCTTCTCTTAAAACTATATAAAATGATAGCTGCTGATTTTCAGGGGAAAACAAGTAAACTGAAAGGTAATTGAAAGGTAAAGTGGGAACCAGGGAATAATAAAGGCAAGCAGAGCTGTAATGAGAGTTATCCAATTATAATTGTGGGGAATAAGAAATGATTCTCCATCAAGCTCTGTATCGCAAAAAAGCATTCATTTAAGGCCTTCAATTGTGAATAATTTTTCCAAAGATTTAAGTGAGGTTACAATAGGTGGTATACAAACAATCAGTTAATGAAATGAGCCATAAGCAGGATGAGTAGTTCTAATATTAACTATAAATTCAGCTTCTCCCTTGCTTTCTCTTCTTACAGAGCAACGAGAAATGAAAGCTGGTTGATGGATATAAATAAAACAAGTATATGTGCAGTACAGTAGAATTGCTTAACCGGAGGCCTGGGGTCAGTCATCTGAATTACAGGCAATAGAGTCTGACTGTCTGGAGATAACAGATTTGCAAAACCTGAAAATCAAAGCTCATACTCTTATTTCATATATGGACTCCTAAAGTGTAATTTTTTATTTTAAGAAAGAATCTTAACAGCTATTTGGTGGCTTTTTAAAGATTATTAAAGACAAATTCCTTTTTGGATCTTAAATAAGATAGAATACAGAAAAGTTTAAATGAAAGAATTAACCAATAGTAATCCCAGCACACAGAAATAACCACTGTTGGCTATTTTATGTATTTCATTCTAATCTTTTTTTGTTGGATGCATATATATAAATCTATTAAAAATGATTCTCACTTTAAAATTTATATTCTGCCTTTTTCATACTGATTGTTATTTTAAGCACAGAGTTAACAAGTTTGATTGTCTAAAATATTCACAGCATTTTGTGAACAGCAAACTAGGAGAGAGATTCAAGGATGGTTACAGGAGAATAAGCTCTCAACTGTAAAATGAATGTCCATGAGTGAAGTAAGTTAGAAAAAGCCTTGGTGAATAAAATAAGAAAAACATCAGGATTAGAGGGGAAACTCAGAGAATGTACAATTCAACTCTGGTGCAAATGTTTAATTCCGTCTAAAGCAGCCTTGCTAAAAGTATTCCTTTAGCAGTACAGACAGTCCCTGACTTAATGATGGTTTGGCCTACAATGTTTTGAGCATGTTTAAGGTATGCTAGGCTAAGCTATGATGATCAGTAGATTAGGCATATTAAATGCACTTTCAGCTTATGACATTTTCAATTTAGAATGAGTTTATTAGGATGTAACTCTGTCTTGAGAGGTGTCTGTATTTCCCAATGGAGCGCTTTCCATTTTCAGACAGTTCTTACATTAGCTAGAGCAATGCTAGTGTTTATAAAAGATAAAGTGTTCAAATCTAGTTAAATAGCATCCAAAATATGTTGCCTAATTAATGACAGGCTCCCCTCCACATATTGATTCTGGGCCTAGGCTCCTTCCGTCTTTGGCACATAGCTTCAAAGGCTTCCAAGTTCATCAGCATCAAGCCAGTGGAAGAAGAAAGAGCATAGCGGACTGTGCAAAGAAGGTGTTCATGGGCCAGGCCTGAAAACAGCCCACGTCACACACCCTTGGTCAGAACTTAATCACAAGCACACACCTAACGCAAGGGAGTCTGGAAAATGTTATCAAAATGTCGGCCCCAGATGAGGAGAAATAGGTTTGGAAAATAGGGCCAATCTCTGCCATAGTTCTATTCATTAAAAAGTTCATCCTCAAAATGAGCCAAAATTCTGCATAAATTGCTTCTGATTTTTTCCTCCAGGACAACATAATTCTCATCCCACTTCCACAAGATAACCCTTTAAATGCTCAAAAAAATAATTTTGTATCTCTCGTATGTCTTATTTTGTTCAATGTAAATACTCCAGGTTTTCTTCTTTTTTTTTTTAATGTGACATTGCTATTAGAGTCATTTTGAGTTGTCATAGAAATAAGCAAATTTATGTGCTTTCATACTCCTTTAAGGCGTGATTTTTTAGGCAAAACATAACTAATATGCATAATAAAACTCTTTAGTCATCTAGAAACTATTTAAGATCACAGGCAAAGTATGTAACACATTTTTAAAATGACATGCAATGAGATGGTAGAATGGAAATTGTTTGCCCTATGTTAGTATCAACTAAAGCACCCATATAGATATCAGGACACCAAGATGAGCCAAAGACAGAGTGCCCAAATCTATATGCTCCCCATATGTAGATTTATAAAGAAAATGATCCTGAGAAACTAGTCCAAGTCTCTTAGATCCTTCAGCCAGATGAAAGATTAAAAATGGGGTCAGAAAGAAAAAATAGAAAAGGAGATGTCTTTGAGGAGTGCATTTGTCTCACTGTGAGTCTCTACCTGACCCAACTTTGGAGCAGAAGTAAAGTGGCAATCTTTTCACATCTAGTCTAGTGAGGCGATCTTCAAAGGGACCACTTGGAGAAAATGTATGTGTTCTCTGCAAGTGAGAGATGCCAAGAATATTGATATCTAAGAAAGCAAGAACTGAGGTCTCACTAAAGGGTGATAAAGAGACTGACTGGTTAAAGGCTCAGAGCCAGAAGGGCACTCTCACATTGGGATCAGCCTTTACTCCAAAGTTTGTCAGAGCAAACAATGAAAGAATGTTTCCTGTGGGCCATGTGTAGGCCTCACAGGAGAGTATCAATCAGTGTGGAGCTTCTTGGGGCCTACCCAATAGAGGGACCTAGAAAAGCAAGAAGATACCTGGAAGCTGAGAAAGTCATCACAAGTCTTATAATCTAGAAAAGGGATGCATCTGCCCAGGTCAAAAGAAATGGAAGAGCAAGGAATCAGCACAGCACATTCATAGAGCCCACAAAAGCACCCCAAGAGAAAGTCAGCCTTGATGATCTGTTAGGCCCATCCTGTTAGGATGGTTAAAGTCGATGCCAATTTAACCATCCACTTGGGACACAAGGCATAAAGCTACACAGCCAAGTAAACACTGTTCTATCCCCTTACCTCATCTCCCATATGGCACCATATGCAAACTATAGGTACTGCGTGGAGACCAGATGAGCAGGAACAGGAGGAGAAGAAGAAACTCACAATGCCTCATCCCCACTGTGGCCTCCAGTCTTAAGCAGACCCAGAGAGGGGAGGCAACAATGGGTGAGTTCAGAGTTACGATTAAAATCCGACGTGGCAGTCCAAACACTGAATTGAGACTGTTCTTACTACATGAAGTAACCTTCAAGACTAAGCAGAATATTTATGGAACCTCCCCAATTTGCCTCCATGGATAGGGGAAGATGATCACAAGTCATTCTTGTCCAACATACTGATTCCATTTGGGTATTTGGAAAATTCACTAATGTGGAACATCTCTTTCCCAGATGATTATGGATAAAAGGAATTTAGTGTAGCCACAGGATATTTATGACATGAAATGAACAAATAGGTACATTCCTGCATTAGAATGGGATTGGCTATGGTAACAAATAACCCCAGAAACCATAGTGTTCTTATGCATAAAAGTTTACTTCTCATTCACAAAGTCTTCTTTAGATCACACAACTCTCCAAGGCTATTCCTTTCTGCTATAAGCTGAATGTTTGTGTCCCCCCCACAATTCGTAAGTTGAAACCCTAACCTCCACTGGTGACATTAGGGGGTGGGGCCTTTGGGAGGTGATTAGATCATGAGAGTGGAGCCCTCATGAATGAAATTAGTGCCTTATAGAAAGACATCAGAGCATTTGCTTTTACTCTGCTCTCCATCATGTGAGGATACAAGAAGTTAGCAGTCTGTAACCCAGAAGAGAGCCTTCACCAGAACCCAATCATGCTGGCACCCTGATCTTGGAGTTTCAGCCTCCAGAATTGTGAGAAATAAATGTCTGTTTTTATAAGCACCCACTCTATTTGTAATGTATTATACCAGCCCAACTGACCAAGGCACCTTCCAAGCAGGGATCCAGCCTCCTTCCATTCTGAGTCTATGCACCAAACAAAGAGCTTCCAAAGTCACAAAAGACAGAATCTGCAGAGCTCACACCTGCTCTTAAATGCTGCAGAGCGAAAATAACTCATGTCACTTTTGCTCACAGACCACTGTCTGGAACTTAGTCACATGGCTCCATCTGACATAAGGGCCTGGGATGTCTTCCTGTGTGCCCAGGAAGGAAAGGAAAGCTGAATGTGATAAGCACTAGTTATTTCTATCACAAATCTTCTGCACAGCAGCTGCAACACTGATAAGAAGAACATTTAATGTTGCACCACTAGAAGGGTTGTAAGATCCAGTTTTCAGCTCAGGTCTCTCTTGGGAAGTGACTCTTCACACCAAAAAAAAGAGAGAAATGAAATAATACATTCTTTAATTATAGTGGAAATATATAATCTAAACAGAGAATACACATATAAAGAGATAAGAACAGTCAGGTTACCAAGAATGTTGCAGGTTTAAATAAAGACATATCATTATTAAGTTAAATATTAGAGACTAGCAAGTTTCAAAGTATGTTTGGAGAAACACTCTCTGAAGAGATCAACTGATGCAAATTAGTATTTGAAGTACATATTAAGTATCAGCATTAAACAGAGACATATGCAATTCATGCTGAGTGTTTTGAAAGAGCAATAATAAAATATACTTATTGTAATAACAGGGTAAATAGACTCAATATGCTCAAAAATGGGGAAGGTAAAAAGACATTTTATCTTTACTAAAAATGCATTATTAATATCATTTTATAGACGAAGAAAGAGGGGACTCAGAAGGTCATATCAGGATTCTTTTAGCTGCAAGCAACAGAAACTCTTTTGCTTAAACAACATAGAAATGCACTATCTCACTTAACGGTGAGTCTAGAGGTCCAGAGGTGGGGCACACTCCAGGAATCAAGTCTTTACCATGTTACCAGGGCCCCATATTATTTCCATCTTTCCATTGTGTCACCCATAGCATCAGCTGATTCCTCTTTTGGTCCTAAGATGGCTGCTACCAGAAATGCTCCCCACTTTATACCCAGCAGGAGAGAGAGAAAAAAAAAACCTGCTTTCCTCTTCTTCAAAAGCCACCTGTTTCTCATTAGGCTAGTGGTTCACAACTGGGAACAATTATGCCTCCACAAAGGAAATTTGGTGATGTCTGGAGACATTTTTGGTTGTTGTGACTGGGAGCAGTGGTGTTCCTGGCATCTGGTGGGTAGGGTTGCTACACAGGATATGCACAGGATAGCCTCCCACAACAAAGCATGATCCAATACAAAATAGCAATAGTGCTGAGGTGGAGAAACCCTGTATTAGACAAAAGCTTCCTAAGGCCCCAAAACACATCTGCGCTCATCAGTGTACCCCTAACACCTAGTGGAGTGCCTTACACAACTTTCCTCTAGACACAGGCCCACAATCACCTTGCAATTTATTATTGGGGTCCATGTTTACATAGAAAGCCATTTTCTCTGGTTCCAGACACTTTGAAGCTAGTGTAGTCTTGTCTCACAGCAGGATGAAGTCTCAACTATATGCAAGACTTTAGCCAGAGGTCTTTAGAGCTCCTGATCTTAGTGAATTTTCTTCTCCAAGCTGTTGAAAAGAATTCTGTGGTTTGAGTGATCTACGAGAAAGGAAGACAAGTTGCTCACTTCACTGAGCTGATTCTGGTGATCCATATCTGTATAAAAGCATAGGTGAGTCTCCATTGCCTGGGTGCCTTGGAGACATCAGGGATTTAAAAGGTCCTGAGGATTAGGAAGGGCCTTCAAGACAGACTGTTGAGAGTAGGGACTTTTAATTCTCATGTGTTTTGTCACCCTAGCTTCTCCCAAGAGACTGCTGGTAGGGTAGGATAGGATAATGTGTATAAATTATCCTTTACATAGTAGCAGTTAAATAGATGCTTTCTTCCTGTTTCTCTTTTCATCCTTGAGCTTTTAAGTCCCTATTCAGTTTTGCAACCAAAAGGTAAAGTCTGGGGGGGAATACAGAAACTCTGTTTTTAATGATGTTGAAGAGAGGAATCTAAAAAAGAACCTTGTAATAATCAAGGAGCCCTGACTTCCACCTTCACTGCTCTTCACATTTACTAGATCATTAGACTGTTTTGTTGAAACATAGAAGCTAACATTTAAAACAGAACTGGAGAAGGAAGACAGGTCCTCTAAATAGTGATGAAGACAAGGAAGATACAAACAGAATTCAATTAGTTGACAGTGATGTAGTCTGCTGTGTGTGACACTGTATTGGACACTGTGGATGACTTAGGCTTAGGTTCCATCTCCAGTTGTTCAGAACACTTCTAACTTAAAATCTCATGGGTGGCACAAGGTATAAATATTAGTAAAACTAAATATCAAGTGTCCATAATTAATAACAATTTATTACAACTCCCAAAGAGAAGTTTCAAGACAATATAAAAGGAATAGCCAAGTGTAGGGTAGTAAGAATAAATGGTAGGCAATTACCGCAAAGTGGAGATTGCTATAGCTTAGCTTCATTTGAGAAGTTTTCAGAAATCAGACCAGATAAGAGATAATTTTTAAAAGACGCACAGGATTTAGGTTGCATGGATTTACTACATGTTGCCCAGGCCAGTTTACCCAATATAATTTTTTTATAGGAGTAGATGTTGATTTGTTTTGCTTGCTTCCAAAACATACACAGCTCCAGAAAATGATTCACCTTTTTTTGTATTTTCTTTTTGAATTGAGATTCCTGAAAACTCTACTTTAAAAATAACAAGTTCTCAAGGTAGTTTCATACATATGTATTTCCCATTGCTCCCTGTGGTTCTTCTTACATAGTGCTTAGAATCTGGGTAGACATAAAACACCAAGGAGATTGTGAATTAATAGTTCTGAACCACACTAACAAAATTTTAGACCTTTCCTATCCCCAATTTCCTTCTGTGGCTCTTATTGTCAGTGGCCTCTGTTTTATTCCTTTAGCCTCTGGTGCCAATCCCCCCACCTTTACCATCTGCCTACTGATCTCTCTCCCCTACAACACAAGAGTCTTTCTAAAACTCAGATCTGGACATACTACTACCTTGATTAATGCTGTCAATGTTTCCTCCTCATTACTTGCAGCAACAGTCTGCAGGGTATGCATATTCCTGTGGATAATAAACAACATCCCAAGGAGTGCTCAAACAAGGATAGTTTTAAAAGAATTGATTTTCAGATATCCAACTTCTATTTATTCTCTTTCCTAAAGTTGATGTGCCTGAGAAAGCACCTGTGGTCACAAAATCGTCAATTGTTCCTTTTCAACTTTCCCAAAAAACAGGCAAATATCACACTTTTTCTAAATTGTTATGGGAAATTCTCTAGGTTGTAAACACCTTCCGGGAACCACAAAAAGGCAACAATTTGAAATATTAGTGTACAACAATTCGAAATATCAGTGTCGTGTAGAAAGTGAATATCCCTCACAAATGGGTAATAAACTGCATTGCAAGTTTGGTGAGTTTCATATTCATTGTTTGTAAAGACTGAGAAAGAAATTGAAGGAAAACCCAAATTGTTAGCTAAGTATAGTTTGATAATGGATCATTATATAATTTTTAGTCACGTGACTCATAAAGAATTCTAAGAACTGAGGGACATTGCTGTAACAAAACTTTTTCCATTTCCATCTATGTATTTATATGAAAAGTTTCTCAGACCTCCATCTTTAAAAATGAAAAAAAATGCAAAAGAATTGATGCTGATCCTTGCCTCATTCTAGCAAAAAATTGACATTCATCCATGGGTTTTAAAACTAACTTTCAGAGGGCACTATCTCTTTTATTAAGAGATTCAATGCCCATAGAAATTTTAAGTTTGTTTAATATTTATTGAAATTTATAATTCAATTATTCTTTTTGACAGACTATCCATGCTCTATATCAAGTTTGAACAGGTTTACTAGCCAAATATATTCATTGTTAATTTAGAAAAATGTCTTCATTTAAAATGTTTTCAAACTTATTTTTGTATTTTAAGTTTTTGGATAAGGGCTTGAGAAATAATTCTGTGCTAACGATTGTAATGATAAACTCAATCAAGATGAAAATTTAATAAAAATATATTATGGTTCCAGAAAAATTCTTAGCTGTTACATTTTTAAGGGAAATATGAGGGAAGATCAATAAAATGCTTTCATAAAAGAAAGTAATTACCAAGATAAAATTTTAAACAGGACCACACTTCTGTGTGAGAGTAGTTTTGTACACATGGAATGTCTACCCATTGTCAATCATCTTAGGAAGAAGTCAATTCTCAAGCAAGCAAGGAAGTTTCAAGTGGTGGCCTTTAGAATTGTTGAAAGAACATTTTTCTCTTGCTGATCAAGATCTTATTTTGGCTGGTAATTACTTATACTTTGACACATGGAAAAGTTGACGATAACTAGGCACTTTGAATCTAAATGATAGCAGAGGGAAGATAATCAATTGAGCCACTATTTTAAACACCAGAAATTACAGTGAGATTTTTACAGTTTTCACAGAACAAGGAGCTTAGCTCTAGGTGGGGAAAGAAGCACACACACATACAGAAATAAACAAAAAATATATTTTTTAATATATACTTCACAGTATCTACTTAAAATATGAGAAACCTAGAAATAAATCTAACAAAATCTGTGTAATATTTTTATGGAAAAGAATTATAATATTTTACTGAAAGACTTTAAAGAAGCCCTAAATACATGTTCATAAATTGGAAGACTCATAGGATGTCAATTCTCTCCCAAATCAGTTTATGAATTTAAAAAGATGAAAAATAAAATCCCAACAGTGGTTTTCACGTAACTTAATATTAAAGGCTGAATTATGGACTCACCAAATTCATATATTGAAGTACCTCCAAATGTAACTGTATGTTATAGATGGGGTCTTTAAAGGAGTGATTACATTAAATGAGGCTATTTGAGAATTCACTAATCCAGTAGAACCAGTGTCCTTGTGAGAAGGGGAAATTTGAACACAGGCAAGTACAGAGGGAAGATGACGTGAAGACACTGAGGAAGAGGATGGCATCTTTAAGTCAAGAAGAAAGGCTTGGCACAGATTCTTTCCCCATTGCCTTCAAAAGGAAGTAATCCTGCCTCACCTTGATCTTGGACTTGGAACTGCCAGAACTGTGAGAAAATAAATTTCTATTATTTAAGTCACCCAACCTGTGGTACTTGTTATGGCAGCCCTAGCAAACTCATACACTTGATAAGCCTTTTCTAAAATTTTATATTGAGGAAGCCCATGAACAGGCAAGACAAATTTGAAGAAACACAAGAGCTCTAAAGGGTATTAATAGTTTATTACAAAACTATATTAACTAAAAGACAGAGTAGTTTTGGTATAGAGACAAATAGACTAGTAGAACAGAATAGAGAGTGCAGAGATAGAGCCTGTGTTTACCAAAAGCTGATGCATGAGAGATGTTGGAGTAAGATTCAGTAAAAGATGCTATAACAACTGAAGTTCTCTAAAAAGAAATAAAAGTGAATTCTTACCTCACATGATACGTAAAAATCACTCCCAAATGGAATAGAGTCTGAAATATGGAAAGAAAACCTTTAAACACCTAGAATATATTGGAAAATATCTTTATGTACTCAAGTTAGGAATAGAGTTATTAAATAAGACACAGTCATAAACACAAAGGGAAAGTAAACAATAACTCTACTACATTAAAATTGAACACATCTGTTCACAAAAGACACAACACATGTGAAAAGGCGTTGTATAACAGCACAAATATTTATAACACGTAATCAATAAAAGAATTATCCTCAAAATATATAAATGACAATTATAAATCTGTAAGAAAAAAATAACCCAACAGTCCAAAAGAGATGAACAGGCAAATCTCAGAGGAGGAAACTTATGAAAAGAGGTTCAATCTCATCTCTAACTTGCATTCCAGGGAAATAAAAACTAAAACCGTTCCTCACATAGGCAAATGTTACAACATCTGCTACCACCAAATGCTGAAGAGGATGTGGGCAAGGAGAAAAGGGTATACATCTCTTGTGGGCAAATACAGTGGTAGAACCACTTTTGAGGACAATTCAGCAATATTTAGTAAAATCAAAACTAAGCATACCCTATAATTCAGTAATCCAACTCATATATATATATATATATATACACACTTAAACACATTTTAATGGGCATACAGAGACATGTACAAGAATTTTCATACAAATACTTTTGTAATAATAATTGAAGAAAGCCTAAATATTCATCTATAGGAAAAGAAGTATATAATTTAACCGCAGTGAAAATAAATGAATAAGAGCATCACAAATAAATATGGATGATTCTCACAATCATAATAATTAGATAAAAGATTAAGTTGCAAAAGAATGTATATAAATGTGTGTATGAACACAAATACCTATATATAAAATGAGATGCCATTAATATCAAGCTAAAATAAAACCATTGTTAATGGGAACATACAAATGAAATTTTAAAAAAGTATTTTTAAGGAATTGGAATTTCAAGCCCAAATTTGGGACAGTATTTCTATGTGGGTGGCGGCATAATGTGGGGAAGGTGATACACAGAAATACCATCGATTTTGGTAACATTTCATTTCTTAAGTTTATTATGATAGATTTGTACCTTTCATATATTTTAAATACTGTATAACACATTAAAAGGTCTGTTACATCCAAATTATTACAAACAAGTAAAACTTTATTAGCAGTCATTATCTTCTTCCTAGCCATCATTTATCATTTCCCATAATTACTTTTATCATTTTTCAGAAGCATAATCTTCCTAAAAATATAGTTGTTTACATTTCAAATGGGTAGAGGCAGACTATGTTGTAGAAAAACTTGATTGAAAGAGGGTCTTTATTTCTTTACATTGAATGGCAACAAAATGCAACAGATAAATCTTTCACATGACAGACCAAAGAAATTTTTCCTTAATAAGAATGACCATAATTAATCATCTAAATGGGAACACTTTTGAGAAAGAAATAGAGAAATATTAAGTTAAATTAAATTAAATGGAGAAATAATAAATGGGGCAAATGAAGTGGAAAGAGGCACTGTCCGAGACAAACTTACTCTTAGTTGATCATTTCACTAACCAATGCCCTTTGCTTCCGTCACTGATTGCTAACCTGGGCTTTCTTCTTAGCACACAAAAGTACCTGAATAAACAATATATTTTGTGTCCCTGTCATAGTTTTCCCTTTATAAGGGCTAATTCCTAGATTTCCGTTTCTGATAAATTGTTGAGCGATCTGGAGAAAAAATTTCTGGTATATATCACCAAACAGTGCTTGATAAGTGTTTTAAAGATACAGTTGAGCTGGAGAAAAGTAAGGTCAGAAAAAGTGAATGCCAGAACAGACAAGAAAGTGGGAAACAAGAGAGATAAAGGAGTTCTTTGCCTTGAAAGTGGCTTTGGTCCTTAATGCTTCAACTGGGAGACCAGAGACCAAGTGGGAGGATGGTCCAGAAACCACTTTTTCCATCTGGGACATGAAAAATGATATCCTCAAGGAGTAATTAGAGGAAAGATGCTCTTTAGTGAAGATATTTGTCTTCTCCACATTGACCGTGAGAAGAAAGAGAAAAAGAAAATAAATCTCTGAGTGTTCTCAAACACAAGCCATCTGTCACATGACTTTGGGCAAGATTTCACACTTCAGTGTGGCCAGTGAACTTGAAATTTAAACAATTTAAAAAATTTAGTTGAAAGTAGTCCCATGGTGGTAGTGTTTGGTGGTAACTTACTGACAGAACATAAATAGATCCTTTTTAGGGAAAATTACATTTAATCACATTAAATCACCCACAGAAAAAGTGATACAGATAAGATTTCCAGTCATATGAGCTCAGAAGTCATATGAAGCAAGAGTGAGCAGAAACAATAAACTGCAGAGTTAGATCTGATAAGATTTATAGATTAAAATTAGTAGGTATTTTTAAAGGCTGTTTAATATGCTTAAAGAACCAAGGGAGTATTAAATAATGACCAAGAAGATGTGAAAAGGAAACAAAACTTTTAGAAATGAGAAATATAATAACTAAAATTAGAACTCGGTGGACAGGCAGAATAGAATATTAGACAAAGCTAAAGATAGAGAATTAAAGGCTATGAAAATTTCACAGATTGCATTACAGATTATTTTATTTTTAATCTTTTTTTTATTCCAGCATACACTTGTAAACAACTCATGGATCAAGTAAGAACTCATAATGGAAAACAAAATACTGAATGTAAAAACTAAAACACTGGTGGGGTCCAGCCAAAGCTGTATTTAAAGGAATTGTGTACTGTAAATGGTAATACTGGGAAATAAAAAGAAGGAAGGCTTAAAATACATGAGCCATGCATTCACCTTAAGAAGTTAGAATGAAAACAAGAGAATAAACCCAAGGAAAGTAGAAGAAAGGGTATTTATTATAAAAATAAAATCAAAAATGGATTGAATAGACAACAAAGATACAATAGAGAAGTTTGGCAAACCAAATTCAGTAATGTATAACAAAATGAATATGTAATATCTGTGTGGAATTTATATCAGCTATTCAAGATTTAAAATGTTAAAAAGCCAAGTAATGTAATTGGACACCTTATGTTCTTAAGAAAGGAGAAAAAAGTATGAAAATCTCAGTAGATGTGGGAAACGCACTCAATAGAATGTAACCCCCATTTATGATGATAAACTGAGAAACAAAGGGAATTTTCTTAATCTGATATTGATTTGCTCTTTAAACTCTATGAGGAAATATCATATTCAATGTGGTACTTACCATTGCTTCATTTTATAGTAGAGACCAACTTATACTGTAATAATATAAACTCCTGCAAGGAAATGTGTTTTCTGTATGGGTACTAGGTATACTGGGTCGCATTTTAACATAACAATAAATAGTTAACTTTTCCACTGGACAAATAAACCTTGAGATACATGATTATTGGAACAGGACAATAATACAGGACCTTGCATCTAATTAGTAAGGTGGGTTCAAAAATTGCATGATGCACCATGGAAAATCTTTCTCATTTTATGAGAATGACATTTGAAAAAAATTGAAAAAAAATTGTTACTTGGCTGTTTCTAGAATTATCCTTTCTAGATTAAAAACAAAAACAAACAAAACTTCCACTTATGATCTCTGAAGGCAGAGAGAACTGGGCTAAAATTCTAATTCTTCCTTTTACTAGCTATTTACTCTTTGGAAGATACTTAAACTGCCTGTTTCTCAGTTTATCTGTAAAATGGGAATGATCACATCTGTATCATAAGGTGTTATACAAATTAAAGAAACACAGAATTTACCATGCACCCGGCACAAGGTCAAAGCTCAACAAATAGATAACAAATTCATATCTATTTGTATTTCCATGTCTATTTCTCTTTTGGAGTAGCTCAGACTTTAAAATCCTACTTACACATTCCTGATTTTATATTTAGCTGCACATTGGGAAATGAAGGCAAAAAGTCTGCATCTAAGACTAGGACTGAGTATTAAAGGTGGAACAGCACCCTCCTGAGGACAAAGTGGATTTGACAGCCATTGTCACCTCAAGAGTCCTTAGACGGTAGCTAGCTGCCACTTGCCTTGGGAACCAGAACCAGCAACATAATTGGCAAGGCTCAGGGCAGAATAAAAATATGGTGCCCTTTGTTTAAAAAGTATCTAGAATTTTGAGACAGCAATAACAGAGCATTAAGCCAAGCAAAGGACCCCTTGAGCTATAGGGTGTTTTGTTACTCCATGGTTGCATGCCCATAAAGCATCTCTCTCCATTTTCACTCATAGAGAAACAGGATTTGGTTCTTATTATTAAACCAAAAGATCTCTTATGTATGATCTTTAGTCAGTAAAACTTAGTTTCAGTTTGGTGTTTTGCTGGAAGACATATCCGGACAGTCAGTTTCCTTCCACTGGGTGTTTTTTTTTTCTTTCTGTAAACAAACTTTATTTGCATTCTCTTATTAACATTAAAGGTTTACTGAGTTTAGTAAGAATAAAAACTCTCTGTAAATGTAATTACTTTTAGAATTTATTTCCTTTTAAAAGTGTTCCTAAAGGAATTCCTGAAACACATCAAATTTTTCAGATCGTTACCTCTGAGGAAAGGCAGAAGTGATGAGAATTTTGGAGGAGAACATGGGAGAAGAGCTTCGACTCTACCTATAATATTTTATTTCCAAATCTAAATACATATTAAAATTCAATAAAGCTGGGTGGTAGGCATACATATAATATATTCAACTCTGTAAGCTTCTGCCTTTGCAATTTTTTATGATAAAAGTATTTCCAAAAATCCTAAACTAATTATGGTCTTTAAATATAATTTGGGGGAGTTAAAAAAAGAATCTGAATTTAAGTTCTGCCATGCAGTGTGGCTGCATGAACTTGGCCACGTTCCTTTAACTCCTTGAGCTTCCATTCTCTTATAAATTGAGAGGGTTGAACATATAATCTTTAAAGCCCCTTTTAGGCTATTAATCTTTACTTCCATGAAACAAACAATATATTTAGAACATAATTTGATATAAGTTACAATTTCTCAATGTGCATAATTAATTGTGAAGTGGTGGGGCAGTGGGGTAAAACTTGGTAAACCTAAAGTCTAACTGAAAAGAGAATACAGTATGTGGGTATTTTTCCTTCTCTCAACTTTGCTTTTAAGAGAAACAGGCTAACCATGAAAACAAAAACAAACAAACAAAAACACATCAAAAGCCTCATGTCAAATATTCAGAAGTTTCCATTTTTTTGTTGTTATTGTTGTTGTTGTTTGTGGTTTTTTGTTTGTTTGTTTTAGAGACGGAGTCTTGCTCTGTTGCTCAGGCTGGAGTGCAATGATGCAATCTTGGCTCACTGCAACCTCCGCGGTTCAAGTGAATCTCCTGCCTCAGCCTCCCAAGTAGCTGGGATTATAGGCACCCATCACCACGCCTGGCTAATTTTTGTATTTTTAGTAGAGATGGGGTTTCACCATGTTGACCAGGCTGGTCTTGAACTCCTGACTTCAAGGGATCTGCCCGCCTCAGCCTCCGGAAGTGCTGGGATTACAGGCGTGAGCCACCTCGCCCAGCCTATTTCAATTTTTAAGGTAGAAAATTTGAAACTTTCAGCTGCGTGTGGTGGCATGTGCCTGTATTCCCAGCTACTTGGGAAGCTGCAACGGAAAGATTGCTTGAGCCTAGGAGTTTGAGGCTGCAGTGAGCTATGACCATGATGCTGCACTTCAGCCAGGGCAACAGAGCAAACTTAAAACAACCTTTGCAAAGATTATGACAGTGAAAGAAGTCTAGCACAGCTGACTCCACAGGCTGGCTTCTAGCCCCACAGGCTGGCTGTCCTCACTCATTCCTGGGTGTAGGCCAAGCTAACCATGGGAGGAATTTAGTTTATAGTTTAACTTTAATGTAAGGATGATTGATAATAGTCCCTTACTAAAACTGATCCCCTCCTGTTCAGGAATGGAAACCACCTTTGTCTGAATTTTTGGCATGAAAGAACAATGATTAGAATTACGGGAGGGGCCTGAATTCTGCTAAAATGTAGGTGTAGCTAAACAATAACCAGCCATTGTCCCTAGCTTGTTTTTCTATAATCTCTTAATGCTCAGGAATCATATGGCCAGAAGTCACAAGATTTGTGACTTTGCCAATTTCTCCTATAGATAACATCACTATTGTAAAACTTAAGATTGGTCTTTTGAGATATTTTTCAGACTTTTGCATTCTGGCAACTCACCCGACTGAGACCAGTGACTCATGACTCAGCTGGTCCTGTGTTTCCCACCCAGAGGTGGACTCAGCGCATGAGGACCATCCGTTTTCCACATTCCTATGATTTCATCACCAACCAATCAGCAGCACCCATCCTCTAGCTCCAAATTGCCCATAAAAGCCCTAGCCTCTGAGTTCTCGAAGAGGCTGATTTGAGTAATAATAAACTCCTATTCTACCACTTGGCTGGCTTTGCATTAATTAAACTCTACTGCAATAATGCTATCTCAGTGAATTGGGCTTATCTATGCCACAGGCAAGAAGAATCTGTCATATGATTACAAGACCATGTTAAAAAAAAAAAGAAAGAAAATTTGAAACCTCTATTTCCAAATATTAGGAACTTGGAAAAATATGCACAAAGCTAGGATTTCTAGTAAGGTGGGGTTCATATACTTTCCTGATACACTTTCCTGATACAGTTTTCCGTGTCAAGAGAGATAAGTCACTAGGTGATAAGCTAGATGTGATTAGGAGGGGGTGGTGAAGACTGTGACAAACTAGAAAGAGTATGTCCTAATTGGATAGTCAGCATTTAGCTTTAGTTTATTATTCCCATGTGTCAGTTTGAGGCTGACATTAACAAAGCTTCCCATTTTCCAAAAGAAGACCCAGAAACCAGAAGATACAGAAACCTGGACTTTTGGATATTTTTCGTAGTTTTTATTTGTTGGTAAATCATGCAGATCTTTTCTTAGAAGTGAGTTGTCTATCAGATAAAAACATCAAAGGGCTCAATTTAATTCATACTATTAATGTTTTACTGACTTCTGGGCTTAAGTGTGTTTGTTGGTTATGTTCTGTTTTGAGGTTTTCAGTAACATTATTATCATGTCTACAGGAATTGAAGCTATTAGTTACTGAGCCCCAGGTTATTACCCCATACACACATTTTTCTGGTGACTTCAGCTCCTAGTTCATTCTCATGCTGTCTGTACTACTTATTATATCTGCACTCTTGGTGATTTCAACATATGCATATGTGATACTTTCACAGCCTGGCTGCTCAGATCCTTAATGTCTGCCCCCCAAAGATCTTGCTGTTCACCCTACTGCAGCAACCTTACTCCCCAGATCACATGGTAGATGTCAAGACTCCTAACTTCAATCCGGCCATAACCCCACCCCACTCTCTGATCACCATCTTTCATCTTTCCAGTTTATTCCCTCTACCCTGACTGCTGGTTCCAATGTCTTTTGACTCTTCAAGTCACCTACCTTCAATTGACCATTCTACCTTTTTACTATCCCTTTGAGGAAAGAAAAGAACTTTCATATGAGCAATTGAGCCCTTTCAAATTATCAGACTTGGAGAGGCATTAAAATGAGACAGCAATCATGTCCTACTTCCTCCCTTAGAGCTATGCATTAATCTCTGGAAACTGCATGCTATTGCACCAAGTAGCTATTAATTAACCTAATAAGGCTGCACCGGACACTACAACCCATACCCTATAGGTTAACAATGTGTAGCCAATCACTAATCAATGTTATTTCTATAAAACAATGAGAATTCCTGACAAACCACTTTGCACCAGCCCACTCCTGTACCCGCTTTTATTTGCCTTTAAAAATCTGCTTGTAACAAACAGAGCTTATATCCAAGGTTACCCGGGTCTGAGTCTTCTGGGCAGCTATCCTCACTTTGGCTCAAGTGAACTCTTTAAATCACATTTTGTGCTTTAGCCTCTTTCTTTTAGGTTAACACCTTAATGCCCCAATATCCTCTCTTGCTTCTTATCCAGTTACAAATTCCAATGTCAATATTTATAGTCACTTACTTGCACATATTCAATTCCGTACCCATCTCTCTCTTTATTTTACCTGAAGGCAAAACCAGAATCCTGGCTAAATCCAAATCTCCAGTATTCCACATCTGCATTTCAGCTGGGAGCGTCTAGGGGAAAACATTCAGCTATGCCAATGGCAGTCACCTTAAATTCCTGACTGGAACCACAAAGGGGACCCTTAATTTTTTCAGATAATTGCCCTATATTTCTCTAGTTTACTATGAGGTAAATGCTAGTAGTAAGAGGTACATATGTACAATAGAAAAAAGAGAGAGAATATTATCATCAGAGAGTGGTGAGAAGATTATGAATATTGCAAATGAATGAATTTGCAGTATGGTAAGAAGGAAAGATTTTTGAAGGACAAAAACTAAATCATGCCATCAACAGTAAGCACAGTGCTTCAGCAAGACATAAAGAAGTGTTAAGGGCAGAATGGATAACCTTCTAAGTGTGGCTTGAGAATCAGCATCCATACTGGAAGCCCGCTAGCTTAATATTCACTGAGGAGAAGGATCAACGTTTGTTAAAGCCCTAAAGACAAAGCAAGGTGAAAATGCTATTGCTGAGCGTTTTAGTGCAGCTCTTGAATGTGCAATGGTTCAAGGCCTATTGATCCCTGCACATCACCAAAAGAGTAATGATGAGGCCAACAGACACTGGGGCATTCTGGGGCTGCCCTGGAGAGCATGAGTTGTGTGGGTGAGGAGAGGAGAAGATTATCGGCTTTTGCTAATTTTTAATGCAGATGAAACTGATCTAACTGTTCTATTTTGGGAAACGTTACCTGAGAGAATAACCATCAATTAGGTAGAAATTTGATCCCCGTTTTAAAACTGCGAAGAGACTGCGAAGGGCCAAATCAAACTATAATTTGGTTGGAACTGCATCAAAGTAATACATGTGAGACCCCTTTCCAACACTTTAGAGTTATAAGCAAATGGACGCAGGAGTAACTTTTTAGAAACTGATCTGCTTTATATTTTAAAAAGGAAAACTTCTATAATTAAATAACAACAATGACAAAACAATCACTTTGGGGTTATATTTAGTCATTTATAACAATAGACTGAAATCTTGAGGGAAAAAACTATATCTTCTGTTCTTTTATTCCTAGCCCTAGAAAATTCTATTAAAGCAAACGCTCAGAAAATATATGTAGATTAAATAAATCACTGAAAATAAATCATAAGACAGGTATCCTTAGATATCAGCCAAAAAAAATCCCAGGAATGTACATATTTTTAGACTATAACTAGAAACTTTTAAAATACCTTTTTTGAAAGATTTTTAAGTTTAAGAGAAGGGAAAAAAATGGGTGTTAGAACTCCTTCTCAGTTAATTAAAATTCTTATTTTCTCTGAGCATTTTCGCTAATTGGTAGGAGAGGGCAAGATGGCTGACTAGACACAGACAAGTAGAACAGCTACCACCAAGGGACCGAAACTACTGGAACACTCCTAACAGATCTTCAGAGGGGAAGCACGGAGAGTAGACAGAGGGAAGACACAGAAGCTGGGGTGAAGGGGGAGGAAGCCGGGAACCCTCCATAGGGCTACCGTGGGCTGGGACTCATTCCTGGCCCCCAACAGCTCTTGGGGAACAGGTGAGTTGAACTGGGGAGGAACAACCCACTCTCACCATGGGCCTCTGGAATCCCGGCAGGAGGAGACCCCCTCAACCACCTTGGACACTCAAATTAACAGGGAGAGCTGCTTAGAGAAGTGGGAGGGGCAGCGGACCAGCTGTCCTGAAGCCCAAAGGGTTTGGTGCAGGAGCATCTGTAATGGAGCGGCTGCCAGAGATGGCCGTCCCCCTAGGCTTGACTTGCTCCCAAAGGAGACTTTATCCTTAGGGGAACTATGGGACATGAACTCTGCAGAGCAGTCTTGCCCATTAGGCTGGGTGGTCTGACCTGAGCACCTCTTGGTCTGCTGACCTCTCCCAAGGCCCCAGCATTGCTGGGCCTGCTTGCAGGGCAGCCTTTGGTGCCCTGAGGGCCCACATCATAGCTCCTGCACTGGTGGGCCGTGCCTGACCAGCAGAGAGCTCCAGTGGGGTGGTCCTCACCACTGCACACCAGCCCAGCCCACCTTCTCCCTCCCAAAACTGCAGCTTCCCCCAGGTCCAAAGCAACCGTCCACATTGTTTGCAAAACACGGGTGAGCAGGTTTTGCCTTCCTTGCCCCTCCTGCGTGTGTGTGTGTGTGTGTGTGTATGTGTGTGTGTGCACCCTGCCCTGTCACTGCTGCAGCAGTGGAGCAGTCCATCCCCACCATCAACTGCCATTGCAGTGGGAGCTTTGACGTGCAGAGCCAGCCAGCCCTGCCCCTGACAGCACCCACCCCTTACGCCAATACCACTAGGGGAGTGAAACGAGGCACAGAAAAGAGTGGATCCTCCCACGCCCTAAGAAATCAACCTTGCCTACAGTGCACAGAGAGGGCACACAGACCTGCACCCACCAGTGCCCCACCCCTGTGCCACCACCACCACCAGCATGACCTTGCACACAACTGCCAGCAGGGCCCCTGGCCTCCAGGATTGCCTCCAGGATTGTGGTGAACCCAGGCACAGAGGCAGGCACTCTAGCGCCCTGCTGCAGCCAATGAGCATTCGCCTCCCCACTGCCACTGAGGCTGCTGCTGGCACGTGCAAATGAGGATGGATCCTGCTGTCACTGCAGTATGAAACACTTTGCCTGACACCACCCATTGGAGGGTAATGACCAGCAGTCTGGGAGTACCTCACCCCTGGACCCCCAGCGCAGTGGGTTCCTAATCTCAAGGAGTCAGGGAACAAAGTCAGGGCCCAATAAAAGTCCCCCACAGTCAGAACACACAGTCCAGGAGTTCAGAGCTGAGTGTTGGCCCCCTAAAATCTTCCAGAAATGAAGCCACTTGGCTGAATCACCTTATACCACAGTCAAACCTCAGGGTCATCAAATAGGATAACAGAAGAAAAGAAAAGCCATCCAAAGGTCAGCAATTTCAAAGATTAGAGGAACATCAGCCCACAAAAGTGAGAAAGAACCGGTGCAAGCACCCTGAAAACTCAGAAACCCAGAAACCCAGAGTGCCTTCTTTCCTGCAAAGGACCCCACCACATTTCTAGCAAGCATTCTGAACCAGGCTGAGATGGCTGAAATGACATAAATAGAATTCAGAATATGCACAGGAAGGAAGATCATTGAGATGCAGGAGTTCATTGAAACCCAATGCAAAGAAGCTAAGACTCACAATAAAACAATGCAGGAGCTGACAGACAAAATAGGGAGTGATATGGCTTGATTCTGTGTCCCCATCCAAATCTCATCTTGTAGCTCCCATAATTCCCAAGTGTTGTGGGTGGGACCTAATGGGAGATGACTGAATCATGGGGGACAGATATTTCCCATGCTTTTCTCCTGATAGTGAATGGGTCTCACAAGATCTGATGGTTTTAAAAATGGGAGTTTCCCTTCACAAGCTCTCTTCTTTTATCTGCTGCCATGTGAGATGTGCATTTCACCTTCCACTATGATTGTGAGGTCTCCCCAGCCATGTGTAACTGTGAGTCCAGTAAATCTATTTCTTTTGTAAATTGCCCAGTCTCAGGTATGCCTTTATCAGCAGCATGAAAATGGACTAATACAATAAATTGGTACCAGTAGAGTGGGGCGCTGCTGAAAAGATACCCAAAAATGTGGAAGCAACTTTGAAACTGGGTAACAGGCAGAGGTTGAAACAGTTTGGAGGGCTCAGAAGAAGACAGGAAAATGTGGGAAAGTTTGGAACTCCCTAGAGACTTGTTGAATGGCTTTGCCCAAAATGCTGATAATGATATGGACAATGAAATCAAGGCTGAGGTGGTCTCAGATGTAGATGAGGAACTTGTTGGGAACTGGAGCAAAGGTGATTCTTGTTATGCTTTAGAAAAGAGACTGACTTAGCCTCCTAGCCTACATCTTTCTCCCATGCTGGATACTTCCTGCCCTCAAGCATCGGACTCCTAGTTCTTCAGTTTTGGGACTCGGACTGGCATTCCCTCTTCCTCAGCTTACAGACAACCTACTGTGGGACGTTGTGATCATGTGAGTTAATACTACTTAATAAACTGCCATATATATATATATATATATATATATATAAAGTAGTAATAAACTGCCATATATATATCATATATACTTTATTAAGTAGTAATAAACTACCATATATATTATATATTTATTTTACATATTTTATATATATATATATATATATATATATATATATATATATATATATATTCATCCTATTAGTTCTGTCTCTCTAGAGAACACTGACTAATACAATTACCAAGAAAAAGAAGTCCAGGACCAGACAGATTCTCAGCTGAATTCTATCAGACATTCAAAGAAGAATTGATACCAATCCTATTGACACTATTCCACAAGATAGAGAAAGAGGGAATCCTCCCTAAATCATTCTATAAAGCCAGTATCACCCTAATACATAAACCAGGAAGGGACATAGCAAAAAAAAGAAAACTACAGACTATTATCCTTGATGAACATGGATACAAAAATTCTTAATAACATACCAGCTAACTGAATCCAACAGCATATCAAAAAGATAATCCGCCATGATCAAGTGGATTTCATACCAGGGATGCAGGAATGGTTTAACATCTGCAAGTCAGTAAATGTGATACACCACATAAATAGAATTAAAAGCAAAAATCACATGATCATCTCAATAGATGCAGAAAAAGCATTTGACTAAATCCAGCATCCCTTTATGATTAAAATCCTCAGCAAAATCAGCATAGAAGGGACAAACCTCAATGTAATAAAAGCCACCTATGAAAAACCCACATCAACGTAATACTGAATGGGGAAAAGTTGAAAGCATTCCTTTAAAGAACTGGAACAAGACAAGGATGCCCACTCCCACCACCTCTATTCAACGTAATACTGGAAGTCCTAGCCAGAGCAATAAAAAAAAGAGAAAGAAATAAAGGGCATCCAAGTGGGTAAAGAGGAAGTCAAATTGTCACTGTTTGCTGATGATATGATTGTATAACTAGAAAATCCCAAAGACTCCTCCAGAAAGCTCCTAGATCTGATAAATTAATTCAGCAATGTTTCAGGATACAAAATTAACATACATACTTAGGAACCAAGGAAGTGAAAGACCTGTACAAGAAAAACTACAAAACACTGCTGAAAGAAATCACAGATGAAACAAACAAATGGAAACACATCCCATGCTCATGGATAGGTAGAATCAATATTGTGAAAATGACCATACTGCCAAAAGCAATCTACAAATTCAATGTAATTCCCATAAAATACAATCAGTATTCTTCACAGAACTACAAAAAAAATCCTAAAATGTATATGAAACCAAAAAACGAGCCCACATAGCCAAAGAAGACTAATAAAAAAGAACAAATCTGGAGACATCACATTACCTAACTTCAAACTATACTATAAGGCCATAGTAACCAAAACAGCATGGTACTGGTATAAAAAAGGCACATAGACTAATGGAAGAAAATAGAGAAACCATAAATTAATGCAAATAATTACAGCCAACCGATCTTCAACAAAACAAACAAAAACATAAAGTGGGGAAAGGACACCCTATTCAACAAACGGCACTGGGATAATTGGCAAGCCACATGTAGAAGAATGAAATTGGATCCTCATCTCTCACCTTATACAAAAATCAACTCAAGATGGATCAAGATCTTAAATCTAAAGCCTGAAACCATGAACATTCTAGAAGATAACATTGGAAAAACCCTTCTAGACATTGGCTTAGGCAAAGACTTAACGACCAAGAACCCAAAAGCAAATGCAACAGAAACAAAGACAAATAGATGGGACTTAATTAAACTAAAGAGCTTCTGCACAGCAAAAGGAGTAGTCATCAGAGTAAACAGTCAACCCACAGAGTGGGAGAAAATTTTCACAATGTATACATCTGACAAAGGACTAATATCCAGAATCTATCAGGAACTCAAACAAATTAGCAAGAAACAAACAAACAATCCTATCGAAAAGTGGGCTAAGGACATGAATAAACAATTCTCAAAATAAGATATACAAAAGGCCAACAAACATATGAAAAAATGCTCAACATCATTAATGACCCAGAAATGCAAATCAAAACCGCAATGTGGTACCACCTTACTCCTGCAAGAATGGCCATAATAAAAAAATCAAAACATAATAGATGTTGGCATGGATGTGGTGAAAAGAGAACACTTCTACACTGCTGGTGGGAATGTAAACTAGTACAACCACTGTAAAAAAACAATGTGGAGATTCCTTAAAGTAGAACTACCATTTGATCCAGCAATCCCACTACTGGGTATCTACCCAGAGAAAAAGAAGTCATTATACTAAAAAGATACTTGCACACACATGTTTATAACAGCACAATTTGCAATTACAAAAATATGGAACCAACCCAAATCCTCATCAATCAATGAGTGGATAAAGAAATTGTGGTGTGTGCGTGTATATAGGAATGATTGAATCCTACTCAGCCATAAAAAGGAACATATTAATGGCATTCACAGCAACCTGGATGGAACTGGAGACTATTATTCTAGGTGAAGTAACTCAGGAATGGAAAACCAAACACCGTATATTCTCACTTATAAAAGGGAGCTAAGCTATGAGGATGCAAAGGCATAAGAATGATATGATGTACTTTGGGGACTCAGAGGAAAGGGTGGGAGGAGGGTGAGGGATAAAAGACAACAAATTGGGTTTAGTGTTACTGCTCAGGTGATGGGTGCACCAAAATTTCACAAATTGCCACCAAAGAATTTACTCTGTAACCAAATACCACCTGTTTCCCCAAAACCTGTGGAAATAAAGGAAAATGCAAAAATAAAAAAGGATGGCCGGGTGCGGTGGCTCACACCTATAATCCCAGCACTTTGGGAGACCGAGGCGGGTGGATCATGAGGTCAGGAGTTCAAGACCAGCCTGGCCAAGATGGTGAAACCCTGTCTCTACTAAAAACACAAAAATTAGCCTGGCATGGTGGCAGGCGCCTGTAATCCCAGCTACTTGGGAGGCTGAGGCAGAGAACTGCTTGAACCCAGGAGGCGGAGTTTGCAGTGAGCCAAGATCGCGCCAGCGCACTCCAGCCTGGGTGACAGAGCAAGACTCCATTTAAAACAAAAACAAAAACAAAAAACCAAAAAAAACACCAAAATTCTTTGGAAATAATGAAAACAAACGTACAATATACCAGAATCTCTGGGACACATCTAAGGCAGTGTTAAGAGAAAAATTTCTAGCACTAAACTCCCATACCAAAAAGTTAGAAAGATCTCAATTTAACAACCTAACCTCACAACTAAAGGAACTGGAAAATGAAGAGTAATCCAACCCAAAGCTAGCAGAAGACAATAAATAACCAAAATCAGAGCTTAATTGAAGGAGATTGAGACATAAAAAAACCATTCAAAAGATCAATTAATCCAGGAGTTGGTCTTTTGAAAAAAAATTAATAAAATAGATAGACCACTTGGTAGACTAATAAAGAAGAGAAGAGAGACGATCCAAGTAAACACGATCAGAAATGACTAAGGGGATATTACCACTGACCCCACAGAACTACAAAAAAAATCAGAGAATATTATGTACATAAAACAGAAAATCTAGAATAAATGAATAAATTCTTGGACACACACACACTCCCAAGACTGAGCTAGGAAGAAATTGAATCCCTGAAAAGATCAATAACAAGCTCCTAAATTGAGTTAATAATAAATAGCCTACTAACTGAAAAATCCCAGGACAGACCGATTCACAGCTGAATTATACCAGATATACAGATAAGAGTTCCTACTGAAACTATTCCAAAATATCGAGGAGGAGGGACTTCTCCCCAACTGATTCTATGAGGCTAGCATCATCTTGATACCAAAACTTGGCAAAGACACACACAAAAGAGAAAACTTCAGGCCCACATCCTTGATGAATATTGATACAAAATCCCTCAGCAAAATACTTGCAAACTGAATCCAGCAGCACATCAAAAAGCTTATCCACCATGATCAAGTAGGCTTTATCTCTGGGATGCAAGGTTGGTTCAACATATGCAAATCAATAAATGTTATTCATCACGTAAGCAGAACTAAAGACAAAAATCACATGATTATCTCAATAGATACAGAAAAGGCTTTGGATAAATTTTAACTACTTTTCATGTTAAAAACTCAGCAAGCTAGATCTAGAAGGAACATACCTCAAAATAATAAGAGCCATCTATGACAAACCCACAGCCAACATCATACTGAATGAACAAAAGTAGAAGCATTCCTCTTGAAAACCAGCACGAGACAAGGATGCCTTCTCTCATCATTCCTATTCAACAAATATTGGAAGTCCTGGTCAGAACAGTAAAAAGAAAGAAATGAAGGGCATCCAAATAGCAAGGGGGGAAGTCAAACTATCCCTGTTTGCAGACAACATGATCCTATATCTAGAAAACCCAGTCTCAGCTCAAATGCTCCTAAAGCTGATAAACAATTTCAGCAATGTCTTAGGATACAAAATCAACATACAAAAATCACTAGTATTCCTATACACCACCAGCAGTCAAGCTGAGAGCCAAATCAGAAAGGCAGTCATATTCATAATAGCCCCCAAAAGAATAATATACCTAGGAACACAGCTAACCAGGGAGGTGAAAGATCTCTACAAGGAGAATTACAAAAACACTGTTCACAGAAATTAGAGATGACACAAACAAATGGAAAAACATTTCATGCTCATGGACAGGAAGAACCTTAAAATGGCCATACTCCTCAAAGCAATTTATAGATTCAATGCTATTCCTATTAAACTACCAATGATATTCTTCACAGAACTAGAAAAAGCTATTTTAAAATTCATATGGAAACAAAAGAGAGCTCAAATAGCCAAGGCAGTTCTAAGTAAAAATAACAAAGCTGCAGGCGTCATACTACCCAATTCATGCTATGCTACAGGGCTAAAGTAACCAAAACAGCATGGTACTGGTACAAAAACAGACACATAAACCAATGGAACAGAATAGAGAGCCCAGAAATACGGCCATACACCTATAACTATACAATCTTCAACAAAACTGACAAAAATAAGCAGTGGGGGAAATGACTCCCTATTCAATAAATGGTACTGGAATAACTGGCTAGCCATATGCAGAAGATTGAAAGTGGACCCCTTCCTTACATCGTGTGCAAAAATTAATTCAAGATGGATTAAATGTAAAACCCCAAACTATAAAAACCTTGGAAGACAACATAGGTAATACCATTCTGGATACAGGAACAGGCAAGGATTTCATGACAAAGATACCAAAAGCAATGGCAATAAAAGCTAAAATTGACAAATGGTATCTAATTAAACTAAAGAGCTTCGCACAGCAAAAGAAACTATCAACAAATAAACAGACAACCTACAGAATAGGAGAAAATTTTTGCAAACTATGCATCTGACAAAGGTTTAATATCCAGTGTCTATAAGGAACTTAAACAAATTTACAAGAGAAACAAACAACCGCATTAATAAGTGGGCAAAGAACATGAACAGGCAGTATTCAAAAGAAGACATATATGCAGCTAACAAGTATATGAAAAAAAACTCAGCATCACTAATCATCAGAGAAATGCTAATCAAAACCACAATGAAATACCATGTTGCACCAGTCAGAATGGCTATTACAAAAATGTCAAAATATAACAGATGCTGGCAAGGTTGCAGAGAAAAAGAAAGACTTATACACTGTTTTGGGGAGTGTAAATTAGTTCAACCATTGTGGAAGACAGTGTGACAATTCCTCAATTATCTAAAAACAAAACTGCCATTTGTTTGACCCAGCAATACCATTATTGGGTATATACTCAAAGGAATATAAATTGTTCTATCATAAAGACACATGTGAGTATATGCTCATTGTAGCACTATTCACAATAGCAAGGACATGGAATCAACCTAAATGCCCATCAATGGTAGACTGGATAAAGAAAATGGGGTACATATGCACCATGGAATACTATGCAACCACCAAAAAGAATGAGATCATGTCCTTTGCAAGAACACGGATGGAGTTGGGGGCCGTTATCCTTCGCAAACTAACACAGGAATGGAAAACCAAATACCGCTTGTTCTCACGTATAAGTTGGAGCTAAATAATGAGATGACATGGACACATAGAAGGGAACAATACACACTGAGGCCTAGCAGAGGGTGGAGGATGGGAGGAGGGAGAGGATGAGGACGAATAACTAATAGGTACTAGGCTTAATACCTGGGTGATGAAATAATCTGTACAACAAACCCTCCGACATAAGTTTACCTATATAGCAAACCTGCACGTGATGCCTGAACTTAAAATAAAAGTTCTTTAAAGGACTGGTTTTAGCTCATTTTTGTGGGCTGTGTAATTAGAGAGTAAATTCCATTTATTTGAAGATGCAATTCACTAACAATTTTGATCAAATTTAGAATGAACGTTAACAGTAAATTCAGAATTGAATATGTTGATATTGGGTTAAATTAAGAAGCTTTTTAATAGTCAAATAATTATAAATAGCTTTTATTGAAAGGTGTGCCCCAGTAATATCTGTTATTTGGGGGTCAATACAGTTAAACTCTCTCATAAAAAAAGAAAATTGTGTTGCATTTTGAATTAACTTGTTGACAGTCTGATTGTATAAAACATGCAGTTCACTGTGCTCCATGCGGTTCCAAAATAGACATTAAAGAAGATTAAAGGAATAAAAAACAAAGTGCTCAGTGTTCTTAGTGTTCAGTGTCCTTTTAGGTACTGAGAACTGTTTATGCCACCTATGATATTACTATTTGTATTCACATGGCTTCTTTTCTGGATGATCTTGTTTCATACTTCATCACCTTCCTTTTTCACTTGATTGCCAGATAGACCGAGGATCCATGCAGACTTGAGAAACAAGTACTCTAGTTGTATGAGCCTGGGCAAAACACACGCACACACACACACACTCACACACAATTTCCCTGTTGCCTCAACTTCCTCATTTGTAAATTCAATTCAATATTTTGAGTGCCTCTCATATTTCAGCATTTGTGCTTGGGTATTCACAAAGGTGATCTGATTTCATCCTCATTAAGAATTCTGTAGGTAATTGGCCGGGTGCGGTGGCTCACACCTGTAATCCCAGCACTTTGGGAGGCTGAAGTGGGCGGATCACAAGGTCAGAAGATCGAGACCATCCCGGCTAACACGGTGAAACCCCGTCTCTACTAAAAATACAAAAAATTAGCCAGGCGTGGTGGCGGGCACCTGCGGTCCCAGCTACTCCGGAGGCTGAAGCAGGAGAATGGCATGAACCCGGGAGGCGGAGCTTGCAGTGAGCCGAGATCGTGCCACTGCACTCCAGCCTGGGCGACAGAGCGAGACTCCATCTCAAAAAAAAAAAGAAAGATTTCTATAGGTAGTCATTCTCATTTTATAGAAGAGGAATCAGGGACTCATAGAGGTGGTTATTTCACCGAGATCAGGTGACTAGTAGGAAGAATCAGAATGAAAAACCAGATCTATATGATTTCTAAGCCCAGGCCTTTGCCACTAAAACCTGCTGCTACCTTCCAGGAAGAATTGTATTATAAATGGAATCCATAAAACTGACCAAATGAACAAAAATGAGTAAAAATAAGGAATACGTTATTAATCCTGAATCCAAAGAAAGATTCCTGCTTCATACATACCATAGACTTTGATTGCTATTGTTTATATAAAAAACAGCAGTCACCCAAGCTAAACATTTGGACTCAATATCCTCCATTTGCTGCATCCCCCATATTCAATGTAAATATATGACAGTACATCCCATTTTAAGAAAATTAAATTTACAATATTTGTCATACAAAGAACGTATAGACTTGGAAACATCATAAACCTTCCTTCTGGTTCAACTGCTTCATTTTACAGATGAGTAAACTGAAACTTGAGAAGTTTAAGTCATCCACCCAAGGTCATCCAACAAGATAGCAACCGAGGTGAAACTAGAACAGAGCTCTCCTGATGGTCTATTAGCACTCCTTTCTTTATATCATGCCGTCACCTTTGCAAGGGATGCTATGGTGCTATCAAATGACAAATTCATCAAATATTTACTGAATGCCGATTGTGTGTCAGGCACTGTGATGTAATAGTAAGCAAAAGAGTGTAATGGTAAGCAAACAAAATAGAGTCTTTGTACTCTTGAGACTTACAGTTTAGTAGGAGTTAGAGACATTTATCAAATAATCACACTAATATATAACTGCACACCATAAAAGCACTATAAAAACTACACAGTGCTGTTATGAGAATGTATAGCTAATCTGCTCTGACAGAGCAGATTAGATCTATGGGAAGTCAGGCTAAGTTTCACCAAAGAAGTGATGTTTGAACTAAAATCAGTGTGAGTGGTGGCCCATAGAGGAAAGGAAAAGCAGAGTGCCTCCTACCTACCTATGGAGACTTGGTTTCCAAAAACCCAAAGCATATCAAAGTCAAAATTAAGTTCAAAGATATAAACCAATGACTCAGAAATGTGGTCCCCTGAACCAGTGTAATGAACTGACAATCAAAATTAAAACATGTCCTGAGATCAAATGCTCAGCAGTTCATTTTAAGAAGTAATCCACCGATGCTAGGAGGAATATTCAAAAGCACACCGAAGTCAAATACGTGTGCACTAAAACTCTAGGGTTGTTACATGTGGTGGTTTGAAAATGGAGATTTGCAAGTAACTATAAAATTGATGAGTGTGCGACATTTGTTGTTGGCAACTTGGAACCATCACCATCAGTCCCTCTTAAGGCTGAAAACTATAATGCTCAAAATTCCTATCCCTGTAAATTTCAGGGTTAGAAATTTGCCAGTGAAAGAAACTTGCGTGAGATTTGAAAAGCAGACGTGAAGCAGAAACTATTATCTTGGAAGATAATGGCCATCCTACATGACAGGCTTCCAGACTTCACAAGCTACTTTTAAGTTGCAGTAGTTTACAGATTTTCCCACAAGAGGCAGCTTTCTGTTCCAGTGCTTTCCCTAATATCACAATAAAAAATTTCTCCAATTGCCCAGCTTCAACACTCCAGATATTTCAAACCCTGTAGATCCTAACAATTTCTGTAAACTCTAATTCCCATATTAAAATACTTATTCTTATAACACTTGTCATGGCTCCATTTTCCCAACCAACCCCAAACTAATGCAACTTTGGGTATTAAAAGTAGTCTCAGGCACATATAAATTTATGGATAGGGATCTTTTATTGGTTCTCTCACCCCATTAGATAAAAAGATATTAATAACCTTCATTTTCAGCATCAATGAGCATCATTACAGCAGGCAGTGGCAAAATAGTTACTTAAATTATCACTGTAGTCATCTGGAGTCAAGTACCAATAGAAGTCAAAGACGTAAGTTGCTGCAATAGAACATGTATATAATGGCTGTGGGATGAAATGATTGCTTCTAAATGTAATAAAGAACTTGGGGGTGGGAAAGAATAATGCACTTAAGACTCTAAAAAATCCAGCTCAAGGCTACGTAAAAAATCAGAAAACTAAAACTGTCCCAAAAGAAACTCTATCTTCTGTAGCCTCAGAGTTGAAATCCTGTGGGTGGCTGAACTACGATACAATTTGAATTCACACCCACTCAGGGTCTCTCATGTTAAATTGAGGACATTGATTGGGAAAGAACTGGACCCATAAAATTGGGAAGAGGATATCTGACCAGATTGTGATTAAGCTAAAAACCTGAAACCTCCATATTTCCCTGCACTTTCCCTGCCAGAAGAAGCAATCTTCCCTTTCTTGTGTAAGAGGGTGACTCATCTTGCTCACAGGCTAATGACTACTCCAGGGATAGCTTTCTTATAAGTGAGTGCTGATCTTTAAGACTAACCCCCACCAATTCCATTGATTCTAGACCTTTAATATGACTCAAATCCCAGTGTACACCAGATGGGCAGGTATTAAGCGCAAAAGTTTGACAGCTTATATCAACAGAAACTTGTAAAATACGGATGAGAAGAGTCCTTAAGGGTGTTAGACCAGTGTGGGAGGAATATAATATTGGGTCAGACTGAATTTAATATGGATGCATTAACTAGAGATTATGAATTCAGTGTACTATCTCAAGTAGCTAGGAATGATTCTAACAGTTCTTGATTGGTTGACTGAAATCTGGGCTCAATAGTGGCTTATAGTTAATGAAGCTAAGATATCAAAACTCTTTTGCTATACTATAGAGCAAGGCTTTCAGTTTTGGCACTATTGGCATTTAGAGTTAGATAATTCTTTGTGGGGATTAAAATTGGTCATTGGGACTGTGGATTGTAGATGTTTAGCCATATTCCTAGCTATTGGAGGCCAGTTGCACCTCTCCCAAGTTATGATAATAAAAAATGTCCCTAGACATTGTCAAATGTCCTCTTGGAGAGCAAAGTGTACCCCATTTGAGAACTACTATTGTAGAAAAGAACATCCAAAGGTTTATGGAGATGTGAATGCTGGAGTAGATTTATTATGAATGAGCTTCTTACCCACCTGCTAGTTATGTCACCTGGGAGGGTCCAGAGTACACACACTTCATCAAGGCTTTGAGAAATAAATTGGCAAAGGCAGCATCAACATCCATAAAAAGGCTCCATAGTGGCAGTTCTCTGCAAAGAAATAAGTGATGCTGCCATGGAAATGAGCCCCTTGAATTAAATAGGTGATGGGATCCCAGAGCAACAAGGTACAAGAAGTGATCAGAATGATTTGGCCTATAGAAATCTTTGGTGAGAACTAATTTATCATGGGGTTCCTAGGACCATAATGAACTACCTACTAAAGTCTTATTTGTGTTGTATAAGCAAAATAAACACATAAAACCCAAAAATTGGTCTGGAGACAGAGGTCCAACATGAATCACTACAATTGATAGTCATGCTTCCTCAACAAATTCTCAGACTTGAGTCGTATTATAGATCTAGATCCCTTTTTAAAAGATATAGTAGACAGAATAATGGCCTCCAAAGGTATCTACATCTTCATTTCCAGAACAAATGAATATGTCATGGCAAAGGGGAAACTAAGGTTACAGATGGAAATAAGGTATTCTAATTAGCTGAACTCAAAATAATATTACCCTGAATTATCTGGGGTGGGGGGTCCAATGTAATCACAAGGGTCCTTAAAGAAGGAAGAGTGAGACAAAAGAGTCAGAACCAAAGAGATGTCATCATGTTTAGTCCAGTGAGACCCATTTCGGACTCCTGACCTCTAAAACTTTGTGTCATTTTAAGCCACTACATTTGTGGTAATTTATTATGGCAGCCATAGAAAACTAATACACTAGGTCACTGTGAGTAAAGGCTCTGCTACACTTACAAAAATTTTATACTGCAAGTCTTCCTCCCAACATTTTCCAAGGGGACTGTGTCCA